>NC_000001.11:179548223-179851253 GCF_000001405.40 Homo sapiens
CTACTGAAGTAAAACCAGAATAATAGTAATCACCATTATTTATTAAGAATTTACCTTGTGCAAGCATTGTGCTAAGCATATCATATGCATTATCTTATTTAATCACAACTCTGTGAGGTGGATCCTACTTTTATCCCCATTTATACACAGGATTAGTAATATGTCCAAGGTTAAACAGTTAGTAAATGGTAGAGCCTGAATCAAATCTAATATGTCTGACAGCAGACCCCAAGCTCCCAGCTATAGTGCTGTAATATCTTTCCAAGCCCAGAAGAAGCCGTTGGAAGTGTGTTGATGACCTCTCTTTTAAAGGATTTGGCTTCCATGTCCTTTACTTAATGCTCAGCTCAGCTACCGTGCAAAAGCCAGAATTATTGGAACCTCATAATTCCAATAGACTCTCTGCCAAAGAACATTGTAGTGGCCAGGAACAGTCCATCAAGGAGATGCATACTTACTCAGAGCCATCCAGACATGGTCCCCAAGGATGTGGAATGCAGGCGTATTGGCAGAATGACCTGCTGAGCCTTCTAGATAGGAGAGTCCAAACTGCAGAGCGCCCATTGCACCATAACACCACTGGTGAGCCATGGTGGCCCTTGAATTTCTAAGGAAGGCCTTCAAAGCCTCCACATTTCTGATGATTTTGAGCCCAACAATCTGCAGTATACCAGCCCTTAAGCTAGCTGCTTGCATAATAAATTCAGGTCTGAATACACCAATGCCACATCACTGTCAGCTCCAAATGCCCTGGAACACCATTGTCATAGAGTGTGCCATAGACTTCTCCCACTCTCAGGGGCATGTCATTTTGGTCATGGCAGGCTCCAATGCCAAACTGGAACATCTTATCCCTGTTTATCAGCTTATTGCCACTCTATTAATATTAAATTATCAGGAAAAAAAAAACTATTCCTAGAACATATCATGGTTTTAGATTGTACTCTCCAGCTTGTCCTCCAGCCATCATTTCACAATTAGTAACCAGTTGGAATGCAGCACCTGGGTCAGCTCACCTAGCCAGTTTCTGAAGAATTTTACCTTTGACTATCCACTATACTCTTTCACCTAAACACAGTTTTATAGCAACTTATCGCTATGATTTCCTTCTTATCAAGCCCACCAACTGCAACAGTTGGTTAATTTGAAAGACAACGCATGCCAGCAAGCAGACCTGAAAGCCCTCTGGCATGCCAATGAGAAATTTAAATATTGACCTGTGCCAGACATCAGAGGAAACCAAACAATAGGAGATACCATAGGCACTCCCCAGATATGCAAGCAAAATCTGCCTTTGACAAAAAACCAGTGTTATAAGGAAGTATGAAGAGTCATAAAAGCCATTTTTACCCTGGTGTTCACTTCTGCTTGTTCTGCTTTTGGCTTCTGTTATGCCTGACCCAGCATGACTCTACCTTCTTCTTCATTACACATGCCAAAATTTGCTATCCTGAGATCAGGAACCGTCATATATGGTGTGAAAAGTGACCAACAACCCTCGGTGCCATCTTAATTCCAATAACCAATACACTGGAATGGGTGTGGGCCAACACAGTGATAATGAGAAATATTTCCCACTTCAGGAGTGCTCTGATTGCCATTGACCCTTTAAATGGGCTAAACCACCTATGATCATGCCCCGGCTGGTCCATGAAAGCAAGCTCCACATCCTAGATGATGAGACATTCTAGGAAATCACCTAGGAGTTCCCCAACCCATGTCCTGTTGCTGCTTCATCAGTGTTTGCTTTCTTGTTTCTGACACCATACTCCTGGGTCTGGTAGATTTTGTTACCTGCCTTTGACTTATTTGGATATGAGAGCCATTTGGATTCCACATTTGGATTTCCATATTTCGGCACCCCTGCATAGTTTAGAGATTTGCCTGTTCCTTTGGCTTCAGAATTTACTAACATTATTTTAGTAATGTTAGTAATGTTTTATAATGTTAGTGACTTTTTTAAGTTTATAGAGAATTTGCTGTAAGTATAGATATGCTTTCTTATTGGCTTATTTTTTCTGCAGATATGCATTTCTAATTGTATAATGCAAATTAATGGAAAATAAGACTTAGAGAAATGTATCTATATTAAGAAATATCTGTATAAGAAAACAATATGTCAGGGCATGTGTAGGTTACCTAATATTATTACTGTTCGAAGAAATAAACAAGCTGGTAAGTTCTATACTGAAAATAGATTACTCTCTGGCCCACTATTTATAGTGATTCTCCCTCAGATTTTAAGCCACATGTGTCAGATGTTTTTGTCCTTTTATTTATTTCTTTATTTAAAAAAGGAATCTCCACAAAAAGAATTCCTTTTAAATGCTTTAATTAGGGATAAATTGTATATCCGACTCCAAGTACATCTCTCTTTTTTGCATTCACTCTGAAACATTTAAGTGTCACTTTAGGTAACTATCAGGGTTAGGTGTGAGGAATTCAGGGTGGAGCAAAAAGATTGAGTGTGGTTGAGGAAAACTAAGACTTGGTAGTATCATTGGAGAGAAGACTGCATCTTTGGGACAGAAGAGCAATAGAGTGTGACAAGCCCAATGATAGGTGCTTGTAGGAAGGGCTGTGGGAGCTGTGGCAACCTTGCCAAAGGGGTCAGAGGACATACAGTGAAAGGGACATCTGAACCAAGTTCCCAGAAGTCAAAATTTAACCACATCTAGACTCAAAATTCTTTCCAAAGTAGAATGTTGACCAAAGCTGTTTCCCATAATTGCTCTGACTAGATGAGTCACGGAAACATGTTGTCTGCCTTCTCTGTCATTACATCATTTCACCGTCTTCTCATGGATGGTGCATTGTGACTTCGTGCATTCCATGGCCATTCCATATGGCAACCAAAGGAAGGGCAGGGAATGAGGACAGAGTGTCTCCCTCAGGCATGTGACTTTTCTATGGCAGGCCCCTTTACAGTCACATTATGCCCCATCCTTCCTATAACATGGGAGAGTCTTTCTTTTTAGGATTTAGTGGCTCAACAGGTTTGGAAGGACTTGGGAAGGGGAGGCTTCCCTGAGTTCTGTTGCTGGGAGAAGACAGGCAATTCAGTAGGTCAAATGGCAAAGGTAAAACCACAGTGGAAGGCTTCTCTGTGGACAGAGACTGAAGGGTGTGGAGGTATCGAAGCTGAACGGCAGCAGGGGTGCCTGACAGAATCTCAGCTGCCATCCTCAGGGACTCAGAAGCAGCCTTTTCCGCTTCTGCAGCAATCATCTAGAAAACATGTGACGAAAGCAAAGTGATTGTTCTTCATTCCCTGAAGGCTTCACCACTATGCAGTATGACTCAGCAGACAAGCACTGAGCATCTACTATGTGGCAAGCACGGTTAAGCATAGAACATGTTTATTCTTCTTTCTGAAGGGTCTTGAGCTGGGGAGACAGATTAAACTGTTAATCACAATTTAAGGTGGAATGCGTTAGGAGCCATCACAAGTATAAATGAAGTATTAGGGGAGTTATTAGCATCTGGTGGGCCTTGAAAGATTAGGATTTTGCCAACATAGAGAAAAGATTAGCCAGCATTCCATGCAAAGGCATGACGTTATGAAAGGGTGACCCCCAACTCAGGGAAAGTGAATGGGTAAACATTTCTGAAGTGAAAGTGCTGAGCTCACTACACAAATGCTACCTGAAAGTGGGTGAAGAGGACTTCACTCAGAGATCTAGAAGCAACTGCCCTGGGGACTATCCTCCTCCCCTTCCTCATCCCCGCCTCCCCTCAGTGATCCACAGGCAATGATCCTCTTACTGGTTCAGGTTTTTATCTTCACCTGCTCTCTGTTCTTTCAGAGAAATCTGCCTCCCTTCATTCTTCACTTTCCTCTTCCCAAGGCCCCCTCACCCACACCTCAGTTACCAGAAGCTGCTAGCTGCCACATCTTTGCCTCTTGCTGTCATGCCTGAGTGGAGCCGAGTAGCACAGCCTTCTCTTGGCTCTAGCATTGAGGGAACTGGGCCCTGATCGTGGTTGTCCCTCTAAAACTTGTGCCAAGCTTGGGATACAGTTCTAGGGGATACCTAGAAGTTAGAAGTTAGGGTGACTACGATTACCCAGGAAAAGATGCCAGCACTAGAGAAGAGGGATTGATGTGTGTGGAGGAGATGCCTTTAAGGAGAGAGAGGGAAGGTGAGACTCAAGCAGTGAGTGGTCACTATTATCAGTAGCTTCAGAGAGGGAGAGGAGTTGCATTAGTCAGGGGACTATTAACACACTTTAAGAGAGCAATTTTAATAGAGTTGTAAGGGCCCAAGACAGCTTCTGCCCAGTGCCTAATGAATGGACAGTAAGGAAGCAAAGGGGAAATGTTCTCCACGAGCAGGCCTTCCTAAAGGGCAGTCTGGGTGGGAGGATGGAGTGCTCACCCGCACTTTGGCTTGTCTTTGCGCTTCAGCCTCCACAGCCAGTGAGTGCTGAAGCCCAGCTGGCAACCTCACATCTTTACTGAAAAAGAAAGAATGCAGGTATGTAGGTGTGCAGCCATGATTTAGGGGCCAAAGCTTTCACACAGACTTGCAAGCCTCTCTACTGCTGTCTCATGATGAGTAGCAAATTTGGAGTGACCAGAGTGTGCCATTCCTAGACTTCTGAGGTCAAAAGTAGGCAGATCTCCAAGGTCGATGCCTCAAATGCAGTTTTGTATTATTGCTGATGCTACAGTAGAGCTGTAGTTTCTCATTATCAGCACAGCAGGTTTTGTATTGATGAGCTGTGCTCAGTTTTTCCGCTTAGGATATAATCTAAGCCCCAACTAATAAATTTGAACAATGGCTTGAAGAGCCACACTACTGATAATAAAGATAAGGGGAATTCATCCAAGTTTATAAAAGAGAAGAATTGATTTTGAAAAGGGTACAACTGACCAAATAAGAACAACGCTTAATGTATTGCATAAAAGGTACAAAATTGTCTTTTGACCCTGATTATAACTATAAAAATGCATATATGGAAAACAGGTTAGCTGCCCCTCAAAAAGTTAAATACGGAGTTACCATGTGACCTAGTAATTCTACTTCTAGATACAGACCCAAGATAATTGAAAACGTGTTCACTCAAAAACTTGCAAATTAATGCTTGCTGTAGCATTATTCATACTAGCCAAAAAGCAGAAACAACCTAAATGTCCATCAGCTGATGAACCAATAAAATGTGGTATAGCCTCACAATGAAATATTATTTGATCATAAAAAGTAATGAAGTACTGATTCATGCTCAAGCATGGTTGAACGTTGAAAACATTATGCTAAGTGAAAAGAAGCCAGACACAAAAAGCCATATATTGTATGATTCCATTTATGTGAAATGTCCAGAAGAGGCAAATCCATTGAGACAGAAACTAAATTAGTGGTTGCCAGGGATTAAGGAGTACATGGGGGATTCCCACTTAACAAGTACAGGCTTCCTTTCGGGATGATGAAAATGTTCTGAAATTAGATAATAGTAATGGATGTACCCCTTAGTAAATATATTATACTAAAACCACAGTTTAAAATAGCAAAAATGTGACATTTCTTTTTTTCTTTCTTTGAGACAGAGTCTCACTCTGTCACCCGGGCTGGAGTGCAATGCACAATCTCGACTCACTGCAGCCTCCGCCTCCCGGGTTCAAGTGATTCTCCTGCCTCAGCCTCCTGAGTAGCTGGGATTACAGGCATTTGCCAACACCCCTGGCTAATTTTTTTTTTTTTTTTTTGAGATCGAGTCTCGCTCTGTGGTCGTGGCTGAAGCACAGTGGCATGATCTTGGCTCACTGAAACCTCTGCCTCTCGGGTTCAAGCGATTCTTCTGCCTCAGCCTCCCTGGTAGCTGGGATTACAGGCATGTGCTACCACGCCCAGCTAATTTTTGCATTTTTAGTAGAGACAAGAGTTACACCATGTTGGCCAGGCTGGTCTCAAACTCCTGACCTCAAGCGATCCACCCACCTTGGCATCCCAGAGTACTGGGATTACAGGTGTGAGCCACTGCGCCTGGCCTAAAATGGGAAATTTCATGTAAATTTTATCTAAAACAATTTTTAGATTCATAGAGAAAAAAATAATCAGAGTAATTTGTCCAAATGTTATAGTGATTGTGTTATGGCTGTAAGATATTAGGTGATTTGTTTCTCTTTTTTATAAATTTATGCTGATATGGCTATAGTACTCAGTGAAAATAATTTTTCAAATGAAAAATTTAAAATGAAACCAGAATATTTTCCTTTATCATACAGTTCTTGCTAGTTAATTTCCTACCCACATTTCTATTCTCTCCACTTTGATTCCCCAAATACAGGTCACTGAATCCAAGGCAACCTGTGGAAAGAAGAATTCAGATGTCAGTGGGAGCCTCCAGGTGGGAGGAGAGCATGCCTAAACCCTGGTGGCCATTGTTCTGTACTAAGGAACAACATTCCCTTTGAAAGGACATTATTTGCCTGTTGTATTTAACTTCACAGTGCCTTGCAAAGAGTTGTTTAACTTGCATGGTGCCACCCAATAAATATCTGTGCAATTGAAGATGGTGTGGTATGCTGAATAATGGTCCCCAAAGATATCCCATGTCCTAATCCCTGGAATCTGTGAATGTTACCCCAAGAGGGATTTTGCTGGTTTGATTAGGTTAAAGGCTCTTGAGATGGGGATATTATCCTGGATTATCCAGGTGGCCCTAAATGTAATTATAGGTGTCCTTATAAGAGGGAGGCAAATGGTGATTTGACTACAGAAGAAGAGAAGGTGACATGATGATAGAAGCAGGAAATGGAATGATGCACTCTAAAGATGGAGGAAGGTGCCACGAGCTGAGAAATGCAGGCAGCCACCAGATGCTGGAAAAGGCAAGGAAACGGATTCTCCTCTCAGAACCTCCAGAAGAAATTGGTCCAGCTGACACCTGGACTCTAGCCCATTGAAACTGATTTTGGACTCTGTGGTCTTCGAAACTAAGAAAATAATTTTTGTTTGGTTTTAAGCCACCATGTTTGTGGTAGTTTGTTACAGAAGTAATAGGAACTAATACAGATATATTTTAAAAATCTGTTTTAAAATGCACTGAGTTGAGAACCAGTCTCTAGTCTCTCTTCCAGATGTCTTTCATTTATAGGATGTTTTCACTTCTACAGCTGATGCTGGTGGTTCCAGTTTCCTCCTGCTTCTCAGTCCCATCCACCCCCTTGATTGAAGTTGGAAACAGGAGAGGGAAGAAAATCGACTGTGGATTCTGGAAAGGAGGGGCAGGGCATGGAGCTCTCCATGTTGACCCAAACTCTTCTTTTTACACTTCTTTTCTCATTATTTTTTAGTGGTTAGACAAACAGTAAGCATAGTGCATTGAGAACCTTGAGAAGACTAATTTGGGGGTGTGGGTGAGAGTAAGGAATGTTGATAAAGACGTCGCAGAATAGGTGGCATCTTAAAGGACAAATAAAATCTTGCCTGTGGAGAAAAGGGAAGTATTCGATGCAGAAGATACAGCCCAAGAGGAGGCAATGGGAGCATAAAAGTGCTGAATGCTGGACAAAAGCTAAAGTAGGTTGGAGTATTAGATTCAGTGGGAGAAGGGTGGCAAGAGGTGAGACTAGAATAGTTGGGTCATTTATTTATTTATCCAAAAAACATTATCTACCTGCTGTGTGACAGGCCTGTGCTGAGGACCAAGAGATGGATAAAACATAGCCCCTGCTGCTATGGAGGTTGTAGTCTGGGAAAACCAGTGTCTTAGATAGATGGTCCCCAACTTGCAATGGTTTGACAATTTTCGACTTTTATCATGGGTTTATTAGGATACATGCATTTTTGACTTACGATATTTTTTGCTTTATGATGGTTTATAAGTCAAAGAACACTTGCATATATATTATAATCAGTGTAACAAGGGCAAGCTTGAATGTCAAGTGTCTGGACTTTATCCTTTAAAGGAGAAGGATGAATAAGGAAAGGAGGGTGAAGGGGGACATCCCATAAAGCATAATTGCCACCAGTGCCTTTGATTCTTGGGGTCCCTCTATTTGAGGTCCTCCTTCCAACTACCATGGTTCACAACCTCCTAACCCAGTTCTGGGCCTGGGTGTCCCCACTGCTTCAGTGACAGGCTCCATTGCTGGTGGTAATTGCCACTCCATTGGCCAGCTGCCTGGAATCCTGCTGTCTTCTCACTTCTCCTCTGAATACCTGTTGCCTACCTGCCTTGGTAAGAATCAAAGCCACCGACCCTGGCCGTGAATGAGCTTGCTGAGCTTGCTGTCTGTGGACTAGAGGGAGCTGCTTGTGAAGCAGTTCTTGCTCTTTCCCCTCTAATTCCAAATTGATTAAATCTAGACAATGGATTGGGTAATTCATCATGTAAAGGTCTATGACATCTTAGCTTTTGTTATCTGGAAGTCTTATTTGAACTTATTATTTAACTTGGCACTCATTATGCTTGTTTCCCCAGGTAGACAGTAAGCTCCTGGGAACCATGCTTTATCATCTTTGTGTACCAACCCCTCCTGTCCATCCCCACCAACCCCACCGTTCCTGCCAGCAATCATTCTGAATACTTAATACTAGGTGAGTACTTGGAGATGAATTTAAAGTCACTGGAGTAGGTTTGAGAGCAAAAACTGCGGCAATGACTGATTAACAAGCACCATACTGATAACTATAATTGACTCAGAGTCAATTTGGCAACCTCCTAACTAGCTATGAGCTCCCAAAGGGATGGCCCCTAAGGGATGGAACTGGCCATAGAAGATTTAATAAATGTCCAATGAACAAATGAATAAAAGATAAATATTTCAGCATATTGGCCATTATGTTTATCTAAGTACCTTTGCATCTTGGGCGATGCTCTTCCTCTCTAGAAGAATTTCAGTGAGGGATCGATGTGCTAGGAGACGCTTCATAGTGGTTTGCACAAGGAATTGCACAGCTTTAGATACATGAGCAAGACTGCTTAGGAGAAGAGAGGCATTTTCCATTCGGTAGTAGCAAATGGCATCTATCTCCATTATAAACATGTCTTTGGTCACGATCTAGGCAGAAAAAAGTTTGGATGACAGGCTTGATTCTTGGGCTCCTTTCCTATGTGGGGTTAGAGGAACTAAATGTGTTCAAAGTGAATTTTCTCCGCAAGAGAAAAATGGAGTTGGCCTACCCTTTATTTAAAATAGACATGTTTTTGAAAATTATGAAATTTTTATTAAATACACGAAAGAATGCACAACTTAATCCTGTGGTAAATCCTTTTGTAAAAAAAATCAGAAATAATTTTCTCATAAGAAGACATTCAGTTGATTCCAAACCAGGTCTTTCTAAACTGATACCAAAATAAAGCATCTGCTAAAAGAGAAGCATGTTCTGGGAAACAAGCACTCTAATGTGTTGCTCGCTAGAGTGTACGTTAGGGGATGCTTTGATGATATACATCATAAGCCCTAGAAAGATGTCTTAACATTTCCCTTTTTATATTGATCATAAGGACATATTTTAAGGATTTAGCTATAAGGATGTTACTCACAGTATTGCTAATTGGAATACAAATTGGAAAGAATTTAACATCAACAATAGGGAATTGGTTGAGTAAATTGTGATACAGCCACTAAATGAAATGCTGTATGTCCATTTAAAATAAAGAGATAGAAGCATTTAGCTAATATATGAAAAGATGATCACAATATATTGTTGGGTTAAGAAAGACACATTACAAAACAGTATATATGGTATGATATATGTGTGTATATATATATACCCATCTGTAAATATAACCACATACACTGAAAAATCTGAAAGGATATACTCCAAAATATCAACAGTTAACTATGGGTAACAGGATTGGGGTGAGTTTTTTTTCCCCAATTTTGTTTATTGTGTTAAAATACATATACCATAAAACTTACCATCTTAACCATTTTTAAGTATACAGTCCAGTGATACTGAATACACTCATAATATTGTGCAACTATCACCACCATCCATCTCCATAACTCTTTCATCTTGTAAAACTGAAACTCTGTACCCATGAAATAATAACTCTCCAATTTCTCCTTCTCTCAACCCCTGCAACCACCATACTACTTTCAGTCTCTATGAATTTGACTACTCTAGGTGCTTCATATGAGTAGGATCATACAGTATTTTGTGTGTGTGTGTGATTGGCTTATTTCAGTCAGCATAATGTCCTCAAGGTTCATCTATCTTGTAGAATGTCAGAATTTCCTTTCTTTTTAAGGCCGAATAATGTTCCATTGTGGGTTATATATCACATTTTATTTATCTCTTCAGTCATCAGTAGACACTTGGGTTGCTTCTTCCTTTTGGTTATTGTGAATAATGCTGTTATGAACACAGTTGTATAAATATTCTTTAAGACCCTACTTTCAATTCTTTTAGGTATATATGCAGAAGTGGAATTGCTGGGTCATACAGTAATTCTATTCTTAATTTTTTGAGGAGCTGCTCTACTGTTTTCTACAGTGGCTGCACCATTTTACATTTTCCTACCAACAGTGCACGAGGGTTCCAATTTGTCTACATCCTCTTCAACACTTGTTATTTTCCAGGTTTTTAAAAAAACAGTAGCCATGTTAATGAGTGTAAAGTGATATTTTGTGATATTGATTTGTATTTTCCTAATGTAGTGATGCTGAGCATCTTTTCATATGCTTGTTGCCCATTTATATATCTTCATCTTCTTTGGATGTCATCCTTTGAGAAATGTCTGTTCAAGTTCGTATTAGGGTTCTCTAGAGAAACTATAGAATGTGTATGTGTGTGTTTAGGTTTCATCATACATATATATGTACACACACACGTACACATATAGGTATGCTGGGGTGGGGAGAGAAAAAAATACTGATTTAAAGAATTGGCTCATGTGCTTATGGAAGCCAGCATGTCTAAAATCTTCAGGCTGAAGACCCAGGGAAGAGTTTATCTTTTCTACTGAAAGAATTCCTTCCTCCTCAAAGGGAGGTCAGTCTTTTTCTTGAGCCCTTCAATTAATTGGATGAGGCCCATCCCACATTAGGGGAGGGTAATCTGCTTTACTCAACGTCTGCTGATTTAAATGTTAATCCCATCTAAAAAAGTACCTTCACAGTAACATCCAGATGTGTTTGGCCAAATATAGGTCAAATGATCATGGCCTAGCCAGGCTGACACATAAGGTTAACTATCACAAAGTTCTTTGCCCATTTTTAAAATCAGGTTGTTTACTTTTTTTGTTGTTGAGATGTATGAGTTCTTCATATATATTGAATATTAACCCTTTATGAGATATGATTTGCAAATATTTTCCCCCATTCCCTAGATTGCCTTTGCACTCTGTTAATTGTGTCCTTTGATGCACAAAAGTTTTAAGTTATGATGTAGTCCATATCATTATTTTTCTTTCCTATTTTTGAGTATAAATAATCATTTTGTCCACGGTAGGTAGACCATGGAAAATGTATAGAGAAAGCAAAAGCCATCATTTGGCTTACCTCATGAAAAGGTATCTCCAGAGTTTGGAGACGAAGGTCAACCTTGTGGTAGGTATCCAGGCAGGGCAAAAAAAAGAAAAGACCTAAAAGAGAGGAGGAGGAAGTGACAGATAAATAGCTAGCATGAAGGCTGTTTGGGTTTCACCTTTCTGGGGTCAGGTTGCACACTACATTACTTTTCTTAGCCTCTAATTACAGACCATTGGCCCATCCCACCTCCACCTGAGGGTAAAAGGAGAGCACTATTATATATTATAATATGTAATCCAGGACAATAGGTATAAACAGGGATTATTCCCAGCAAACTGGGCTGTGTGGTCCTTTTAGTCATGGTGCTGCCTCCCCAGGTCTCAATTGCGTGTCTGTCCTTTCACTAGAATTGAATTTCCTAAGTAGTGTCCTATGCACTATTGTTAGCCTTAGTGTCTGACTTAGTGCCTTTTAGGTGCTCTCTAAAATTGTTTTTGAATCCATGAGTGTACCCAGGTGTCAAACTTTAGAGCCAGCAACCTCCATGTCATATTCGTTAGAATGTGAGCCCCAGAAGTAATCAGAATAGCAATTATCATGATACCAGCTTTCTGGTTGGCTAGTTAGTCCTCACCCACCCAATATAATATATAGGATCAATGTGCAATAAACATTTGTAGATTGATTTATTGAGATTTTCTGAGAGCCCATTGGATTCTGTGGGCTCCTGCAAAAGCCAAAGCTTTGTTGAAACAAGCAGCACCTCACAGAGTCCAGGATACTAGTCAGCTACTAGTCCTCCTCAGTGCCAATTGAGAAGGTTCCTGAAAACCAGGGCCAGAACAAGATGTTCTTTGTCCTGGAACTACAGAGTCTGGTTCTACTTTTGTGTGGACTCATATATTCATTCTGAATCTTCAAACTCTGATATTTGTCCCTAGTCTGGTCTCTGTGGGCGTGTCCTGGAACTCAGACCCTCTCCAATATAATATACACATGGGACTTTGCTCCTCATGCCTTCCTGGCTGACTTAGATCTCCAAACCCCCACTACTAAACCTTTCAGACTGACCATACTTCTATCTGTCTCCCATAATGAGCTTGGACCTCTGGACATCAACTCCACTAGATCTTAAGGTCCTGAGATCAGAGACCATGTCTTATGGTTAGCACAGAGTCTGAGCCACAAGAAATGCTTAATCTATGTTTTTTAAATCCCTATAACTGAAGAGCAACTTGTTATTTGAATGCTGAACTTTGCCTGTTTCTCATGATTGGATCTGAGCACCTGGAGTGGGAACTAGCTCAGCTTTTCTCTGAGAATTCACAGGACTCTGACCATATACACATCGTACTCAAATCAGTCCCCAGCCATTGGTCCTAAGCTAACTTGCTATTCCAGCAAGCCTTGCCCTGGCATGTGGGCTCTCTGTACCAATTCTCTCTCTTGGCTACCTATGACCTAGTAGTAATAGTCTCTGAAGAATATTTGAATAACCTATAAGTAACAGATTGGAAAATTCAGATATCATGAATCAAGTTACTTCATTTAATCTGAGGTCCATATTACAAATCTGCATGGGTTGAAGAAATTGGCAAGTCAGGAGAGAGGTGTTTAGAAAAAAAAGAGTGTTTTTTTACCAGGGCCTTTGGCTCTTCCAGGAAGCAGATGTCCCAGTCGGAATATAATTACTCTTTCATACTCTTGTACAACCTAAAGAGAAATTTAATCCTTTCAAATCACTCCCAGAAAGAAAAAGTCTTCAAAAGGCCTTGGCATAAGAATGATCCTAGATATCAGAAATTTTTTGTTTTGAGAACCAGGAAAAAATTTCTATTAATACTTAAGTTTCCAAAATCTATATTTAGTAAGTGTAAAATTTCAGAAATGAAAAAGTATATTAACCATGTTAATTTTTGAACCCATAGACAGAATTTTGATTAAAGACTTATGATTATCTAAAATCCATGGCCAACTTTCCCTAAATTAATCTTATCAAGGCATATTAAATCTTATATTTTACTGTGAGTTCTGCACTAGCTTTTATATGTATTGCTCATTAGCTATTTAATGGAAAGAGGGAGTATATTTTAATACCACTTGTGATGTTTTGTTTCAGAGTGCAATTTCTTCTGAGGCTGCTTCAAAATGATTCAATTGGATTTTTTTTTTTCTAGATGAAGTTTCGCTCTTGTTACCCAGACTGGAGTGCAGTGGCATGATCTCGGCTCACTGCAACCTCTGCCTCCCGGGTTCAAGCGATTCTCCTGCCTCAGCCTCCCAAGTAGCTGGTATTACAGGTGTAAGCCACCATGCCTGGCTAATTTTTTGTATTTTTAGTAGAGACAGGGTTTCGCCATATTCGTCAGGCTGGTCTCGAACTCCTGACCTCAGGTGATTCACCTGCTTTGGCCTCCCAAAGTGCTGGGATTACAGGCGTGAGCCACCGTGGCCAGCCTCAATTGGATTTTAATTTGCCAATTTTCACTGGTGATAGATCTAGAAGATTTGTGTTTACCCTGAAAATGTGCAGAGATACTTTTAAATGACAAAAAGAATCTGGAGAATGTCTATTAGAAGAGAAATAGAGAAGTTACTGCACACTACTTTAAAAATAAACTTCACTTTCTGACCCAGTATCAGAATCTGAGTTCAATTGCGTGTTTATCACTGATTTAACTTGGTCTGCTTATTTACATGTTAAGATATGCCCCACCAGATGAGGCACTCCTTGATGATACGGAATTAATCTTTTTTTTCTCAGTGCTTAAAAAATGCCTGATACATTGTAAGTATTCAATAAATATTTACTGAATAAATGAAAGAATGATTTGTGACTATAGACAAATTTATTTTCCTTCCTTATCCTCCCTCCACTTTAAAAAGCTCCAATGAATAATAACTAGTCAAATATAAAAATGTGATAAAGAGGCCCAACAAAACACATTTTGAAATGTGCTTCTTAAAGTAACAGGATCTACTAACCCACTGTAAGTCCTTTGAGGCTGGGAACCATGTTTTGTTTGTCTTCATGAGGTTTACAATTTTATGAGGCCAGAACACTGCCTTGCTTGAAACAATCAGAATGAATGACTGTATGTGGTTCTTAGAGCATGCCAAGCAATTCCCAATTGCTTGGTTTCCTAGCATTACTTGTTTCTTACCTGCTTTTATTGGAAAAAACAAATTCTCCCCAGAGATGAAGGGGAGTCTTATTTCTTCAAGACCTTGCTCAAATATAACTGCCTGGTTCTGCTTTTGTTTCCTCTCCCTAATTGGCTTCTTAGGGCTTACCATCTTAAGTGACCAGATCTGAGAGCCTTTCCCAAAAACCATGGCTGAGTCAGTGTTGTATCTTGTGGCAGTCATGCAGGTGCTCAGGTCACCCTTTGAGAAGAGCCTGCTGCCAACTATACACTGTCTATAGGAGACACACTTTATATTCAAAGATATGAACAGACTGAAAGTAAAAGATGGAAAAGATATACCATATGAACAGTAACTAAAGTAGAGCGGGAATGGCTATCCTAACATCAGAGAAAATGGACTTCAAAAGAAGCAAACATGTTACTAGCAATAAAGTGGGACATTGTATAATGATAAAAGGATCAATGCATTAGGGAAGTGTGTCAATGATAAGCATAGATGCATCTAAAAACAGAGTTCCAAAATACATGAGGAAAAAGACAAAAATAATTCAAAGTAGAAATAGACAATTCAGTAGTGACAGTTGGAGACTTCAATACCCCACTTTAAACAATGGATGGAACTAGAAAGACATGGAAGACTTGAATAGCACTGTCAACAAATAGACCTAACAGACATCTACACAGAACATCTCCACCCAGCAACAACAGAATAATACATTCTTTTCCAGCATACATGAAACATCATCTCCAGGATAGATAATATGCTAGGCCATAAAACTAACTTAAACAAACTTAAAAGGATTGAAATAACATAAAGTGTATTCTCTTATTACAATGAAGTTAAATTAGAAATCAATAACAGAAGGAAATTTGAGAAATTGACAAATATGTGGAAATTAAACAACATACTCTAACCAATGGGTTAAAGAAGAAATCACAAGGAAAATGAGAAAATACTTTGAGATAAATGAAAACAAAAACACAAGATACCAAAATGTATCTTGGGGAGGAAAATGGGGAGGGAAAGGTGAAGGGGAAGAGGAAAGAGCTGCTGCTTGCTGTGAGGAGTAAAACCAACAACAGCCCCAGCAGCAGGTGTACTGTTTCAGCCAAGGACACAGTCTTCTCTGCAGCTACAGCCAGTGACTGAGATGGCAGGAGTACTAGGGCCGTGCCATTTCTGCCCACTGTGGGACTCCTATGAAGCAAACCTTGCTCCGGAGTTCCCTTTTGGGCTGGCCAATGCTTTCTCAGAGCTGCACCACAGTCAGAGGCTCTTTCTGCCCAATCCTTTCTTCCCCTTCTCATATCACAAGTGTCAGGCCTGCATAACTGTCTGAAGGCTTCTCCTGACTACTCTTGTTTTCTTTCCCGTTAATCTTTCACAGGCAATATCTCCCAATAAATCTCTTGCTCCTCTAATTCCATCTTGGCATGTGCTTCCAGAATGGACACAGGTCTTCATTTACTTCAGGGACAGGCATCTGTAACCACCTGTGGGCCAAACATAATCATGACTCATGGTCTATAGAAGCTGCCTGAGAAGTTTCGTGGAAGTGTGTGGAGTGGATGTCATGATCCATTCTGGTCACAGAATGCAGATGAACGAGACATAGCCAATATAATACACATGGTAAGTGTTAGAACAAAGTGAAAGCAGAGTGACATGGGAGCACCAGGAAGGGAATGACAGTCTGGGGGAGTCAAGGAAGGCTTCCTGTTCACATTTGAGCAAGGTCTTGGAGGAGTAAGCTATCCTGGAAGGTGAGTCTGGGGTGAGGGCATTCCACATGGAGCAATAACATGTACCAGAAAACAGAAGTGAGAATGGGCATGGTGTGGCCAGTGAGAGGCCTCAGGAAATTACCTATTGGGTCCTTATGGAATCTCACCTTTACGCAGAACCAGATGGAAAAAGGGAAGGTCATGATGATGAAGAGCAGGGAAATGAGGACAAGAAGCCACTCACAGGCCCCTAAGCCGGAGGATTTGGTACCTTAAAAAAATTAAAGCAAAAGAATAATTATATTGAAACTTCACTGTATTCACTGACTAGCATCTGTTGGTCCAATTCTTGGTATTGGAGTTGGCACAACTTGGAGACTTTGCTGGAAATATTAGAATAAGTCAAATCAGAGTAGTCAGAGTTCACAGGGCCTGGGGAGGAGCAGGCTCCTGGAAAGGTAGTGGGGACCAGGCACAGTGGCTCACGCCTGTCATCCCAGCACTCTGGGAGGCTGAGGTGAGAGGATCGCTTGAGTCCAGGAGTTCAAGATCAGCCTGGGCAACATAGTGAGATCCTGTCTGTACAAAAAAAAAATTAAAAACTAGCTGGGTATGGTGGTGCGTGCCTGTAGTTCCAGCTACGCAGGAGGCTGAGGTGGGAAGAAAGGTTGAGCCTGGGAGGTTGACGCTGCAGTGAGTTATGACTGCACCACTGTACTCCAGCCTGGGTGACAGAGCTAGATCTTGTCTCAAAAATAAAATAAAAAAGAAAGGGAGTGGGGGTATACTGGAACAGGCACAAAATTTGTGAAGAAGGTCTGGATTCCAGTTCTGGCTCTACTGTTTCATATCCAGATGACCTTAGGCAAGGCGTATGACCTTTTCACGCCTCAGTTTCTTCACTATATTATGAGGATGCTAACATCTCATGACTATCCCATAATAACTAGTTCATGAGCTATATCACCTATCTCTGGCAGAAGGATAAAATAACACATACACATAAAAAGCACTGAGCTTTACTTTACATGTGTCTGTTTGTTTTTGTTGTTGTTTTTTGTTTTTATACTTTAAGTTCTAGGGTACATGTGCACAACGTGCAGGTTTGTTACATAGGTATACATGTGCCATGTTGGTTTGCTGCACCCATCAATTCATCATTTATATTAGGTATTTCTCCTAATGCTATCCCTCCCCCAGCTCCCCACCCCCCGACAGGCCCCAGTGTGTGATGTTCACCGCCCTGTGTCCAAGTGATCTCATTGTTCATTTCCCATCTATGAGTGAAAACATGTGGTGTTTGCTTTTCTGTCCTTGTGATAGTTTGCTGAGAATGATGGTTTCCGGCTTCATCCATGTCCCTACAAAGGACATGAACTCATCCTTTTTTATGGCTGCATAGTATTCCATGGTGTATATGTGCTACATTTTCTTAATCCAGTCTATTATTGATGGACATTTGGGTTCCAAGTCTTTGCTCTTCTGAATAGTGCCTCAATAAACATACGTGTGCATGTGTCTTTATAGTAGCATGATTTATAATCCTTTGGGTATATACCCAGTAATGGGATTGCTGGGTCAAATGGTAATTCTAGTTCTAGATCCTTGAGGAATTGCCACACTGTCTTCCACAATGGTTGAACTAATTTACACTCCCACCAACAGTGTAAAAGCGTTCCTATTTCTCCACATCCTCTCTAGCATCTGTTGTTTCCTGACTTTTTAATGATTGCCATTCTAACTGGCATTAGATGGTATCTCATTGTGGTTTTGATTTGCATTTCTCTGATGACCAGTGATGATGAGTATTTTTTCATGTGTCTGTTGGCTGCATAGATGTCTTCTTTTGAGAAGTGTCTGTTCATATCCTTCACCCACTTTTTGATGGGGTTGTTTTTTTCTTGTAAATTTGTTTGAGTTCTTTGTAGATTCTGGATATTAGCCCTTTGTCAGATGGGTAGATTGCAAAAATCTTCTCCCATTCTGTAGGTTGCCTGTTCACTCTGCTGATAGTTTCTTTTGCTGTGCAGAAGCTCTTTAGTTTAATTAGATCCCATTTGTCTATTTTGGCTTTTGTTGCCATTGCTTTTGGTGTTTTAGTCATGAAGTCCTTGTCCATGCCTATGTTCTGAACGGTATTGCCTAGGTTTTCTTCTAGGGTTTTTATGGTTTTAGGTCTAACATTTATGTCTTTAAACCATCTTGAATCAATTTTTGTGTAAGGTGTAAGGAAGGGATCCAGTTTCAGCTTTCTATGTTTGGGTAGCCAGTTTTCCCAGCACGATTTATTAAATAGGGAATCCTTTCCCCATTGCTTGTTTTTGTTGGGTTTGTCAAAGATCAGATGGTTGTAGATGTGTTGTGTTATTTCTGAGGCCTCTGTTCTGTTCCATTGGTCTATACCTCTGTTTTGGTAGCAATACCATGCTGTTTTGGTTACTGTAGCCTTGTAGTATAGTTTGAAGTCAGGTAGTGTGATGCCTCCAGCTTTGTTCCTTTTGCTTAGGATTGTCTTGACAATGTGGGCTCTTTTTTTGGTTCCATATGAACTTTAAAGTAGTTTTTTCAAGTTCTGTGAAGAAAGTCATTGGTAGCTTGATGGGGATGGCATTGAATCTATAAATTACTTTGGGCAGTATGGCCATTTTCATGATATTGATTCTTCCTATCTATGAGCATGGAATGTTCTCCCATTTGTTTCTATCCTCTTTTATTTAGTTGAGCAGTGGCTTACAGTTCTCCTTGAGGAGGTCCTTCACGTCCCTTGTAAGTTGGATTCCTAGGTATTTTATTCTCTTTGTAGCAATTGTGAATGGGAGTTCACTCATGATTTGGCTCTCTGTTTTTCTGATAATGGTGTATAGGAATGCTTGTGATTTTTGCACATTAATTTTGTATCCTGAGACTTTGCTGAAGTTGCTTATCAGCTTAAGGAGATTTTGGGCTGAGATGATGGGGTTTTCTAAATATACAATCTTGTCATCTGCAAACAGGGACAATTTGACTTCCTCTTTTCCTAACTGAATACCCTTTATTTCTTTCTGTTGCCTGATTGCCCTGGCCAGAACTTCCAACACTATGTCGAATAGGGTGGTGAGAGAGGGCTTCCTTGTCTTGTGCTGGTTTTCAAAGGGAATGCTTCCAGTTTTTGCCCATTCAGTATGATATTGGCTGTGGGTTTGTCCTAAATAGCTCTTATTATTTTGAGATATGTTCCATCAATACCTAGTTCATTGAGAGTTTTTAGCATGAAGGGCTGTTGAATTTTGTCAAAGGCCTTTTCTGCATCTATTGAGATAATCATGTGGTTTTTGTTGTTGGTTCTGTTTATGTGATGGGTTACATTTATTGATTTGCATATGTTGAACCAGCCTTGCATCCCAGGGATGAAGCCAACTTGATCGTGGTGGATGTGCTGCTGGATTCATTTGCCAGTATTTTATTGAGGATTTTTGCATCGATGTTCATCAGGGATATTGGTCTAAAATTCTCTTTTTTTGTTGTGTCTCTGCCAGGCTTTGGTATCAGGATTATGTTGTCCTCATAAAATGAGTTAGGGAGGATTCCCTCTTTTTCTATTGATTGGAAGAGTTTCAGAAGGAATGGTACCAGCTCCTCTTTGTACCTCTGGTAGGATTCGGCTGTGAATTCATCTGGTCCTGGACTTTTTTTGGTTGGTAGGCTATTATTTATTGCCTCAATTTCAGAGCCTGTTATTGGTCTATTCAGAGATTTGACTTCTTCCTGGTTTAGTCTTGGGAGGGTGTATGTGTCCAGGAATTTATCCATTTCTTCTAGATTTTCTACTTTATTTGTGTAGAGGTGCTTACAGTATTCTCTGATGGTAGTTTGTATTTCTGTGAGATAGGTGGTGATATCCTCTTTATCATTTTTTATTGCATCTATTTGAATCTACTCTCTTTTCTTCTTTATTAGTCTTGCTAGCGGTCTATTTTGTTAATCTTTTCAAAAAACCAGCTCCTGGATTCATTGATTTTTTAAAGGGTTTTTTTCTGTCTCTATCTCTTTCAGTTCTGCTCTGATCTTAGTTATTTCTTGTCTTCTGCTAGCTTTTGAATTTGTTTGCTCTTGCTTCTCTAGTTCTTTTAATTGTGATGTTAGGGTGTCAATTTTAGATCTTTCCTGGTTTCTCTTGTGGGCATTTAGTGCTATAAATTTTCCTCTACATCCTGCTTTAAATGCGTCCCAGAGATTCTGGTATGTTGTGTCTTTGTTCTCATTGGTTTCAAAGAACATCTGTATTTCTGCCTTCATTTCGTGATTTACCCAGTAGTCATTCAGGAGCAAGTTGTTCAGTTTCCATGTAGTTGTGTGGTTTTGAGTGAGTTTCTTAATCCTGAGTTCTAATTTGATTGCACTGTGGTCTGAGAGACAGTTTGTTGTGATTTCTGTTCTTTTACATTTGCTGAGGAGTGCTTTACTTCCAATTATGTGGTCAATTTTAGAATAAATATGATGTGGTGCTGAGAAGAATATATATTCTGTTGATTTGGGGTGGAGAGTTCTGTAGATGCCTATTAGGTCTGCTTGTTGCAGAGCTGAGTTCTGGTCCTGGATATCCTTGTTAACTTTCTGTGTCATTGATCTGTCTAATGCTGAGAGCAGGGTGTTAAATTTTCCCATTATTATTGCATGGGAATCTAAGTCTCTTTGTAGGTATCTAAGAACTTGCTTTCTGAATCTGGGTGCTCCTGTATTGGGTGCATATATATTTAGGATAGTTAGCTCTTCTTGTTGAATTGATCCCTTTACCATTATGTAATGGCCTTCTTTGTCCCTTCTGATCTTAAAGTCTGTTTTATCAGAGACTAGGATTGCAACCCCTGCTTTTTTTCGCTTTCCATTTCCTTGGTAGATCTTTCTCCATTCCTTTATTTTGAGCCTATGTGAATCTTTGCACATCAGATGGGTCTCTGAATACAGCACACCGATGGGTCTTGACTCTTTATCCAATTTGCCAGTCTGTGTCTTTTAATTGGAGCATTTAGCCCACTTACATTTAAGGTTAATATTGTTATATGTGAATTTGATCCTGTCATTATGATGTTTGCTGGTTATTTTGCCCATTAATTGATGTAGTTTCTTCATAGCATCAAGGGTCTTTACAATTTGGCATGTTTTTGCAGTGGCTGGTACTGGTTGTTTCTTTCCATGTTTAGTGCTTCCTTCAGGAGCCCTTGTAAGGCAGGCCTGGTGGTGATAAAATCTCTCAGCATTTTGCTTGTCTGTAAAGGATTTTATTTCTCCTTCCCTTACGAAGCTTAGTTTGGCTGGATATGAAATTCTGGGTTGAAAATTATTTTCTTTAAGAATGTTGAATGTAGGCCCCCACTCTCTTCTAGCTTATAGGATTTCTGCCAAGAGATCCACTGTTAGTCTAATGGGCTTCCTTTTGTGGGTAACTCGACCTTTCTCTCTGGCTGCCCTTAACACTTTTTCCTTCATTTCAACCTTGGTGAATCTGACAATTATGTGTCTTGGGGTTGCTTTTCTCAAGGAGTATCTTTGTGGTGTTCTCTGTATTTCCTGAATTTAAATGTTGGCCTGCCTTGCTAGATTGGGGAAGTTCTCCTGGATAATATCCTGAAGAGTGTTTTGCAACTTGGTCCATTCTCCCCATCACTTTCAGGTACACAAATCTGCCAAGACCAGCTCGGTCAGGGAGACCTTTACCCAGTGGTGCTAAAGGAATTTAAAGACACACACACAGAAATATAGAGGTTTGAAGTGGGAAATCAGGGGTCTCACAGCTTTCAGAGCTGAGATCCCGGAACAGAGATTTACCCATGTTTTTATTAACAGCAAGCCAGTCATTAGCATTGTTTCTATAGATATTAAATTAACTAAAAGTATCCCTTATGGGAAACAAAGGGATGGCCGAATGAAAGGAATAGGTTGGGCTAGTTAACTGCAGCAGGAGAATGTCCTTAAGGCACAGATCGCTCATGCTATTGTTTGTGGCTTAAGAATGCCTTTAAGCGGTTTTCCTCCCTGGGCAGGCCAGGTGTTCCTTGCCTTCATTCCCGTAGACACACAACCTTCCAGCTTGGGCGTTAGGGCCATTATGAACATGTTACAGTGCTGCAGAGATTTTGTTTATGGCCAGTTTTGGGGCCAGTTTATGGCCAGATTTTGAGGGGCCTGCTCCCAACACCAATCCAAACATAGATTTGGTCTTTTCACATAGTCCCATATTTCTTGGAGGCTTTGTTCGTTTCTTTTTACTCTTTTTTCTCTAACCTTGTCTTCTCACTTTATTTCATTAATTTGATCTTCAGTCACTGATACTCTTTCTTCCACTTGATTGAATTGGCTATTGAAGCTTGCACATGCGTCATGAAGTTCTTGTGCCATGGTTTTCAGCTCCATCAGGTCATTTAAGGTCTTCTCTATACTGTTTATTCTAGTTAGCCATTCGTCTAATCTTTTTTAAAGGTTTTAAGCTTCCTTGCGATGGGTTCGAACATCCTCCTTTAGCTTGGAGGAGTTTGTTATTACTGACTTTCTGAAGCCTACTTCTGTCAAGTCCTCAAAGTCATTCTCCATCCAGCTTTGTTTCATTGCTGGCAAGGAGCTGCAACCTTTTGGTTTAGAAGAGGCGCTCTGATTTTTAGAATGTTCAGCTTTCTGCTCTGGTTTCTCCCCATCTTTGTGGTTTTATCTACCTTTGGTCTTTAATGTTGGTGACCTACAGATGTGGTTTTGGCATAGATGACCTTTTTGTTGATGTTGATGCTATTCCTTTCTGTTTGTTAGTTTTCCATCTAACAGTCAGGTCCCTCAGCCGCAGATCTGTTGGAGTTTGCTAGAGTTCCACTCCAGACCCCGTTTGCCTGGGTATCACCAGCGGAGGCTGCAGAACAGCAAATATTGCTGCCTGATGCTTCCTCTGAAAGCTTCATCCCAGGGGGGCAGCCGCCTATATGAGGTGTCTGTTGGCCCCTACTGGGAGGTGTCTCCCAGTTACACTACACGGGGGTCAGGGACCCACTTGAGGGGGCAGTCTGTCCATTCTCAGAGCTCAAACGCTGTGCTGGGAGAACCACTGCTCTCTTCAGAGCTGTCAGACAGGGATGTTTAAGTCTGCAGAAGTTGTTTGCTGCCTTTTGTTCACCTATGCCCTGCTCACAGAGGTGGAGTCTAGAGGCAGTAGGCCTTGTTGAGCTATGGTGGGCTCCGCCCAGTTCAAGCTTCCTGGCTACTTTGTTTACCTACTCAAGCCTCAGCAATGGTGGACACCCCACCCCCAGCGAGGCTGCGGCCTCGCAGATCAATCTCAGACTGCTGCGCTAGCAGTGAGCAAGGCTCCTTGGGCATGGGACCCACCGAGCCAGGCACGGGAGAGGATCACCTTGTCTGCAGGTTGCTAAGAGCTTGGGAAAAGCACAGTATTTGGGTGTGAGTGTCCTGTTTTTCCAGGTAGTCTGTCATGGCATCCCTTAGCTAGGAAAGGGAAATCCCCCGACCCCTTGTGCTTCCTGGGTGAGGCAACGCCCTGCCCTGCTTCAGCTCACCCTCCATGGGCTGCACTCACTTTCCGACCAGTCCTGGTGAGGTGAACCAGTTACCTCAGTTGGAAATGCAGAAATCACCTGTCTTCTGTGTCGATCATGCTGGGCGCTGTAGACCGGAGCTGTTCCTATTTGGCCATCTTCTGTCCGGTTTGTTTTAAGTGATTCCAAGCACATGTCCAGAGGCTTATCTTCCATGAAATAACTTCCCCATTCATTACAAGCCTTAATGTCTGAAGTTCCATCATTTTAACACCTCCATTAAGGTGTTGATCTCAATAGTCTTTGAAAATTAACTTTATGGGGTAATATTCACCTACTAATATGTATAAAAAAGTGATAAGGAACTGGGGTTCAGAACATCCAAGATGCTTGGGTGATAAATGAAACAATATCAAGGAGAGTCAGTCTCAAGAACACAAGCTTCTTGGGGTCTTGTCTTATTTACAGTATGCCCCCAGGGCTTAGAATAGTGCCTGGCACCATACATGTGCTCAATAAATATTAGTTGAGTGTGAGAAGAAAGGAGGAATGAAAATGATTTAAATGTAAGAGTTATGAAAATTTCAAGAATTTTAACCTCCAGGTACTAGAAAACTTACTAAAGCAATATTATTTGCCAGTTTAAAAAGATCGTAGAGGACTAGAAGGTGACTAAAAATTAGGAAATGGTAGTCTACTTTCCTTCCTTTCTTCCTTCCTTCTTTCCTTCCTTCCTTCCCTTCCTCCCTCCTTCCCTCCCTCCTTCCCTTCTTTCTTTCTTTCTTTTCTTTCATCTTTCCTTCTTTTTTTCTCTCTTTTGAGACTGGGTCTTGCTCTCTCCAGGCTGGAGTGCAGTGATGCAATCATGGCTTTCTGCATCCTCGGCCTCCTGGGCTCAAGCAGTCCCCCCACCTTAGCCTCTCAAGTAGCTGGGACTACAGGTGCATGCCACCTTACCTGGCTAATTTATTTTTTTGCAGAGATGGGGTCTCGCTATTTTGCCCAGGCTGGTCTCAAACTCCAAGCCTCAAGTGATCCTCTCACCTCAGCCTCCCTAAGTGCTGGGATTATAGGTATGAGCTATGGCACCTGGCCTAAAATCTTATTTTTAAGAGATGGGGACAAAGGGGATAACTAATTAGTAGGCCTGAAAATTTGATTTTCATGCCCCAGAAAGGTCACCACCAAATTGATGTGCAGATCACTTGAAGAAGAGGACAGAGATGCAAGCTGCACCAGCACAAAAACAAAATCAGCACTGAATACCATAGTATGGCAGTTTCTAAAGGCCATCCTACGAAATACTAATCCCACGGAGTGCTCCACCAAAGAAGAACTTCCTGGGCAAATGAGTTTAGAGAATACTAGGCACTACATCCCATTCCTGGAGTTCCCAGTGCTCTTCAGGACATTGAAGCTATGAGAATCTCGCAAAGCATTCTTAGCTTTGTTTACACACATTTGACCAGGTAATATTTTCTCTAAGGAACGCTCATTGATATTCTATGGAACTTATTTCTCATGGAACCTACTCTGGGAAATGCTGCTCTACCAACATATTAATTTTTATAATATTCTCTTTCAAGGACAATGACTAACAGTATCATTGCCAGTTTTAATTAGTTCATAAATATGTTTCAGTTACCAGTGGTAGCCATGGCAAGTAAAAATAAATAAATGCATATACAAAATTACATTTTATAAATGAAGAAAGGCCTCAAAAATTCCTTCATACAGTAGCGAGAGATATGCGTAGAAAACTAATTTATATCCTCAAACCTAACGTGAAGATTTACCCCCAAAATATTATTCTGTTAGAATAAGTTGCTTGAATATCCAACTTGTTTGGTTTAAGTGAATAGTGAAACATTAATTATTCAAGCAGGAAAACCTTTAAACATTGTCTGAGAGTCCCCAACATTTTGGTGAGGTGAAGCGCCTTTTCATTTCTCCCGTCTTAAGTAGCCTGCCTTTGGGAGTGTGGTGCTAGGTGAAAAAGAGGAGGGGATGTTACTCTCTGTTCCCCGTGAGCTTCAGAAACCTCCCACACAAGGGCTCAGCAAAGGTCACTTCATCCTTAGTGGGACTGCTCGCCCATTGCTTGAGGTCTCCTGCTTTTGTTACTCTGTAGCTGTAGGGACTGAGGCCCAAAAAGGTGCCCAAGGCCACAGCTATAGGACCATGACCAGAAATGAGGGGCAGCAGCAAGCAAGGGTGAGCATTTCAATCAGACTGTCTTACTCTGGGATTTTGGCTTCTCTACTTCCCAGCTACACGACTTGGGCATGTTACTTAATTTCTCAGAGCATGTTTCCTCATCTGTGATAAGAGGATGGTGAGAGATTAAATAACTCAGTAAAACACCCAGTGTGTGCCTGGCATATAGTAGGGGTTTCATAAATGGTGGCTTCCTTACTTGTCTACCCTACCAGTGTGATCTGCTGCCTCACAGTTACAAGCCCTCTAACCTCAGCATTGAACCCAGCAACCATTTACTGAACAGAGGTTTCTGACTGATGAAAGGGTATCATCAACTGGGCAAAACAGTATTAACGTGACCCATTTAAATTATACCCCAACTGCAGAAATCTTCCTTAAATGGTAGCTTTCAGTGATCCAGCATGTACTGCTTTGCTGGTAACTAGGAAATGTTAAAACTTCAGAGCCAGCAGGAAGCAATATAACACACTATTCCTTATTTAATTTCTTTTAACACCTGTCATCCCACTAAAGTGGTAATCATTTTTTTCTTCCACTCATTATAAAAAAGACTGGAGGTAGACAAAATTTTCCCAAGAGTTGTTTCTCCTGCAGAAGCAAAAGAGACACCTTTCTTTGCATTCCCTCCTTTGATCTAATTTTCCTCTCTCTTAGCTTGCAGCTGGAATTGAGTAAGTTTTTGTTCCAGACTTTGTGCAAAGTGCTTTGGATGCCTTTTCTCATTGTATCCTTACCACTACCCTCTGAGGCAGGTACTGTTATAGGAGAGATGGTTAAGGTCCTTCCTATGATCACATGGCTAGCAAGTGGTTGAGCTGTGATTTAAACTCAGGTGTGGCTCTTCCTCACTTGGCTCTGCTGCGACTGCTTTTCAGAAAGAATGATCATCTTCCCAGAAGTTTAAAATGCTTTTAGGTAAGACCGAGGGGTGGGGACGCTGGAAGAAGAATAAGCCTACAGCCTACAGCCACCAGCTCGTGCATGTCTTTACTTAAATTAGGTGCCCGTATGCCCCTCCATGGCCACAAAAACCAAGTCCATGGCTCCTTTGCCAAGTTGCTTCGTCCCCAACCTGTACCACACTCGCTCCCCAGTCCCATCCAAGGCTGGCCCCGAGACCAGTATATAGTGATATTTGTATTTCTTCTGATGTTCTTTGCTCACCATAGCAGGTTGCTGGGTTCCTAACTTACGCCCTTCCGTTCCTGGGAACCTGAGCATCCAGCAATCTGCTCTGGCTTCAGTGGGTCTCGTGGGGATGACCCTTTCCACCTTATCTGACGCCCCTTAGTTACCACCTGGAAAAGTAGCAGATAGTGGTGCTGAATCCGTACCTTCCTCGGGCCGCTCGCTCTCCAACAGCGCCACCACCTCGGTGCCCTCCTCGCCGGAGCCTCGGACCTCATCCACGTCCACCACCGTGGCGGCGGGCGCTCGGGGCTCCCCCGGGGTCCCCGCCCGTCCGGAGCCCGACGGCTCGGGCCCAGCCTCCTGGCGCCCGCGGCCTCCGCCGCTCCTCTCGGCCTTTGCCCTCTTGTTCTCCTTGTGCGGAGTCCTGCCGCCTCGCCCGCGGGACTCCCTGGAGGAGCTCCGCGCCCTCCTCTCCATCCTCAGAGCTGCCGGGCGGCTGGAGCAGCAGCGCGGGAGCGCTAGGGGCACGGGAGCGCAGTCCCTGTGGAGTCGCTGCGGGTCCGCGTGGCGTGCCCGGGGGACCCTAAAGACCGTCGGGTGGGGGCTGAGGGCGAGGGGCGGGACACCGGGGCCGCGGGCGGGGCGCACCCGGAACCCCGACAGCTGTGTCTTGGTGGAGCTGTGGACTGCGCCCGCCGACTCCCACGGCCGGGGCGGCGCTGAAGCAGAGAGAGGCCTGGGTGGGAGAGCCGGCCCCGGGCAGGGTGCGGGCGTTGAAAAGTGCGTGTCTGCAGGTGCCAACCCGGGCTGTGAAGACTCATCTCCTGGAGGGTTCCTAATGTCATGCTAGAGGGCTGACGGAGATACAGAAGCTCATCGCAAGCTCTGGTTTCTCTTCAAAACGAATACATCTTTTACCTTTTACTGCAGATTTTCGTGGAGAGGAACAGTTGTTAGTAACCTTTTTTGTCTGTTTGTTTTTAGGTCCTGCTTGGGCAGGGCCAAGTAAAAAAGAAAAAAGAAAAAAGAAAAAAACCACAAAAGGTCATCGAATTAGGGTCACTTTAAGGTAAAATCAGAAATTTCGCCTCATCCCCAACTTTCCTTCTTGGAGTCGTCTCAAGGATGCCTTTCTCTCCTCCCTACGTATTTCTTATTTTATATCCTGGCCCTAGTTATTCTACATATGCATTAACCCCTAATGATGTTGGCTGATTCCTCCTGGGAGTATTTACATTTTAAAGGGGATAAAAGAAAACTCTCTTTGCGATGTGTTTCGTCTCTGTTATTATTTAGGGTCTTTATTAATGCTTATGCCTGATGTTGATGATGCAATGCTTCTTGAAGAATCATAGGCAGGAAGGGGTCTGGTCTAACTTCTGTTTTTAGGAAGAGACACTTTGTCCCGTGCTTCCATGATGAAAGCAGGAGTTGGGCTTTTTCAGGGTTCATTGGCCAGGCTGGATCTAGCAACGATCTGGGGAGCTGCCTCACCCTCTTCTGAGGGACTTGAAACATTGAATAGGTTTATTTCTCTTTCACTTTCTGTTAATAATTTGTTTCTTACTGAAAGGGAGGTTGGTCAAGGTAACCCATCACCCAAGATTTATGATACTACTCAGATAGTTCAGATCACATGATGGCAGAAATAATGCTCACTGATTTTTTAAATTTTTTAAATATTTATTGAATTCACACAGCAATAGCTTTTTTTCTCTCCCAAAACCTTATTAAACACTGAGGACCTGAAGTAACTGAAGTGCGTCTGGAAAAACCATTCCACTACTTTCTTCTATATGTTCCAGGTTAGGCCACTGGGAGTAAAGTAAATAAAAGATGAGCAATCCAGTCACTTAAATAGATTTTTTACTGTCTAAACCTGATCATTGCATGGGCTAAGGAGGATAAATATTTCCTCGCAAGGGCCTGCCTCAGTTGATAGTTTCTGCCTACAACACTACAGTGAGAAAAATTCCAAAGCTGCGTTTGGCTCAAAGAGAGAAAGATATCATGATTATTTCATATTCCCCCAAATTAACATTTGCTATTAAACACAGCTAGCATCTTTATCATCCTTTAGAGATTTCCCTGTTAGAAAAAGTGACAAACTATTTGTAGCATTTATTGGTGTTTTTCCTCAGCCTGGTCCTGTTATAAATTAATTTCATCCGCATCCCTAGCTAGACTCTTATACTAAAATTGCACCTGTTTTTCATTCCAAGAATGGAGCAGGATATCTGGTCAAATGATATTCCCCAAACTGTACTGTCTTTCAATAAGAGAGAAATTCCTTGTAGGAGAAAAATCAATGAGAAAAGGCCCTACTGGGTGTTGGAGCCCATGCTGAGCACTTGTTCTCAGTCACCTTTGCTCAGTTTCCTTGGCTTCTTTGACCACTGACAAGTTACATTTCTATATCTATACATAACAGCAATATAAGCAGCTGCTTATAACACAAGTCTGCTGGGATTATGAGTGACAATGACAAAATCAGAGAAGCTGCATACCATTCCATGATAAAAAGGTCAATGCAGCATGGCTGGAAGGTGGAGGAGTTGGGGAAGGGAGTGCTGAGTTAGCAGCTAAGTCCAGCTGGCTGTCCTCATCTACTTTTACAAGGATGCTGCTGTTTTCTTTTAGATTCCTTTTTAATTGAAAGTGTTGCTCATCCCTTTGCTGAAAATATGATATGCACACATTCTGAAACTCTCAATACTTTACTCCTTGTTTGGATTTGTTAAGAAACTGACATCTGTGGGAACTGGGTTACTAGAAGAAAGGGAGGATCAATTAAAGCTGTTTACTTTTATGTTTCCAAGGTGAAAGATTATGAAAGAGTGCAAGGCTTTCTAAAGTATTACACTTATTCCCAGTTAGTGTTTTGAAGTATTATATCCATATGAATAAGTGAATGCATGAATACTGATTCATTTGGATTATTTAATGGAAAGGCTGGAATTGATTGGCACTACATGATGTTACAAATCCTGTTGTTTTAGAGCTGGAAACTATAAGGACTTACTAAATTTGACTTTCTCAATTTGTAGGTGGCAGAGAGACTAAATAGGAGGGCACAATAGTGGTCTAGGAAAGTGATGCAACTGAGAGCCTGATCTGCAGCTTTGGCAGTGGGTATGGCTTGGATTCAGGAAATATTTCTGAGGGAGAAAATCAAAATAATGTGGTAGTCTCATGGGATTATGGAGTGGGGACCATGAAGGGATAGAAGACTTGAGAAAGATGGAGAGTTCAACCTTAATAGGCTTAGCAGCTGATCGGAAGTTGCAGCTGCTTTGGTTGATCCACATCCCCTAACTGTTTTGACCCCAAGCATCTTATGTTCCTACCCTCTTTGCTTTGAAATGCAGGTGTTGGCCTGTTAGGTGCAGGGACAAGATGAGACTTAACTTAACTTCTATCTAATCAATTCACTCCATAGATACTTAGTGAGCACCTACTACATGTATTGCACTGCTCACCACTGAGGATTTAAAGGTAAGACATGGTGCATGCCCTTGAGGAGCGTATAGTATAACAGGGAGAGACAGATGTGTAAACAGACAAGTGTGATAAAGTGTTGTACCTCCAGGTTTTTCAACCTCAGCACTACTGACATTTTGGACTGGATGATTCTTTGTTGTGGAGGGCTGTCTTGTACATTGTAACAGCATCATTAGCATCGCAGCATCGTTAGCAAAATCCCTGGCCTCTACCAGATGCCTGTAGCACTTCATCCCTAGTTGTGGTGACCAAAATTATCTTCAGATATTGCCAAGTGTTTTCCCCATGGCATCAAACAAAATTGCTCCTGGTTGAGAATCACTGATCTATATGGTACTGTGAGAACACAAAGAAGGGAGTGAGTAACATTACCTGAGTGGAGTCAGAGGGGATCCAGTTTGGGCCATACTGGGATGAGTAGGTGATCCTCAGGCGGACTTTGAGAGCTGGGCCTTCCAGCCAGAGGAAACAGTACAAAAGATAGCAGGTCAATCAGTGGTTTGACAAACTGTCAAAAGAGGAGGCCGGAGAGGTAGGCAGCCCAAGAAATGAAAAGCCTTTTATACCATATAAGAGAACTTATATTTTATCTTATTGACAAAAGAAGCTATTGAAACATTGTAAGGAAGGAAAATGGTAAGATTTGCAATTGAGAAGAGTCACTTTATGGACAAGGTGGAAGGTGAATTGAAATGGGAAGAGGATGGGCCTGGCGCGGTGGCTCACGCCTGTAATTCCAGCACTTTGGGAGGCCAAGGTGGGCAGATCACGAGATCAGGAGATCGAGACCATCCTGGCTAACACGGTGAAACCCCATCTCTACTAAAAATAAAAAAATAAAAAAATTAGCCGGGCGTGGTAGCAGGCACCTGTAGTTCCAGCTACTCGGGATGCTGAGGCAGGAGAATGGTGTGAATCTGGGAGGTGGAGCTTGCAGTGAGCTAAGATCACACCACTGCACTCCAGCCTGGGCGACAGAGCGAGACTCTGTCTCAAAAAAAAAAAAAAAAAAAAGAAAAGAAAAAGAAATGGGAAGAGGATGGAGGCAGAGAGACCAGTGAGGAGACTCTTGCAACAGTCCAGGTGAGAGGGAGGATATGAGTTACGTTTACAGGGAAAAGTGATGACTCCCAGGACTCTAATCAAAGTGACTGGTGAATGGGGCTGACATCCAACTGAGGGAATACAAAAAAGGAAACAGATTTTGTGTAAAGGTGGGTGGGCCAAGTTCAGCTTCAGAGGTATTGAGCTAGAAGTGTCTGCAGGTTATCTGTCTAGAAATGTACAGTGGACAATGAAATATTTAGGTTTAAAGTTCAGGAGGGATTATGTTTCTGAAGCCAAGATCCTGACTCTTTCACTAGCTGCTGACTCTGGCTCCAGCATCCTGTGCTGGATTTTCAAAAGAAAAACATGGAAGAGGAAACAGCACATGGCGAAGTGATCCTGGCCAGCGATGGTTTCGATATACTTTATCATCTTTCTGGGTTTTTTCCACTAAAGATACATTTCTGGGCTGGGCGCAGTGGCTCACGCCTGTAATCCCAGCACTTTGGGAGGCTGAAGTGGGTGGATCACGAGGTCAGGAGTTCAAGACCAGCCTGGCCAAGATGGTGAACCCCATCTCTACTAAAAATACAAAAAATTAGCCAGGCATGGTGGCAGGTGCCTGTAATCCCAGCTACTCAGCAGGCTGAGGCAGAGAACTGCTTGAACCCAGGAGGCAAAGGTTGCAGTGAGCCGAGATTGCACCACTGCACTCCAGCCTGGGCAACAGAGCGAGACTCCGTCTCAAAAAAAAAAAAAGATACATTTCCTATTTCTGGTGGCTTGTGTGACCCTGAGGACTGTATTTTGTCCCTTTATAGTTCAGTGTTATGGAAGAGGTATGGCGGGGAGGGAAGGGGTGGAGAGGGAAGAGGGGACAGACAGGGAGAGAGAGAGGGTGATCCTAGCGCAGTGCATCCAGTCTTTTCCCATTAAAGGACAGAAAATGATACTGTTTGAATAGCATACTGGGGCAACTTGAGGGGATTTGAGGGTATCTGTATAGGGCTTGGTGAAAAAATTAATTTTTGATATATAATCATTGTTTTAAAAAGTGTTAGGGATTCAATATCAGTAAACTAAATTTGTATACAAATATTTTAAATTTTTAAAATAGAATCTTGAGTTTGCTTCCACAGATATAAATTTCATGTTTGAAATGACTACATAAAATTCCTAATCAAAATTTTTTAAATGATGAACTCTAAATTTTTGTTACTATGAATGAGAAATGTGTTCACACAATTTTAAAAGCTTTAAAAATCATTTTTACAATCACTTAAAAATTTACAGCAGTTGAACTTAAAGAATCTAATTTCTGTCATCAACAAATGTAATTTTGATATTTCTTGTGATAATGTGAATGGGTTTCAAATCTAATCAACTTTTTCTTTAAACTTATTTCAAAATGGCCAGGCGCGGTGGCTCACACCCGTAACCCTAGCACTTTGGGAGGTCGAGGTGGGTGGATCAGGAGGTCAGGAGATCGAGATCATCCTAGCTAACATGGTGAAACCCTGTCTCTACTAAAAATATAAAAAAATTAGCTGGGCATGGTGGCACGCACCTGTAGTCTCAGCTACTTGGGAGGCTGAGGCAGGAGAATGGCTTGAACCCAGGAGGTGGAGGTTGCAGTGAGCCGCGATTGCGCCACTGCACTCCAGCCTGGGTGACAGAGTGAGAATCCGTCTCAAAAATAAATAAATAAATTTATAAAAATAAATGTATTTCAAATAATAATGAGGCTGGGCACAGTGGTTCATGCCTGTAATCCCAGCACTTTGGGAAGCCAAGGCAAGAGGATCTCTTGAGCCCAGGAGTTTGAGACCAGCCTGGGCAACCTAGAGAGACCTCTGTCTCTATTTATAAATGAATGAATTGAATGAACGAGTGAGTGAAAGAATGGATGTGAATGAATGGGAAAGGGAAAGGAAAGGAAAGAAGCTCTAGGGAGCCCAACACATGCATTATGAAGAGCTGTCGTGGTGCAGCTAGAGTAGCTTCTACACCTGTCTCGCTCTGTGCTGTGCAGTCTCCATGTGCAAGGGACCACAAACTTCACCTGGAAGTGAGGGCGGAAGCAGGTCCTTGACAGCGCTTAGCTTCTTGCAGCAGATCAATGGATGACTTTTACCATGCCACCTGGAGGCCTGTGGCATGCCAGCCGATCCCACTTGGTTGCCTTCTGAAAAGTCTGGGTGTACGCTACTTTGGTCCGGAGGTTCCTGGCATCTCTCTAACCCCCAACCCTAAAGCTATCCCTATGGGCTAAGAAAATTAGTATTAGACTGCACACCTGTCATCTATTTGAGGCAACAGAGGTGGGAAACTCCTCTACAGCATGCATCAGAATCACTTGGAGGGCCTGTTAAGGCATAGATTGCTGGACTCATCCCCCGACCCCTATTTTCTGATTCAGCAGGTCGAGTGAGGCCTGATAATGTGCATTTCTAGCCAGTTCCCAGGTGATGCTGTTGGTCTGGAACCACACTTTGAGAGCCAGTATGATACAAGTTAAACAAAAGTGTTTTCTAAATACTCCATTTACAGCAGCCCCATTCTCACTGTCTTATCCTGGTTTATTTTTTGCAAGATCCTTTATCATTATTTGACATCATATATTATATATTTTATCTGCTTAATGCTTGTCTTTGGTAATGTCCAGAAAAACAGAAACTTTGTTTTGCTTACTGTTATAGTCCCATCTCTTAGGACAGTACTTGGCACACAGTAGGAGCTAAAAGATATTTGTTGCTTGAATGAACATGCCGTTTGGAAGGCATTAGCCAAAGCTGAAACTGTGAGAATGAGAAAGCTGACCTAGGAAGAGGGGGATGGATAAAAAGGTGAAGAGCCAGCTGGGCGTGGTGGCTCATGCCTGTAATCCCAGCACTTTGGGAGGCTGAGGCGGGCGGATCACCTGAGGTCAGGAGTTCGAGACCAGCCTGGCCAACATGGTGAAACCCCGTCTCTACTAAAAATACAAAAATTAGCTGGGTGTGGTGGCAGGCTCCTGTAATCTCAGCTACTCAGGAGGCTGAGGCAAGAGAATCACTTGAACCCGGGAGGCAGAGGTTGCAGTGAGCCAAGATTGAGCCATTGCACTCCAGCCTGGGGGACAAGAGCGAGACTTGCTCTCAAAAAAAAAAGAAAAAAAGCAAAGAGCCAAGGACAGACCCTGTATTAAATGTACATGGGCATTAACAGAATAACAAAAGGAGGAAATAGAGCAGAATGCTAGGAGTCAAGCCCAGTGCAACAGCATCATAGAAACCCACAGAGGAGAGATTTTCAGAAAGGGAGGAGACACCAACAGTAAACAGCAGAGATCACGTAAGATGAAAAGTCTGTAAAACTTGTCAATTAGTAAGTTTGCCATTGATAATTTTGGTAAAAGAAAGATGTCCTGAGTAGCAGGCTAATTGCTATGGACTGAGTAGTGAATGGTGGATGAAAAGGTGGGAAAAAAACTGAGTGTAGACTGTTTAAGGATTTGGCCACAAAGGAAAGGCTGGAGTGGGAGGTAGTTCAAGAGAAAGTGTTTATTTCTCCTTCCTGCTGTCTTTCTTCTCTGTGTTATGTGTATGTAAGATCAGAGCATAATTTTATGCTATAGGAAAGTAGTCTGTGAAGAGGTATTGAATATGTGTAACAGTAACCAAAGGGTAAGGTCATGATCCTAGAGGAGCTTGGGGGGATAAAATCAAAAGTAGGATGGATGACCCCCTCACCAACCGAGACCAGAAGGAAAGACATGATGGGGACTAGTTTAGAGGACTGGGCTCAAAGTTGAGGGGGTTCATGTATGAGAGCCTCCATTTGCTCTGGGTGGTTTGGAGCAAAGTCATCTAGTGGTAGAGCAGGAGTAGGGTAAGAAATGTAAGAGCAATGGCAAAGGCCTGGAGTCATTGCTGCAGGAAATAGACTTGAACAGTGGCATCCGATAGGCACAAATTGGGTCTCTTTCTCTATCTCGGCTGTTTTCTAGGGCAGGAATGCTGGAAGGAGCAGCTGCAAATTAAAATACACTCCCACAGGCAAGCAAGGATGGGAGGCAGTCAAGTGGAGGGCGTTAATTACCAGAAGAACAGTGGGCTCCAGTCATCATAATAGGCAGCAGGGTGGAAAACACATTGGTCTGACCCAGGAGCTCTCTGGATGTGGTTAAGTAATTTTAGGAACCCAAGGAATGAACTCAACAAATAACCCATTAAGTCTTTTTGGTTTGTATAACAAAAACAAATCCAGGCCGGGCAGTGACTCACTCCTATAATCCCAGTGTTTTGGGAGGCCAAGGTGGGAGCATTCTTCAGTCCAGGAGTTTGAGACTAGCATCGGCAACATAGCAAGACCCCTACCTCCCCCTCCAAAAAAAAGTAAAAAAAAAAAAAAAGAAAAAGAAAAAGTAGCTAAGTATGGTGGAGCATGCATGACTAGCTACTCAAGAGGCTGAGAAGGGAGGACTGCTTGAGCCCAGGTGTTCAGGTCTTCAGCGAGCCATGATCATGCCACTGCATTTCGGCCTGGGCAACAGAGTGGGATCCTGTCTCTAAAAAAAAAAAAAACAAAAAACAACCCACAAAACACAGCTTTATGTCTGGGGAACAGAGACCTCTCCTGAGCAAGAGAGATACAACTTGTCACCCCATTACCGGCACTAAATCAGATCCCAGATCCACAGCCTTTTGAGCATAGCCCAAATATTCTTGTATAAGGACGCTGTGGAAATATTGTACCTAAGACTGCAAGCAAACTTTCATCTCCCCAAAGAGTTTGTGCTCCCTTATAGATAATTGCTCTGGAGAAAAGGAAATACCCAAACTTTTTAGTGACTATCATATGCAAATCCCAAACTAACACTAATTTCTGGGACCCAAAATGTTGCTGTTTGCCATCAACATTTTGAGCTTATAGAGGTTGGGTGACAAATGAACTGAATTCTGGCCCAGGTTCACCTTTGGGCAGGGCTAGTGGGACTGTGAATTCATCCTGTGGTCAAGGGCCCTAGTTGCCAAGTGAATAGCTGGAATAGGTAATCTTAGCAACTGGCAGAATTCCTACATTGGTACACTCACCCATGGTGTAAGGGCTATTCCGGTAGGAAGTACCAAGTGGGGTGCCAAAACAGTACATCAAAAGCAATGCTACATTCCTGGAGAATTGCAGAGATAAGTGTTACCATCAAAGGAGAGAAAGATGCTACTGTGATGGTTCCCACCTCATTCCCATTCACTTCACAGATCAGCTGCCACAGATGACTGATAGGTCTTGGTTACTGCAAATCCAGTCAAGTGGGGACTCTAAGGGTAGCTACTGTTCCCCAGTGGAGTCTTTCTAATGAAGCAACTTCACACAGCCTCTGACACTTGCTTTGCAGTTATCGATCTGGGATTTAGCTCCAGAATATCTTTGTAAAAACCCTCTCTTTTTTATATTATGCACCAATAACTTTTTGATTCAATAATATATTTTATGTTTTATTGCCTATCATTCTTTCATATATTCTGGTTCACATCTGTATATCAGTTTCTTCACTTTAAAATGGGCATCATAATTGTACCTTTTTCAGAGTTATTGGGAAGAAAATGAGATAATCTGTGTAGAGCGCACATAGTATGTACTCAATGTCTGTTGCCTCATCTGTTGGGGATGAGAATCTGGGAAATCTTTTTTGTAATTCGTTGTTCATTTTGCAGGAGTCATTTTCAAGTCATTCAATGAGATGGTAAACTTTCTGAATACTTTCATGTCTGAGAACGTTTTTATTTTCCTCTCACTTTACTGTTGGTTAGCCTAAAGGATTCCAGAGTTAGCCCTGAAGATATTGCCACTGAGAAATTCAAGGGCAAACTAATTTCCATTATTTTATAGATAACATTTCCATATAAAAATCTCTTGATTCTCTTTCTCCTAGAGTTTACCTACAACAGGATATTTTTTCATTAATTATTTTAAGAACTCTAAGTGGGCCCTTTTAATAAGATGTGTTTTGGTGCAAATTTGGGACATTTTCTTCTTTTTAACTCCCCAACCCTCACCATCATTCTTGCTGGTTTTTGTTTATACAGCTTTTGTCATTCAAATGTTGCAATGTTTAGATCCATTTTCTTTTCCTTTTTGTTAATTTGCTATTCAGCCCTGCCCATTCTGCTATAAACCAGCCCATAAGTCTTATTTTCAATCTTTCAGGGATTCCTCAATATTCCTGGCTCATTGATGGAACATTTTGTTCCCTTGGCTTAAAAAAAAAAAAAAAAAAAAAAGCATTATGTCATCAGTTTTAAGAAAGAAGGCCGCGGCCGGGCGCCCGGAGCCGCGCAGCCACACTGCCCGGGAATCGGCCCTCGCCCCCGGCCCTGGCGCTCGGAGCTCGGAGCTCGGAGCTCAGCGCTCAGCGGCTGCCAGGGCTTTTAATGTCTGCTCGGCAGAGCGGGGCCTAGGGCTGGAAAGAGGCTGCCTCGCAGGAAGGCGCTCTAGCGAGCCTCCTCCTGGGCCCGTCACGCCCGCCGTGGGGCGCTGCAGGTAGGGGCGCGCTCCAGGTGGGGGCGCGCTTCCCCGGGGTGGCGTGTTGACTTGAGACGCCGGCCCGCTCGCTGGCTGCTGGCTCGCCAGCCGCTTGTCCCTGCCATGAATTGAGACCGCGGGCCAGCCCCGCGCCTACTCCACCCGCGCCTTTCTCGAGCCTCCTCCACCCGCCGCGGGAGGCCAGGCTTCTGAGGCGGGGGCGGGGGCGGCGGGGGCAGGCAGCTCCCGGCCTGGTGCCTGCACCATGAACTACCAGCAGCAGCTGGCCAACTTGGCTGCCATCCCGGCCGAGATCCAGCACTTCGAGTTGGTCCACCCCAACGTCTACTCCCATCTACCAGCTGCTGGAGCGCGTGGAGGAGCCGGTGCTTCAGAACCAGATCCGGGAGCACGTCATTGCCATCGAAGATGTCTTTGTGAACAGCTAGGAATGGACGCTGAGTCGATCTGTCCCGGAGCTCAAAGTGGTGGCAGGTTCAAGAAAGAGATTGTTGTTGATGGACAGAGCTATCTGCTGCTGATTAAATATGAAGGGGACCCCCTGGAGGCGCAGTTTGCCATGTCGGTGGATGCAGTTATATTTGTTTTCAGCTTGGAGGATGAAATAAGTTTCCAGACTGTTTACTACAGTGGAATGGCCAACTATCGGAACATGAGCGAGATTCCTCTGGTTCTGGTGGGAACCCAGGATGCCATAAGTTCCACTAACCTGAGGGTCATTGATGATGCCAGGGTAAGGAAGTGCTCCAACGACCTGAAGCGGTGCACGTACTATGAGACGTGTGCTATGTATGGGCTGAACGTGGAAAGGGACTTCCAGGAGGTTGCCCAGAAGATTGTTGCCACAAGGAAGAAGCAGCAGCTGCCCATAGGACCCTGCAAGTTGCTGCCCAGTTCTCCAAGCCATTCCACCGTCTGTTCTGCACAGGTGTCCGCCATGCACATCAACTAGACAAGTAATGGAGGTAGGAGTTTAAGCAACTATTCCTCCTCTGTTCCATCGACTCCCAGCACCAGCCAGAAGGAACTTCAGATGGATGTTCCTCCCACTGCCAACACGCCCACACCCATTCACAAGCAGTTCACAAGCAGTTCAAGTGGGGTCAAACCTGTTCACCTCTCAGAAAGGGAGCAACCCAAAGAGTAGAAAGGCCTAGAGAGTCATGCATACGGCATTGGGAGCAGCCAAGCCATGCCAATTATACAGGGCATGCTGTTGAAGCAGAGTGGCAAATCGTTGAATAAAGAGTGGTAAAAGAAATATGTCACCCTGTGTGACAATGGTGTGCGGACCTATGATCCAAGTTTACATGATTACATGCAGAATGTCCATGGTAAGGAGACTGACCTTCTGAGAACCACTATGAAAGTCCCAGGGAAGAGGCTACCCCAAGCCACGTCGGCCTGCGTGCCCATCTCCAGGACTAAAACCAATGGCCTATCCAAGCACATGAGGAGTTTACACATCTCACCCAATTCAGGAAATGTCACTAGTGCATCTGGGTCTCAGTTGGCAGGTGGCATCAGCCTGGTCTCCTTCAACAGCCAACCAGATGGCATGCACCAGCACTCCTACTCAGTCTCCAGAGCCAACCAGTGGAGTCAGGCTACAGTCATTGCAAACTCGGCCATTAGCAGTGACAAGGGGTGGGTGACTCTGTATGCTCCAGTCGCAGTAACTCCAGCACCACCAGCCCACCTCCCCTCACACCAACAGAAAGAAGCACTATAGGCAGAAAGCCACCAGCAACTTCAAAGCTGATGGCCTGTCTGACACTGCTGAAGAACAAGAAAACTTTATCATTGTGTCCCTCACTGGCCAAACGTGGCACTTTGAAGCCACGACGAATGAGGAGCAGGACACCTGGGTCCAAGCCATCGAGAGCCAGATCCTGGCCATCCTGGCCAGCCTGCAGTCGTGCAAGAGCAGCAAGAACAAGTCCCAGCTGATGAACCAGAGTGAGGCCATGGCCCTGCAGTCAATCTGACACATGCACGGAACTCCCACTGTGTGAACTGCGAGACCCAGAATCCTAACTGGGCCAGTTTGAACTTGGGAGTGCTCACGTGCATCAAGTGCTTAGGAATCCATTGGAATCTTGGCACCCACCTTTCCCGAGTCTGATCTCTGGACCTGGATGACTGGCCAGTTGAGCTTATCAAGATGATGTCATCCATTGGGAACGAGATATTCAACAGCGTCTGGGAAGAGAGCAGCCAGGGGCGGATGAAACCCTTAGTAGACTCCACAAGGAAAGAGAAGGAACAATGGATCCATGCCAACTACGAGCAGAAGCTCTTCCTGGCCCCGCTACCCTGCACGGAGCTGTCCCTGGGCCAGCACCCGCTTCGGGCCACCGCAGACGAAGACCGGCAGATGGCCATCCTGCTGCTGGTGCACAGCTCCTGGGACAAGGTGAAAGAAACCTTTGGGGAGGGAGACAGAGATGGCCGCACTGCACTGCATCTGGCCTGCCACAAGGGAAGTGTGGTCCTGGTGCAGCTCCTGATCTGGTACCGGGTGGACGTCATGGCCCAAGATGCCCATGGGAACACAGTGCTGGCCTACACCTGGCAGGCCTCGAGGCAGGAATGCATCAATGTGCCCTGGAGTATGGCTGCCCAACGAGCACTGAGTGCTCATGGCCACCCCTAACCTGTCCAGGAGAAACAATAACCAGAAAAGCAGCAGCAGGAGGGTGCCCACCATCATCTGAGGAACAGCCGTGCCTGCCTGCCCGCCAGCCACACCTGGGACGCGGCAGCCTCGCAGCATACTCACTTGGAAGTCGCAGCACGTGAGTCCCATCACATCCCCTCACTCTTCCTGGTGGTCGCCTCCCTCCCACCCACCCACTCCCACCCCACACAAAATCACAAAACCTGGACATCCTCAAGGGGTGAAGAGGCAGCTGGGAGACTGTAGAAGCAGTTCCTTTGCTCAAATTTCCCTAAACCACAAGCAGGAGAGAGCGACAGGCCTCGGCTCTTTGATGATAGCACACGGCGCAGGACCCTTGTTCTGGTGGCACAAGGGGCGGGGATGTGAGGGGGAGGGGCAACTTTCCTTAACTGGCAGTTAAGCACATCAGTACTACCAAGCGGAACACTTGGATTCCATCCCTTCTCTGAGGAGCTTGATGGCATAAATCAGAAGCAAGCACAGAGTTTGTCAGGTTTGAAGCCCTTATGATGGTATGTGTCAAGTCAGTTGTAGCTAATCTGTCCAGGGAGAATACTGGCTTCATTACACTTGTACAGTTGAGTTCTTCCAGCATTACTGCTGTTTAATAGAAGAGGATTAGTCATCACCAAGAAGACAGCAGATTAGCCAAGGAGGTAGTTATGCGGCATGCTCCGGTGATCGCCACAATGTGATTGCAGTACTCTTAGAAGCATCATATCATCCCAGATATGTTCTTTCAAGCCCTTGGAGCCCTCCTTTCTAAATTCACTGTCATAATTTAGTATCTGTTTAATTTTTCAGTCCAAAGAGAGGAAATCAGTTGCTGAGTAACTTTCTTTTTGACTGCGGTCTCCTTGGTGCAAAAACAAAATGGGAAAAATAAATAAGAATAACTCAGAAATTCAAAAGGAAATCACAAATTCAGCTAATAATAGCATTTTGAGTATATTTTGTAAACCAAATAAACACACAAAAGGCTATTTTTTCCAACCATAAGAGACATTGTCTGTCCTTTTGCCAAGGTGGATGTGTTAGTCTCAGGCCCTCCTGGGCCACACTGCCAAACTCACACGGACTTCTGCATTTTATGTATTTAGATAAGATGTGTGAAAATATATTTGAATAAAAGAAGTTCATAAATATGCATTGATTTTTGTACAGACAAAAGGCACCTTTCTTAATTTATAAATTGAACTGGATGTGAACTAATAATGTGCAACTAGTTGAGATAAGAGGGTTACAAATCATTGTACATGGAAAATATTCCCAGCAGTAAACACTTCCATTAATGTGATCTACAGCTTTTAAAAAGGAGCATCTCAGAATAAGATGGTGGTACAATTTGCTTGTTAAAATTGAGAAAAAATAGACACATTGGAATATATTAGAAAGGGAAAAGAAGGAATGTGATTTCTTCTGATTGAAAGCATGATTTAGATCAGATACAGTTTTTGCTAACCAAGACCAAGGGGCTCTGGCAAGACAGGGTGGTTTTCCGAATGCCAGACCGAGGTGCCTTACGAAGGCAGCTGCCGATGGTTCTGTGGCACAGACTGGCTCCTGAGAACCCAGACGACCTTGACCCTGCACCCCCGCCCTCCATGCTAGTACCTCGTCTGATTCCCATCGCCACAGTATCCAGCTGCTTGAGACATCAGCTGCCTTCAGTGGTGGTAGTCAAACATAGTCAGCCAAACCATGGCATCCCTTAGGTTAAAAGAAAACGGGGCAGCTTTGCCCAGAGCCTGTTGGCACTGTGGGCGGGGGAGAGGGTTGGGGGAGAGAGAAGGGTTGTCACGATGGAAGATGAGGACACTAGTCTCATGTAGCACAGAAACACGAAGTCACATGCGCTGGCAGCCTCCGGGGTGCTCCTTGCTGTCATATATTAAACCTTACATTTTATAAGAAAAAAAAAAGAAGGAAGATAAGGTCATTGTGTGTGCTTAAGCCTCTTTGTTGATTCAAATTCTTTGGTTATTTTGGTTTGTCTTGTTTCTTTAATTAGACTGTACATTTTAAGGTACAAGTCTTTATATTATACAATGCCCCTCCCTATTCTATATCTCTTAAACTACTGTTTTCTGGTTTTCAAGGACTTTATAAATCTGGCTCATTCTACCAAACCAACTATACATCCAAATAAATCTCTAGTGGCACCTAGAATGTTGTCCGCTCATTTAAAAAGGTCTCCTAGCCCCACCCATTCCTTCATCAGGGAGCCAGAGTTGCCTTTAGCTCTGCAGGGATTCTCAGCCAAGAATCAGAATTTTCTGTCTGTGATTTTCCTCAAATAAACCCAGACCTATTGAATGAGAATCTCTGCTTATCAGACCTGTGCATCCTTTTCGCCTCTTACATAGCCCCACAGGTGATTCTGAGGCCCACGCGGCCCGCTTCCCCTCCCTGCGTCAGGCCCGGCCCTAGCTCTGGAGGTGGTTGGATTGGTTCAAGGGCTGCAGCCCCACCTCGCGTCTTCCCACCGCGTCGGAGGACGTAGGCGCCTGGGATCCTGGAAGGCGGCCAGCCTCTGCAGCCGGGCCCAGCGGCTCCTGAGACTGGGGCGGACCTCACACCTGACCCCGGAGCGGCTAATCCTGCCCAACCGTCCCACCTGCCACGTGCCCTCGGGGCTGGAACGCGGCGCCCCGGGAGAGGCCTGCTGGTCAGGGGGCGCTGGTGCGCAGGCGCGCGGGGCCGCCGTCGCAGCTACCTTCCTGCGCCGATTCGGAGAGGGCCCCCTAATCTCTACTCGGCCCGCACCAGCAGCGCTGGCGTCAGGGCGCGGTGGGGGCAAGACGGGTGACTGGCAGCAGGGCGGTGCCGGGCCGAGAAGGGCGCCTCACCTGGCGCCTCCTGCCTTCCTTTCCACCTCAGGTTGCAGAGAGCCGCCAGGGCAGGTGGAAGGGCCACGCCCCGCTCCCGTGAGGGTCACCGAGAGACGTTGGGGGTGGGGCAGGGACCCCAACCCTAGACCAGGTAGGGGGCGGGCGAAGATTGGTGGTACCTTCAGGTAAGAGGGAGCGGGGAGCGCCCCCTCGGCTTGGGGTGCCAGAGGTGTGCGGCGGGAGCGCCTTTTTTCGTGGGGCCCTCGCCCTGCAGGGCGGAGGCGGCATTGCGTTGGCCTTAGTTCCTAGTCCTGGTTCCCGAGGAGCCCCTGAAGGCTTCGGATGGGAAGTTTGCGTTGGAGTCCAACACCCGACAGGAACCCCAGTTAACGCCTCCGCATGGCCAGGGGCAGAGTTCTTGACACCTGTAGCTTAATCAACGCAGGTGGAGATTCAGGGCTTGAATCGCCCGGCCACGCGCAAGCCGCAGGGCACCCTCATACTACTACTTCTGCCTTATTACCCTTAAAACTGGAGTCTCAGTTATTTGTATCCCACTATTGGTTTTTTTTTAAATCTTTTTTCGTGGGTTTGCCCCCTTTTCCTCAGCTGCGTTTCTGTCTTCAGTCCTGTAGGGCACAATGTCTGAACAAGAGCGTATACAGGAATGTCTGCGGAAGGAAATAAGGTCACTTCTCATTTCCACCAAAGATGGTTTGAGCCCACAGGAGTTGGAGAAGGAGTACCTTTTGATGGTTGGCAACCATCTACCACTCCGAATCCTTGGGTATCGGTCCACTATGGAGCTGGTATTGGACATGCCTGATGTTGTTCGTGTCTGCCCCGGTGCAGGTGGTACTGTAATACTGAAAGGTAGGTTTAAGATTTTTGAAGGTCTATAAACTTTGTAATAAAAACAATTGCTTAGTAAATAATTATTCTAGTTCTGCAGTTATTATGCATCCCAGCCAGTGGATTTTAATTTGGTGGGGGAGGGAGACTCATAGGTGCTTTTGAGGTTGTGGGCAAAATTGGAACCTCTGCAAAATTAACAAACCATTCCCCCAAACAATCGTGCACTCACAAAAGCTACATTTTTACATATGATTTCAGGTTCTTGCACCTTAAGTCGAGAGAAACAAAAAAAGGACTTCTTAATTATAAAAACATGTTTTAAATTTCGTGAAGCACAAGAAAAAACTATTGTAGGGAAGTTTGCAGTTCATCCCAAGAGTTTCAAAAAATCTGTCAGGGGTCAATTAGTTGTAATGATAATACATTGAGTTAACTTTTCTTCAGCTGGCAGGAGAGCTAGCAAGCTGTTGCCCAAAATGCAAGAAATCGAGGAACCAAGAGTTACTGTTTATCGTGCTGCCTGGATAAACAGCTCCTTGGAGAGTTAAAAACTGTATAAACACAGATACTAAGGATAAAGAAGGGAGTAAGTTTTCCTCCTAAATATGATTTCTATTTTTCACGTCTCAGCCATTCCAGATGAATCTACCAAAGGAATAGCAAGCTTAGTTGCAAAACAGAGGAGCAGCCATAAGCTTCGAAACTCAATGCATAAGGGAAGACCTAGTATTTATTCTGGACCGAGATCTCATCGGCGAGTACCTTACCGAGGAAGGGTTGCCCCTATTCTTCCAGCTGTTGTGAAGAGTGAGTTGAAGGACCTGTTGGCGTTATCTCCTGTTCTTCTTTCTGATTTTGAAAAGGCATTTGCCAAAAGATTTGGACGATCATTCCAATACATGCAATATGGATTTCTCTCTATGTTTGAAGTGCTTAATGCGGCTTCAGATGTCATTTCTGTAGAGCAGACCAGAGCAGGTTCTTTGTTGATGCTAAAGAAGAGTGTAACAGAGGAAAAGCCGAGAGGATGTCCAGCAGGTACGCATGTGAGCAAATGTTGGAGCAGTCATGGCACATAGAGGGGTGTGTAATCACTAAGGTCTATGAGTTCGTTAGAGTTGAAGCCTGGCTCTACTACTTGCCAGCTGAGTGGTCTCAGGCGAACTGTTCAATCTACTTAAGCCTTAGTTTTCCTCATCTTTAAAATAGAAATAACAGTATTTCCCTCTCAGGGTTGTGTTGAGGACCTTACATGAGGTGAGTTCTGTAAAATCTCTGGCATTTAGTAAGCTGATAATAAGTGGTAGCTATTATTATTTTAAAAACTACAAGATCAGCTCTCTCTAGAACACTGTAAATGAACTTTACATGAATGTGTTCATATAAATAAGCTATATGGAAAATGAAAAGTTAAAATACTTAAATTATTAGCCTTAACCCTTCTAATCTTTGCCATCACTGGGGCTTATCCTAGGAGACACTTTGGTAACTTTTGTGGTGTAATAATAACCACCTTATCTGTATAGCATTTTACCTTGCATTCTCATTACCATACTAGGTAGGGTAAGTAACTGTGTCTTATAGATAGGGAGATCAAAGCTAAGGAAAATTAAATGGCTTTTCTAAAGTCACATGGCTGGAAAAGTGGTACAGCTAGAGTTAGATACCCAGCTCTTATTGCTGCCCATCCAGTGAATTTCTGCCCAAATGCTGTGTCTATTAAAGGCTCAAGAGACCAGTGTGACCATCTGGGTAGTATCTCCCTTGACAATGTACAGTTTACACACTGAGCATAGGCGGAGCCTACTTGGGAGAATTCTATGCTTATTTCAGTGATTTTCTTTTTCTCCAACTTCTGCATTTAGATTAACATAGGTGAACCAAGAGGATGTGTCACAAGTTTATAAACCAATATTTACACTGTGGTAGGTGATGTAGTTTGAGGATATGAGGATATACTTGGATAGGGAAGGCTCTGGAGGCCACTAAGTGTTTCAAGTCTAGCCCTCAACTTTATCAGTATTCTTGAAGTCCTAAAACTTGGGAAGACTAACTCATACTATTACACTTGCAAGAGATTGAGTTGTAGAAAGCACTTTACCAATTTATTGAATAGTGGGGGGTGAATATTCCTTTCCAGTGATTTTGTTCATGTTCTCCATCCATGGTTCCTACTTCTGTCATCAGGATATCTTGAAGTCAACTGTTGTTTTTTTGTTTTTTGTTTTTGTTTTTTTTTGGTGAACTTGACCTTAGGGTAAAGGAAGAGCTAGGCTGTGGTGAAGTCTGGTGATGTATCTTTCATGTCATGCAACAGAATACACCTCTCCAGTGGTATTCCCCCTTCCTACAAATCTTGAAGAATTTATATTTTATATTTTATTCTGTAGCTTTTCATCCTCCCAGAACTGTGGTACTACTACTAGTGGTTATCCAGTTTGAAAAGCATAGTGCTAAGCAGGCTCCTTGGAGACTTTTTTGTCTCCTAAATGGGATACAGCTTTTTACATATTGAATCCCACCTCTCTATAATTAGATTCAGGTGACCTTAAGTGGACTTTTAGATAGCCCCAAGCTTTTGGTAACACTTAATGATCTCTGTCTTCCTCTATGGATGACTAATAACTTACACTATATGTAAGTTTTGGCTTGATGTAAAAATGTCAGCTTTCTTTTCTTAATTTTTGCTTCTAAGTTGAAGGCAGTTAGCTCACAGTAGCCTCTGTATGTAGCCACCGGAAAATGAAATAGAAGTTGCTAGTGACAATTTTTCTTTCTTCTTCTATTACTCACAAAAGGTAAAATTTTTACCCAGCCATTTAGAATGAAACAAGGGTCATACTCCACAGGCTTTCCGGTAGCAAAGCCATGCTTTTCACAACCCACTTCAAACATGGAACCACCGAAGCAAATAATGAGCATGGAAAAGACTTCCAAGTTAAATGTAGTGGAGACTTCAAGACTGAATCACACTGAAAAATTAAACCAGGTGAGAGATAAGAATTTGGAGATATAAATATACGATGTTTTTAAATTCAGTGGTGTTAACACTTTGATCTGATGGAAAAGTTGACCTTTTAAAAACTGAAGTCATTCACTTATTTCAAATTTGACTAAGCATTTCCTATGGTTCTGTAGATTAGTAAGAAGTGAGAAGTGGAGTGAAAGAAGAGTACAATTTTATCAACTCCACAGTTTCCACTATTTTCTGCAAATGACTCCCAACTCCCAAATCTGTATCTCTAGTTCCAGTTCCTCACCAAAGTTACAGAAGCATATTTGCAATTTACCTCACAAATATCTTCTGAATGGCTGTCCCTGAGCATAATAATCCTGGTATTTTTCTGTGACTGTAATGCTGAAGGACTTTGAATAAAAACTATTAGAATATAACCAATAAATGCCTGACTAAATCATCATGTTAACAACTTAAGTTAGAGCTCAGAATGAGCACGTGGAAATTAAGTTCAAAACATGAAAATGCCTGATTTCTACTAAAATTAGCTTTAGTAACATAATTTACATGTAGTAAAATTTACTCATTTTAAGTGCACAGTTCGAGTTTTGATTAATATATAATTATACAATCACCATCAAAATAAAAAACAGAACATTTCCATCATCCCCAAAAAAGCTCCTTCATGCCACTTTGTAGTTTCTTTCCCCAACTGCAGCCACAGACAACCACTGCTTTCTATGATTTTGGCTTTCCAGGAATTTCATATAAATGGAATCAAACAATATCTAATCTTTTGTGTTTGGCTTCTTTAACTTAGTAGAATACTTCTGAGGTTTATCCAAGATGTATATATCAGTAATTTGTTCCTTTTTCTTGTTTAGTGTTAGTCCATTATACAGATACACGTAAATTTGTTATACCTTCCCCATTAGATGACATTTGGGTTATTTCCTCTTTGGTCCTTTACTTATAAAGCCACTGTCATTATTTGCATACATCTTGTATGGCCATAGTTCATTTCTCTTGTGTAAATACCTGGGGGTTGGATTACTGCATCATATAGTAAGTGTATGTTGATAAGAAATTACCATTGTTTTCCAAAGTGGCTGTATGACTTTCCTTTCCCATTAGATATGTATGAGAGTTGTAGTTGTTACACATCTTTGTTAACATTTGGGATTGTCAGTTTTAAAAATATTAGCCATTTGAGTGGGTGTGTAGTGCTATCTCATGGTTTTAAGTTGGATCATAATAATCTAATGATAATGTTGAGCATCTTTTCACATGCGTGTTTGCCATTTGTATTTCCTTTTTGAAGTGTCTATTCAAATATTTTGCCCATTTTATAAAACTGTGTTGTCATTGTATTGAATTGGAAAAATTTACATATTCTAGATGTAAGTCCTTATCAGAGGCGTGTTTTGTAAATATTTTCTCCTGGCCGATGTTTGCTTCTTCATTTCCTTAATCCTGTCTGTTGTGGAAAAGTCTTTAATTTTGATACAGTCTAATTTATTCATATTTTTCTTTCTTTTCTTTTTTTCTTTTTTTTTTTTTTTTTGATAGGGAGTCTCACCTTGTCACCCAGGCTGGAGTGCAATGGTGCGATCTCGGCTCACTGCAACTTCCGTCTCCCGGGCTCAAGTGATTCTCCTGCCTCAGCCTCCTGAGTAGCTGGGATTACAGGCGTCAGCCACCACACCTGGCTAATTTTTGTATTTTTATTAGAGACAGGGTTTCACCATGTTGGTCAGGCCGGTCTTGAACTCCTGACCTCAGGATCTGCCTGCCTCAGCTTCCCAAAGTGCTGGGATTGCAGATGTGAGCCACCACGCCTGGCCCATATTTTTCTTTTATTCTTGCCTATCTAATGGATTTTAATCGAAGTTACAAGTTTTTCTCCTACGTTTTTCTTGAAGTTTTATGTTTTCAGTTCTTATATTTAGGTATATTATCCATTTCAAGCCAGATTTGCCTAAGGTACCAGGCATGGATCAAAGTTTTCTGCATATAGACAGTTATTCCTTATTAATTTGGCACCTCCATTCACCTCACACATGTGTAGTTCTATTTTGAGACTCTGTTCAGGTCCATTTATCTACATTTCTGTTTTTGCCAATACTGTACTATCTTTATTCCTGTAGCTTTATAATATCTTTGTCATATATAGTCCTGTGTCAATGACAGGGATATGATCTGAGAAGTGTGTTGTTAGGTGATTTTATCATTGTATGATCATCATAGAATGCAGTTACATAAACCTAGGTGGTATATAGCCTACTACACACCTAGGCTATATGGTATAGCCTATTGCTCATAGGCTACAAACCATTATAGCATGTTATTGGACTGAATGCTGTAGGCAGTTGTAACACAACGGGGTATTTGTGTATCTAAACATAGAAAAGGTACAGAAAAAATACAGTATTATAATCTTGTGGGACCACCATCATACAGGTGGTCTATTGTTGACCATAAGTCATAATGCAGCCCATGACTGTAGTTAAGTCTTGCAACTTTGTTATTTTTCAAAAGTGCTTTGGATATTCTAGGTTTGCATTTGCAGATACATTTAATTTGATACAAATCAACTTGTCAGTTTCTGCCAGAAATAAATAAGATTGTGATCTTCATTAGAATCACATTGGATCTATAGATATGTTTGGGGGGAAAATGACATCTTAACAGTATCAAGTCTGCTGATTCAAAAGCATGGTATATCTTCATTTATTTAGGTCTTTACATTCTCTCAGCAATGTTTTATAGTTTTCAATGCATAAAGCTTGCGCATATTTTGTTAAACTTATCCTTTACACCTTTCATATTTTTTAGCTATTATAAATGGTATTTAAAATTTCTAATCATTGCTAATAGAAAATCAATTGGTTTTTTTTTTTTTGGGTATGTTGACCTTGTATCCTGTGACCTTGAGTCATGGTACTTGATAAACTCAGTTCTGTAATTCAAATCATTCTAGCAGCTATTTTGTAGAGTTTGGATTTTCTGCATAGACCGTCATGCCATCTGAGAGTAAAGACAGTTTTACTTCCTCCTTTTCAATCTATCTGCCTTTCCTCCAACCCTTACCACACAGTGTAGGCTCTCTAGTATTATATAATATTATATAAATGTGAGAGTGGAAAATCTTGACTTGTTCCTAACTATATGGGGAAAATATTCAGTCTTTCATAATTATGATATTAACTGTAGCTTTTTAGATGCCTTTTATCAGGTTGAGAAAATTCCCTCCTATTCCTAGTTTCTCAGAATTTTTTTCCTGAATGTATGTTGAATTTTGTCATGTTCTTTCTCCATACATTGAAATTATTATAGGACTTTTGTTTTTTAAAAATTTCTTTTCTTGGTTTTATATTCAGCCAACCTTATATTTCTGGATGAATCCTGCTTGGTCATCATATAGTATCCTTTTTATATGTTGCTACCTTCAGTTTGCTAATATTTTAAGGGTTTTGCATTTATGTTTATAAGATATATTCTGTAGTTTTCTTGTAATGCTTTTATCTGGTTTTGGAATCATTTTAATACAGGCCTCTTGTGAAAGGAGTTGGGAAGTTTTTTTCCACCTCTTTATTCTGAAAGAGTTTGTGTAGCATTGGTATTTGTTTTTCTTAAATATTTCATAGGATTTATCAGTGAACCAAATTGGAGCTTTCTTTGCAGAAAGGTTTTAAACAACAAATTCAGTTTCTTTAACAGATATAGGGCTATTTTGTATTTTATGCTTTCTTTTTTTTTTTTTAAATGAGCCTTGGTACCTTGTCTTTCGAGGTGCTGTCCATTTCATCTAGGTTGTCAAATTTATTGAAATAAAGTTGTTCATAATGTTCTCCCAGTAACATTTTAAGGTCTTTAGGGTCTGTGATGCTTGCTCTTTATCTGTCTCTATCTCTCTCATACACATATCAGTCTCACTAAAGATTTATTCACTTATACACAGTCATGCACCACATAATGACACTTGTGTCAACAAGACTGCATGTGCAACAGTAGTTCCACAAAATTATAACAGAACTGGAAAATTCCTGCCACCTGGTGGTGATGTAGCTGTTGTAACAACATAGTGCAATGCAACACTTACATTTGTGGTGACAGTCATATATATAGCACAATTATGTACAATACATAATAGTTGATAATGACAATCAACAACCATGTTATGGGTTTGTGTTTTTACTGTACTTTGTACCATTATTTTAGAGTGCACTCCTTACTAAAAAAATTAATTGTAAAACAGCTTCAGGCATTTCCTTCAGGAAGTATTCCAGAAGGAAGGCATTGTTATCATAGGTGATGACAGCTCCATGCATATTATTGTCCCTGAACACCTTACCACATGACAAGATAAATTTAGTATAGCCTAAGTGTATGATGTTTATAAAGTCTACAGTAGTGTACAATAATGTCCTAGGCCTACACATTCACCACCCACTCACCCAGAGCAACGTACAACCCTGCAAGCTCCATTTATGGTAAGTACTTTATACAGATGTGCCATTTTATCTTTTATACTGTATTTTTACTGTACCTCTTGTGTTTAGATACACAAATGCTACTGTGTTACAGTTACCTATAGTATTCAGTACAGTAACATGCTGTACAGGTTTGTAGCCTAGGAGCAATAAGCTGTACCATATATCCTAGGTGTGTAGTAAGGTTATACCATCTAGGTCTGTGTTACGTACATTCTATGTTTGTACAACAATGAAATCACCTAATAATGCATTTCTCAGAATGTATCCCCATTGTTAAAAGATGCATGGCTGTATTTTTCAAAGAACAAGTTTTTAGTTTTGATAATTTTTTTTATTTTTCCACTTTTTATTTCATTGATTTCTGTTCTCATTGTTTTGTAACTTCTGTTTACTTTGGGTTAATTTCCTCTTTGCTCTTAAGGTAGAAGTTTGGTCATTGATTTTGCTCCCTTTTTAATGTAAACATTTAAGGTTATAAATTTCTTCTAAGTATTGCTATAGCTACATCTCCCAAACTTTGATATGAAATTCAAATTTGATAGGAAAACTCATTTTCAGGTCAAAATTTACTAATCTCCCTTTTGGTTTTTTCTTTGTATCATGGATTATTTAGAAGTGTGTTGTTTAATATCCAAATATTTGGGGATTTTTTTCAGAGATGTTTCTGTTCGAATTTCATTGTGGTCCAACAACATAGATTTCATTCCTTATATATTTATTGAGACTCATATGGCTCAGAATATGTTTATCTAGGTAAATGTTTCATAATTCACTTCAAAAGAATATGTATTTTGCTATATTTGAGTATAATATTCTATAAATGTCAATTAAGTCAGTTATGTCATTGATTTCTTTTTAACTTTTTTAATGAACTACTGAGGGAGGAGTATTGAAATTTTCAAACATAATTATAGATTTGTCTATTTTACCTTTTAGTTCAGTTGGTTTATGGTTTGGCTATTTTGTTTTTTGGGTTTTTGTTTGTTTGTTTTATTATTTTCCACAGGTGGTTGAGGTACAGGTGGTATTTGGTTACATGAGTAAATTCTTTAGTGGTAATTTGTGATATTTTGGTGCCCCCATCACCCAAGCAGTATACACTGCACCCTATTTGTAGTCTTTTATCCCTCACCCCCTTCCTACCCTTCCCCTCATGTCCCCAAAGTCTTTGTATCATTCTTATGCCTAGGCGTCCTCATAGCTTAGTTCCCACATATCAGTGAAAACATGATGTTTAGTTTTCCATTCCTGAGTTACTTCACTCAGAATAATAGTCTCCAGTCTCATCAAGGTCACAGCAAATGCCACTGATTCATTCCTTTTTTATGGCTGAGTAGTATTCCATTGTATATAGATACCATAGTTTCTTTATTCACTTGTTGATTGATGGGCATTTGGGTTGGTTCCATGATTTTGCAATTGCAATTTGTGCTGCTATAAATGTGCATCTGCAAGTATCTTTTTCGTATAATGATTCCTCTGGGTAGATACCCAGTAGTGGGATTGCTGGATCAACTGGTAGTTCTACTTTCAGTTCCTTTTGAGATGGAGTCTTGCTCTGTCGCCCAGGCTGGAGTGCAGTGGCACAATCTTGGCTCACTGCAGCCTCCATCTCCTGGGTTCAAGCAGTTCTCCTGTCTCAGCCTCCCGAGTAGCTGGGACTACAGGCACACGCCATCACGCCCAGGTAATTTTTTGTATTTTAGTAGATATGGGGTTTCACCATGTTGTCCAGGCTGGTTGTGAACTCCTGAGCTCAGGCAGTCCACCCACCTCGGCCTCCCAAAGTGCTGGGATTACAGGCATAAGCCACCGTACCTGGCCTACTTTTAGTTCTTTAAGGAATCTCCACAGTGTTTTCCTTAGCAGCTATACTAGTTTACATTCCCACCAGCAGCATAGAAGTGTTCCCTGTTAACCGCATTCATGCCAACATCTGTTTTTTGATTTTTTGATGATGGCCATTCTTGCAGGAGTAAGGTAGTATCTCATTGTGGTTTTGATTTGCATTTCCCTGATCATTAGTGATGTTGAGCATTTCTTCATATGTTTGTTGGCCATTTGTATATCTTCTTTTGAGAATTGTCAATTCATGTCCTTAGCCCACTTCTTGATGGGATTGCTTGTTTTTTTTCTTACTGATGGGTTTTTGGTCATGAAATCCTTGCCTAAGCCAATGTCTAGAAGGGTTTTTCCAATGTTATCTTCTAGAATTTTTATAGTTTCAGGTCTTAGGTTTAAGTCCTTAATCCATCTTGAGTTGATTTTTGTGTAAGGTGAGAGATGAGGATCCAGTTTCATTCTCCTACATGCGGCTAGCCAATTATCCCAGCACCATTTGTTTAAAAGGGTGTCCTTTCCCCACTTTATATTTTTGTTTGTTTTGTCAAAGATCAGTTGGCTGTAAGTATTTGGGTTTATTTCTGGGTTCTCTATTCTGTTCCATTGGTCTATGTGCTTATTTTTATACCAGTAGCATGCTTTTTTGTTGACTATAGCCTTATAGTATAGTTTGAAATAAGGTAGTGTTATGCTTCCAGATTTGTTCTTTTTGCTTAGTCTTGCTTTGGCTATGCGGGCTCTTTTTTGGTTCCATATGAATTTTAGAATTGTTTTTTCTAATTCTGTGAAGAATGATAGTGATATTATGATGGGGATTCCGTTGAATTTGTAGGTTGCTTTTGGCAGTATGGTCATTTTCACAATATTGATTCTATCCATCCATGAGCATGGGATGTGTTTCCATTTGTTTGTTTCATCTATAATTTCTTTCAGCAGTGTTTTGTAGTTTTCCTTGTAGAGGTCTTTTGCCTCCTCGGTTAGGTATATTCCTAAGTATTTTGTTATTTTTGCAGCTATTGTGAAGGGGTTGAGTTCTTGATTTGACTCTCCGCTTGGTCACTTTTGGTGTATAGAAGGGCTACTGATTTGTGTACATTAATCTTGTATCTGGAAACTTTGCTTAACTCTTTTATCAGCTCTAGGATCTTTCTGGAGGAGTCTTTAGGGTTTTCAAGGTAAATGATCATATTGTCAGCAAACAATGACAATTTGACTTTCTCTTTACTGATTTGGATGTCCTTTATTTATTTTTCTTGTCTGATTGCTCTGGCTAGGACTTTCAGTACTATGTTGAAGAGGAGTGGTGAGAGTGGGCATCTTTGTCATCTTCCAGCTCTCAGAGGGAATGCTTTCAACTTTACCCATCCAGTATTATGTTGGCTGTGGGTTTGTCATAGATGGCTTTTATTACATTGAGCTATGTCCCTTGTGTACCGATTTTGCTGAGAGTTTTAATCATAAAGCAATGCTGGATTTTGTTGAATGCTTTTTCTGCATCTATTGAGTTGATCATGTGATTTTTGTTTTTAATTCTGTTTATGTGGTGTATCACATTTATTGACTTGCATATGTTAAACCATCCCTGCCTCCCTGGTATGAAACTCACTTGATCATGGTGGATTATCTTTTTGATATGTTGTTGCATTTGGTTAGCTAGTATTTTTGTTAAGGATTTTAGCATCTATGTTTATCAGGGATATCGATCTGTAGTTTTCTTTTTTTGTTATGTCCTTTCATGATTTTGGTATTAGGGTGATGCTGGTTTTATAGAATGAATTAGGGAGGCTTCCCTCTTTCTCTAGCTTGTGGAATAGTGTCAAAAGGATTGGTACCAATTCTTCTTTGAATGTCTATTAGAATTCTGCTGTGAATCTGTCTTCTCCTGGACTTTTTTTTGTTGGTAATTTTTAAATTACCATTTCAATTTCACTGTTTATTATTGGCTGTTCAGGGTATCCAATTCTTCCTGACTTAAGCTAGGCAGGTTGTATTTTTCCAGGAATTTATCCATGTCTTCTAGGTTTTCTAGTTTATGTGCATAAAGGTGTTTGTAGTAGCCTTGAATAATCTTTTGTATCTCAGTGGTGTCAGTTATAATATCTCCTGTTTCATTTCTTGATGAGGTTATTTGGATTTTCTCTCTTCTCTTCTTGGTTTATTTTTCTAATGGTCTATTAATTTTATTTATCTTTTCAAAGAACCAGCTTTTTGCTTCATGTATCTTTTGTATTTTTTTGTTGTTGTTAATTTCATTTAGTTCTGCTCTGATCTTGGTTATTTCCTTTCTTCTGCTGGGTTTGGGTTTGGTTTGTTTTTGTTTCTCTAGTTCCTTGAGGTATGACCTTAGAATGTCAGTTTGTGCTCTTTCAGCCTTTTTGATGTAGGCGTTTAGGGCTATGAAGTTTCCTCTTAGCACCACCTTTGCTGTATCCCAGAGTTTTTGATAGACCGTGTCATTATTGTCATTGAGTTTGAAGAATTTTTTAATTTCCATCTTGATTTCATTTTTGACCCAATGATCATTCAGGAGCAGGTAATTTTCCATGTATTTGCATGGTTTTTAAGGTTCCTTTTGGAGTTGATTTCCAGTTTTATTCCTCTGTTGTCTGAAAAAGTGCTTGATATAATTTCAATTTTCTTAAATGTATTGAGGCTCGTTTTATGGCCTATTATATGGTCTATCTTGGAGAAAGTTCCATGCCCTGTTAAATAAAATGTGTATTCTGCAGTTGTTGGATGAAATGTTCTGTATATATCTGTTAAGTCCATTTGTTCCTAGGTATAGTTTAAATCCATTGTGTCTTTAACTTTCTGTCTTGATGACCTGTCTACTGCTGTCAGTGGAGTATTGAGGTCCTCCACTATTATTGTGTTGCTGTCTATCTCATTTCTTAGGTCTATTAGTAATTGTTTTATAAATTTGGGAGCTCCAGTGTTAGGTGCATATATGTTTAGGATTGTGATATTTTCCTGTTGGACAAGGCCCTTTACCATTATATAATGTCCCTCTTTGTCTCTTTTAACTGCTGTTGCTTTAAAGTTTGTTTTGTCTGATATAAGAATACTTACCCTTGCTTGCTTTTGGTGTCCATTTGCATGAAATGCCTTTTCCACCCCTTTACTTTAAGTTATGTGAGTCCTTATGTGTTAGGTGAGTCTCCTGAAGGCAGCAGATAGTTGGTTGTGGAATTCTTATCCATTCTGCAGTTCTGTATCTTTTAAGTGGAGCATTTAGGCCATTTGCATTCGATGTTAGTTTTGAGATGTGAGGTACTATTGCATTAATCCTGCTATTTGTTGCATTCATCTTGCAACAATGAGGTCTCTCAGCCGTGAATACCAGCACCTGTTCAGGAGGAGGTGGGGGGTAGGAGGGTTTGCTCTTGGTGTTGTACATTCTGCAGGTTTTGACAAATATGTAATGACATATATCCACTATTGTAGTGTCATACTGAATAGTTGCACTCCCCTAAAAGTCCTCTGTGCTTGCGCCTGTTCATCTGTCTCGTCTCTTAATCCCATGGTAACCACTGATCTTTTTACTGTCACTATAGTTTTGCTTTTTCCAGAGAGTCATATAGTTGGACTTCTACAGCATGTAGCCTTTCAGATTGGGTTCTTTCACTTAGTAATATGCATTTAAGGTTCCTTTATGTCTTTTCATGGCTTTATAATGCATTTCTTCTTGGCACTGAGTAATATTCCATTGTCTGGTACCACAGTTTATCCACTTGTACTGAAGGACGTCTTGCTTGTTTCCTCATAAAGTTGCTATAAACGTGTGTGGGTTTTTTGTGTGGATAGCAGTTTTCAATTCATTTGGGTAAATACTAAGGAGTACAGTTGCTAAATTGTCAGATAAAGATATGTTTGTTTTTATAGGAAACTGCTAAACTGCCTTCCAAAGTGGTGGTACCATTTTGCATTCTCACCAGTGATGAGTGAATGTTTCTGTTGTTCCCCATTGCTGGTCAGCATTTGGTGTTGCTAGTGTTTTAGATTTTGGCCATTCTAATACTGTATAGTGATATTTTATTGCTGTTTTAATTTGAAATCCCCTCATGACATGATATTGAACATCTTTTCATATGCTTACTTGCCATCTGGTATATCTTCTTTAGTGAGAGGTCTGTTCAGGTATTTTGCCCATTTTTTAAAAATTGGATTGTTTCTTATTGCTGAGTTTTAAGAGTTCTTTGTTTTGTTTTGTTTTTAATAATAGTCTTTTATCAGATGTGTCTTGCAAATATTTTCTTCTATTCTGTGGCTTATTTCTCAATCTTTTGACTTGTCTTACAGAGAAGTAGTTTTTAATCTTAAGACCAGGCAATCAATTATTTCTTTCATGTATTGTGCCTTTGGTGTTGTTTCTAGAAACTCATCGCCTTATCCAAAGTCAGCTAGTGTTATCTTATGTTATCTTCAAAGAGTTTTATAGTTTTGAATTTCACATTTAGGTCTATGATCCATTTTAAGTTAATGTTTGTGAAGGGTGTAAGGTCTAGATATGTGTGTGTGGGGTCGTTTTTGTGGGTTTTTTTGCAAGTGGATGTTCAATTCTAGTACCATTTGTGAAAAGACTATGTTTGATTCATTGGTTGCTTTTGCTCCTTTATCAAAGATCAGTTCACTGTATTTATGTGAGTCTATGTCTAGGTTCTCTAGTCTGTTCCACTGGTCTATTTGTTCTTTCACCAGTACCACACTATTTGGTTACTGTAGCTTTTTCAATAAGTCTTGAAGTTGGGTAGTGTCAATCCTCTGGCTTTATTCTTCAATATTTTGTTGGCTATTCTGGATCTTTTGCCTCCTATATAAACTTCAGAATCAGTTTGTTGATATTCACAAAATTACTTGCTGAGATTTTGTTTGGGATTGAATAGAATCTATAAATCAAGTTGGGAAGAGCTAACATCTGGACAATATTGAGTTTTTCTATCCATGAACATGGAATAATTATCCGTTTATTTCTTCTTTGATATCTTTCATCAGAGTTTTGTAGTATTCCTCATACAGATCTTGTACATATTTTTTTAGATTTATACTTAAGTATTATATTTGGGGGAGTGCTAATGTAAATAGTATTTTTTAAATTTCAAATTTCACTTATTACTGGAATATAGGAAAATGATTGACTTTTGTACATTAACCTTGCATCCTGCAACCTTGCTATAATTGCTAATTAGTTCCAGGAGTTTTTAAAAAATTCTGTCCTATTTTCTACATAGATGATGTGATCTGTGAATAAAGGACAGTTTTATTTCTTCCTTCCCAGTCTGTTTGTTTCATTTCCTTTTCTTGACTTACTGCATTTGCTAGGACTCCAGCAAGATGTTGCAAAGCAGTGGGAGGGAACACTCTTTGCCTTGTACCTGGTTAAGTGTTTTTTTTAGGATTCCACTTTATCTTTTTTATTATCTATATTTTTCTGTTTTATATTTTTAGTGGATGCCTTAGGGTTTTCAACCTATATTTTTAACTTATCACAATTGACCTGCATATAATATTATAACATTTCATATAAAATGTAAGAACCTCGGGACAGTAAATTTACATTTCCCCTCTTCCATCCTTTGTGCTCTTATTGTGATACATTTTAGTTCTCATTTTATATACCTCTTAATACATTGTTATTTTTGCTTAGAAAATGTTTAAGGTAAATAGAAATATTTATTTTAATACTAAAATATTAAAAACATAAAAGTCAAATTTTAAGAGATTAAAAATGAAAAAAACTTGTTTACTTACACTTATTTCTGATGCTCTCCAATTCTTTCTGTTTAAATTTCTCTCCAGTATAATTTTCTTTCTGCTTGGAAAATTTTAACATATCCTGTAAGATAAATCTGCTAGTGGTGTATATTCTTAGCTTTTATTCATCTGAAAAAGTCTATTTGTCATTTTCATTTTGAAATATTATTTTTCCAGGTATAGAATTCTATCTGGTGTGATAGTTTTTGCCCCCTTTTAGTGCTTCAGAGATGTTATTCCATTTTTTTGTCTTCGTAGTTTCTGACAATGTCTGTAATAATTCTTATCTTTGTTCTGTACATAATGTGTTTTTTCCCTCTGATGCTTTCAGGATTTTCTCTTTGTTTGGTTTTCCACAGTTTGATTGTAGTATCCCTTGTTGTACTTTTCTTTATTTTTTTTCTGCATGAGATTCATTGAGCTTCTTATATCATTGAGCTTCTTGTATGTGGGTTTATAATTTTCATGAAATCTAGAAATTTTGTCTTCAAATATTTTTCTCTCCTCTTTTGGAGTACAATCACATCTATTTTAGACTGCTTGTTATTTTCTTGCAGGTCACTGACACTCTTTCATTACAATTCTCTTTTTTCCCCACTGTGTGCTTCATTTTATATAGTTTCAATTGCTGTCTTCAAACTGGTTAATCTTTTCTCCAGAATGTAACCTAATTCCATCCAGATTATTTTTCATTCAGATGTTGCATTTTTAATCTTCAGGTATTCCACGTGGGTCTTTTTAATATACTCATTTCTTCTATTCATTATGTTAATAATTTCTTTATGGACATAAGCATATGTATAAGGTTTGTAATAACTGTTTTAGAGGGCTTGTCTAGTTTTATTATCTGTGCCATTTCTGTTTTTTTTTTCCTATTGATTTTTTTCCCTAACATGATCATATTCTACCACTTCACATGGCTGGTAACTTCTGACTGGATGCTAGACCATTGTGAATATTTCATTGTTGGGCTTTACATATAAATTACTTTGACTCAATTTGATCATTTTGAGTTTTTCTTTTAAGCTGTATTAGAGTGGGTATTATAGACTTAATTATGTTCTCCCTATATTTATATATTTAAGCCCCAGCCTCCAATATGATGATATTAGGAGATGGGGTCTTTAGGAAGTAATTAAAGTTAGATTAGGTTATGAAGGTGGGGTCCTTATGATGGGATGAATAGCTTATAAGAAGAGACACTAGAGAGTTTGCTCTCTCCACGGGAACACCCTGAGAAAAGGCCATATAAGTACACAGCAAGAAGGTGGCCATCAAAGAGAGTGCTCACCAGGAACCAAATTGGGTAGTACAGGTCAAATATCCCTTATCTGAAATGCTTGGTTGAGTATCCCTTATCTGAATATTTGCATGTACATAATGAGATATCTTGGAGATGGGATCCCAGTCTAAATATGAAATTCATATATGTTTCATATATACCTTATACACATAAGCTGAAGGCAATTTTATACAATATTTTAGATAATTTTGTGCATGAAACAAAGTCTTGACTGTGTTTTGACTGTGACTCATCACATAAAGTCAGGTATGGGATTTTCCACTTGTGGCATCGTGTTGGCATTGAAAGATTGGGATTTGGGAGCATTTCAAATTTCAGATTTTTGGATTTGTGATGTTCAACCTATGCCTTAATCTTGGACTTCCCAGCCTCCAGAACTGTAAGAAAAATTCTGTCATTTAAGCCACCCAGTCTATGGTATTTTGTTATGGCAGCCTGAGCAGACCAAGACCTGCAGGTCCAGAACAGCCTTCAATCTAGGGCTAATTTAGCCCCACCACTGAAGCATTACCTTTCTAAGGATTGACTCAATGTATTACGAAGTACTCCTACTGTTCCTAGCCCTGTGTGAGTTTGGAGTATTGTTCAGCCTGTTGCTTCTTGTTTGTTTCTCCAGCCTCAAAGAACTTCTCTCCACTTGCGCAAATCAGTACTCATCTAGAAACTTAAGGGAGTTCCTCTGCAGATCTCTAGAGCTATTTCTGTGTCACTCCTCCTTTTCCATATTCAATCCTGCAAATTTTAGCATCCTCATCATCTCAGAATCTGTCTCCTCAATTCATCTAGACTGCCAGGCTGTTTCTGTTACTTCTTCCTACACCATATCCTGAAAGCTCTCCAGACTGTAAGGTGGGCAGGGTGTAGGAGGGGTGGGTTCAAGGCTCACCTCTCAGTTCTGCATTGTTATTCAACAGCTCTAAATTGTTGTTTCATACATTTTCCCAATTTTCTAGTTATTTATGGCAGGAGAGTGGGAGCCATAACTTTTATTTTAAATGGTGAAAGTAATTCTTAATACAGAAAACTCAGCCTAAAAAGAGTTATAGTCTTACTACCAAGAAAGAGTGTTCATTTATGTTGCTTTCTTAGTAATTTTCCTATTTTTAGATTATTTTGATTTCTTTTGACATTTCCTGTGCCAAAGAAGCCTGAAACCAGCCTGTTTTTCTTCCTTTGTAGGTAAGCTGGCTAACTGCATGCTTGTCAAATTCTTTTTCTTTGAAATTCAGAAAGATTATCATGAATTGTTCAGTTATTTCTCATTCTTTTCATCAAAGAAAGTCTTCATTTTTTAAAATGGCTTTTGTTAAATTGACCTCCAGAAAAGTATCAATATATGTTTCAACTCAGAGTGTGGTAGTGTCTTTTTTTTCCATACTTTCTAATTATATAACTCTTAGGATTCTGTGTGGTTATTAACTCAAATGTCAATCCTTGAAAGATGGTTAAGTACAAAAATTTTTTCTCATCAAAAAGCTAAACATAGAGTCTGATTGTTTCACATCCATTTTTGGTTACTGACAAAGTTGATTTTTTTTAGTCAGCCATTTTTATTACTTTTAAGTTACTTTTAAATTCATTTTAATGTTTTTTAAGACGGGTCTCCCCTGGTTAGTCTCCTTTCAGACTTTTTTTCTATTTTTTTCCTGAAAGTTTAGAATTGTTTTTGTAAGTTCCAAAATTTCAATGAGATTTCTTAGAATTAAGTTTAAAATTTTTGAAGAGACTTCATGCATTTCATTAAGTGTATTCATTCATTGACATGTTGTAGTTGTCTATTTATTCAAGTATTAATCTTATGCCTTTCATTGCAGATATTTAGTTTTCTTTATTAGAGTTTGGCACATTTCTCGAAATTGTATTCTTAGATATTGTATGTTGTGATACTTTTTTTTTTTTTGATGGAGCCTTGCTCTGTCACCCAGACTGGAATGCAGTGGTGTGATCTCAGCTCACTGCAACCTCCTGGGTTCAAGCTATTCTGCTGCCTCAGCCATCCAAGTAGCTGGAATTACAGGGGTTGCCACCATACTTGGCTAATTTTGGTATTTTTTGGTAGAGATGGGGTTTCATCATGTTGGCCAGGTTGGTCTCGAATTCCTGACCTTGAATGTCTGCCTCGGCCTCCCAAAGTGCTGGGATTATAGGTATGAGCCATCATGCCTGGCTAGTTGTGATACTGTTTTTGCCATTAAGACTGGAACTCTAAGTGTTCATGGTTCAGAAAGAAAGAAATTGACTATTAAATATTATTTTGAAACTACCTTAGCAAACTTGGTTGTTTCAATAGTTTTCCCATAGGTTTTCCAAGTAGACTACCCTACCATTTATGAACAGTAGATTTGCTGTGCCCTTTTCAGTATTTAAAGTTCTTATTTCCATTTTCTAAATTTATTGTGCTGACTAAAAGTTCCAAAAAAAATTAATTATAATGTATATTTCTTTTTTCAGAAACTTCCCACTCTATAGAATTTAGCAGGAAGACTCTGCCTTTTAACTGTGAGAGCCAGGCAATAACGAATGCAGAGTTGAGGACATTTGCTCATGGCATGGCTCCAAGTTGAGGAGTGAGAGAGATGCAGATACACTTTCTTCTATCTTTTCTTTGAGTTTCATCCTGAGTTTTGCAGCTCTAATAATTCCTCATAGATGCAGCCTAATAACCACATTTCACTTCCAGTTGAAGTTTTTGCCACCAGAACAATTTAAATCTTGTTCTGAGAGGGGGTGTGGGTTCTAATTCCCAAACTATGTATTTTAATTTATGGTAGGACAAACACTACAAAATTATCAGACCTCACATAATCCTATTTACAAAAAGTGCAACTTTCCATTTCTTCAAAACTGTAGATCTATTAGTTTGTTAGGTGTTCCCTCAAAACTCTACAAGTTTGTGTTTTTATGTGCATAGAAAAATATATTACAAAATTAAAGTGTAAACTTTTTTCTTTTTGATCATCTGTATCTTTTGTTCTTCCAAAGTGAACATGCATCATTTTTGTCACAAGAAAATATTATTAAAATGAAGAAAAAAAAGTTTTTCCTTTGTAAAATGAGGATCAGAATGTCTTCACTTTCCTCTTGCAAGAGAAACAGGCTGGCTTGGCCTTTTGTATCCCACCCCTGCCCATTGCTTTATTTCACAAAGCAATGTGTTAGAACAGTTTAAAGCCTCTTTTGAAAGGCGTTCAATTTTCTTTATTTTGACTTCTTGAGAGGGAATTTAGAGGAGAAATGAACATTTTAATGGGTGAATAGCATATGAATTTAGCTATATTTTCTAGTGGGTGAAGCCTCAGATGCTGTGTCCAGCCCAGGTCATCAGAATTTTCTGCATTGTGTGTAGTTCTAGACCACAGATTACGTTGCTTTCTATTAATAGGTATTTACCTTTAAGAGTAGCAATTTGTCAAGGAACAGAGATCTGGCATTTCTAGGATCTCTAGTCTTAATACCATTTAAGAGTACATCATCCTGCCAGGTGCAGTGGCTCATGCCTGTAATCCTAGCACTTTGGGAGGCGGAGGTGGGTGGATCATTTGAGGTCAGGAGTTCAAGACCAGCCTGGGCAACATGGTGAAACCCCATGTCTACTAAAAATACAAGAATTAGCTGGGGTGTGGTGGCACATGCCTGTAGTCCCAGCTACTCAGGAGGCTGAGGTAGGAGAATCTCTTGAACCCAGGAGGCAGAGGTTGCAGTGAGCCGAGACTGTGCCATTGCACTGCAGCCTGGGTGACAGAGTGAGACTTTGTCTCAAAAAAAAAAAAAAAAAAAAAGAGTACCCCATTCTACCTATTCCCTGCCCCCTCTGTCTTACAGATTCAAGACCTTATTGTAACATTCACCATGAGATTAAGGTAGATAAACTTGGACTTATAAATAAATATCTTCTCATCTAAATGAAATCAGGGTGGTCTTAGTTTGCACCTAACTTTTAATTTGCACCTAAACAATTGATAGTTTTTACATGAATTAGATGCTTTGCTTGGCATTGCATATAAGAGGTGAAACATTTTATTTCACCTGATAACCTGACTCAACTGTAGTTCAAGAGTATCCTTCATAAATAATTGGATATATTAACAATTATCAGAAGGAGCTATTCAGTGGGTTAATTAATGCAGTTCTCTGGGGGTTATATTCTCTGGCCAACTTAGAGTAGCTTTTCTGTAGCTGTTTTCCCACAAGTTCAGATGAAGTATTTAGTATGGCAAATCAAATTCCATACTGCCTGGCTTTAGTCAAATAAGTCAGACCCTACATAATCCTATTTATAGGGTCTTAGTTCTGGCTGCTATAACAAGCTACCGCAAACTGGGTGGCTTGTAAACAACAAATATTTATTTTTCAACATTCTTGGAAGCATGGATTTTTCAACATCTTGAAGTCAAAGATCATGGCTCTGGCATATAAGGTGTCCAGTGAGATCCTTCTTCCTCATTCATAGATAGAGGTCTTTCATTGTGTCCCCACAATGCAAAAGGGGCAAGGGATCTCGCCAAGGCCTCTCTAATAGGGGCACTAATCCCATTCATGGGGGCCTTTCCCTCATGATCTAATCAGCTCCCAAAGGCTCCACCTCCTAATACTATCACCTTGGGGGTTAGGATTTCAACTTAGGGATTTGGGGAGTGGGGAGTAGAGAGGGATACATCTATACTATAGCATATACCTAACAAATATTTAAGCAGCTGAAAGCATTGGTGCTGTATGTTTCTGTGCCAGTTTTGTGATCTTTGTAAGAAATGTATTAATGTTTTCCCATATGGCCAAAAGGTCTGAAGTATATTCATCTGAGATGTGACTTCTGTTTCTTTCTGCTTTTAGCCATGTGCATCCTCTTTCCAAAGTGCTTTCATCATTAGATAATGTTTCTAAATTATCCAGGTGTCTGTTTTTAAATTTTTTTATTACAAAAGTAATATAGATTGATTACAGAAAACTTGAAATACAGAAAAGCACAAAAGAAAATAAAGATCACCTGTGTACTCTTATCACATGAAAATTTGACTTAAAAAATTAAAATCATTCTGGTTCTTAGTTTGTGACCTGCTTTTTTTCCTCTTATGCATTGCGAATGTGCCACATTACTAAATATTCTAATGCAACATAATTTTAAATGATGGTATCAATGTGCCATGATTTTAAATGATGGTGTGAATGTGCCATAATTTTAAATGATGATATGAATGTGCCATAATTTGACTTGTAGCCTAAGTTGGGCATTTGCTCTATTTTCAGTTTTTGCTATTAAAAATAACCTTATGATGAAAATCTTGCTCAAGTATGCACACATCTCTGTTACTCCACAGGATAAATTTCTAGAAGAGCCATCATTGATTGAAAGGAATGTTTACTTTTATGGCTTATCTTGTATGTGGCTAGGTTGTCATCCATAAGAATTGTTTCAGTTGACACTCACATAGATTGTGTGTGTGCTCCTTTCCTTGTACCTTTGCTGGTACTCAGTACAAATGGAGTTTCCTTCAGAGATCCCTCCCCACCCACCTGCATTTCCTTTCTGATACCTTCAGGTGTATTATCCTTTTGTGACACTCGGGGGAGGGGGGGTTTAAAAATATTTTTAATTGATGAGTAAAAATTTTATATATGGTGCACAACTTGATGTTTCGATGTATGTATACATTGTGGAATGGCTAAATCAAGCTGTTTGACATGTATTACCTCACATACTTGTCATTTTTTGTGATGAGAACACTTAAAATTTACTCTTAATTTTCAAATACACAATATATTGTTAAGTGTAGTCAACATGATACACAATAGATCTTTTGAACTTACTCCTCCTAACTGAAAGTTTGTGTCCTTTGGCCAATGTCTTCTCAATCCTCCCACCCCTCAGTGTCTGGTAACCACGATTTTACTCTGTGTCTACAAGTTTGACTTTTATGCACTTCCCATATAAGTAAGATCATGTGGACTCTGGGTTTTTTCATTATAATAATTGTAATTACATATATATATGATCGATTCAGGTCTATCTCTGCAAGTTCCATGAGGACAGGGACCATATCTAGCTTATTTACCTCTGTATATCCAGCACTTAATACGGTGTACAGCACATAGTATGATCTCAATACCTATTTGTTGAATGAGTAAGTGGGTATTTTTAAAATTTTATAATTTGATGGGCAAATAACTGTCTCTGTTAACGTGTATGTATTTGAGGTTGAACTTTATGCTTTAATTTGCTACTTAGTCTTCTATTTTATTGCCTATTCATGTTTTGATTCATTTTTCTGAAGAGTATATCTTTTTGATTGAAAGCTCTTTCTCTTCTGAGGTCCTATAAGCTCCTATCTGAATATAGCATATTTTATCACTTTCCATCTTCATTTTCTAGTTCTATCTCATTCGCTTGGTTTATTCCCCATTCTTCATGTTTGATGTATAGCATCTGACACTAAAAGCGTTGTTGAAATCACTGATTACCTCCCAATCTTACTTTTCCATTCCACATTATAACTTCTGCCCTCTATAATTATAGATATCCCTAACTTTTCCTGGGCTTTAAAAAATCTCCACTGCATTCAGTTTAAAGTCACCTTAATTTAGACATTTTGCTTGAGGTAAACTTTTTTTTTTTTTTAACTTTTTTCAGAAGCATTCTATTCCTAGCTAAAAGCTCATCATTTTGCTATCTTAAACCTGAGATTGGCAAATATGTTCTCTAACAGATTACATAGTAAATATTTGAGGCTTTGCAGGCTAAATATTCTCTGCTTTTACTAAACATTGTCCTTATAGCACTAGGGCAGCCATAGGCAATATATGAATGAGTGAATATGGCTGTGTTCTAATAAAACTATGGACACTGAAATTTGAATTTCATATAATTTTCACATGTCACAAATAATACCTTTTCCCACAGCCATTTAAAAATATAACCATTCTTAGCTTATGGGAAGCACAAAAAGAGGCCATAATTTGCTGACCTTTGTCATAAGCCATGATCCAGAGAGACACATCAAGTCTGTAATCACCATCCTGCCATTTACCTCCCAGTTTTCCAAGCTTTTATAATTGATTAAAAAACAACAAAAGCCTACCTCTTTGTTCCACGGTACTTTTGTTTCCTACATAGAACTTGAGGTCCTTGAGGCTGTTTCTCTGGTCTCATCATTCATCCCTGTAGAATCAGTGATTCCTTCCTCTCCATTGTCTTTCCTAATTTCTCTGGATTCCACCTTTGTCATATCCCTTCTTTTTCTATTCTCTCCCAGCACCCCAGTTAAAACTCTTGCCTAGAGAGTTGCAGTGGTTTCCTAACTGGTTGTCCACCCATCCAATCTAATTTTCTGTTGCCAGATTACAGTTCTGATAATCTGTCTCCCTTGCTAAAAATCTCTAGTATCAGTATCTCTGTTTTTGCTTGTATAACCAAGAAAAACTCCTTAGCTTGGCATTTAAGGTATTCTGTAATAGGACATTAATCCACCTTTCTAGTTTTTCTTTCACTATTTCCCTAATGCCTTAGGCAAACTATTTTATTCAATTTTCTTTATGAAGTTCCTTCTACCTTCAATGTTCTCTCTACCATGTCTGTCTGCAGAATTCTCTCCATCCTGCAAGATCCTTATAAAAGGAAGCCTTCTGGCACTTACAGCCTTAGGTTATAGATGTTTATGCGTTGATCTCACTTCCCTACTTAATTTTAAGTGCCCTGAGAGGAATTACACCATCAAAGGTAATCTTTTTTTGTCCCTGAAACACCTAGCACAGTGATAATTTAATACATTATTGTTATTGAATCTGCAAATGGGAGGAACCTTCGGATGGAAAGATCAGTTATATTTAGAAAGATTATCTTACTGTTCACTGGGAGAGCTTTAGGAAATTATCTCATGGCAACTACAGAAGAAATGTAAAGAATCTAAGACTAAGGGCTAGGTACCTTTTGTTAAAGCTAACGATATAATCATAGGTATCTAATCCTCTCCTTCCCAGACCCATGGAAATGCCCAAGAAAATGTGAAAATAGGGGAAAACCCTCATAAACTTGATAGGGAGCCATGTACTTGCCAAAACTTGGAGGGGCTTCTGCTGAATGCTGTGCCAATGGTATTGGATGAAAAGAAGAGTAGTCAGTTCCAGAGGGAGAATCCTGCCATGTAAGCGCTGCTTGCCAGAGGAGCAGGCAAGGGTCATGCTCACACCATGTGCCAGGCATTATGTTATGCACTCTTCGTGCCTCATCACATTTAGTTTTCTTGTCAGCCTTGTGAGAGATGGAGATTATCTTCATTTTTCAGGTGAAGAAACTGAGACCTAAAAGGTTACACAGTTTGTAAGTAATGTCAGGCCAAGTAAGAGAAGAAAGACCAAAAGAAACAGTTTAGAAGGAAAAAGTATTAATAGTGATTGTGTCTGGGTGGTAGGATTTTAGGTAATTGGTATTTTTCTTTATATCTTTGTGACTTAACTTTTTTTTTTTACATTCAGTTATCTACTTTAATGTCGATTGAACAAAACTCTACAATCTTTCACTCTGCTTTAGTTCTCCTGCTGTGGCTGTTCACTGGACCTTGGCTAAATGGATGTTCTCCCTGCTACTTTCTGATCACATCCTCCTGTCCTTCCAGCTTACTTCTCAATTATTCCCATGCATGATCATTTTATTTTAGTGGGGCCTCTGTATGCCATTGACTTCTCTCTACTAAAATCCTCAGACTCTACTGTCTTAACTCAGATTCCTCCTGTCCTGACTTCCTACCTGCTAAGTTTAGATTATCATCCAATATTTCCTTAACTTTATTTTCCCACCTTTTCTACTTTCTCAAATGTCTGACCTCCCTCCTCTTTCCTTTTACTTTCAGGAGTGGGCCTTGCTTCTGAACTCAGAGAATGCAGGAGCTATCAGATTTTAACTCTCTGTACCTTCTGACTCCACATTCACAGAGCCTTTCTTTGTACCCTTACCTTTTCCCCCACTCTCTTTGCTTCTATTACAACAGAAAAACTTTTCCTTCCTGTCCTTTAGGGCCAGTTGTCCCACCGTCCAGGGACGTTCCACCATCCCATCTCTTCCCTGCATTAGGCATTCATTAAGTATGTTTTCAATAAACATGGAGTACTTTTATAAATAGGAGAAAATTAGTAACAAAAATTCTTTCTGGGTAAGAGTATGGGATTGAGTAATAGACTCTAGAATAATTGTTAGAGAATGTTTGTTAGCCTAGAAAATTCCTCAGCATTTAGTTTCATAATGATTCTATCTACTCTAAGTGTATTTTGTATGGTATGAAATGCTACAGTTCCTCTTAAGAACAGTATTTTGTCTATTTAATTGCAATATGTCTCCTTTTATAGATTTTTTCTTTACATATTGCTTAGATCTACCTTTGACTTTCTTTGGTCAGGGGGACTGTGACTTGACTTTTTTTTTCTTTTTTCATAGCTGGAGAACACATTCAAATCAGTTATTGCACAGATTGGACCTGGAGGAACTATCAGTTCAGAACTAAAACATAAGATAAAATTTGTAAGTAATTTCTGTTTCTGGGAGACAATAATAATTGATTTATAAATTTATATATCATTTGTGGTTGAGTTTGTCTGCAAGTATTAATTTACATCTAATCTTTAATATACTGCAAACTAAGCAACAATTCTTTTAGACTAAGAAAAAGAAACAAAATACGTACTCCTAAAAATTTTTAACATAAAACTATTTAGTAAATAAGTTCTTCCATAAGTTCTCTCTTCCTTTCCTTCTTCCCCTCATCCCAATAGATCACTGTTGACAAACAGTTCAAGATCTTTCCAAATACCAATTTTATAAATGTACATTAAATATTGTTCCAATGTGTGTTATCCCATTACATTGATGTACCCTGTTTCATGTAGAGATCCATGATTGATTAAAGTTTTGGTGTTTTTATCTTTGACTGTGGAAAAAGTTCTCCAGTTAATGTCCATGGACATTTTTCTAGAAGTGGAATTGCTAGTCAGAGGCATCTTATGTTTTGATTATAAATATTACTAAATTGCCCTCTAAAATGCTTGAACAGATTTATACTCCCACTGACAGGTGTTACTATCCCATCACGTTGTTTTAGTTTATCTTTTGATTTTTACATTAAGCATCTTTTCATGTGCTTATTAGTCACATATATTTTTTATGTGAATTGCCTGTTTATGTCATTAGTCTTATTTGTTTTACCTTACTAACAAGTGAAAACTCTTTGGTGTTATGTATTGAGCCAAAGAGTTATGTACACTTAAATTTTTTGTGGGAGCTGTTAATCCTGCTTTGAGTAATCAAGGTGCTATTACAGCTTGTACTGCCTTATATTATTCCATTTCAACTGTCATGATTTTACTAGGAGAGATGCAAAAACCTTGATGCATTCAGGCCCTGTTTTTTTGTTTAGACACTTGAGCAAGTGTCCAATAATTACTTGTTAAAGGACATTCAATATGACTTTTTTTTTTTTTAAGAGACAAGGTCTTGCTCTGTCACCCAGGCTGGAATGCCGTGGTGCAATCATAGCTCACTGCAACCATCAACTCTGGGCTCAAGCAATCCTCTCACATCAGCCTCCCGAGTAGCTGGGACTAGAGGTGCATGCCACCACACCCAGCTAATTAAAAAAAATTTGTAGAGACAGGGTCTTGCTCTGTTGCCCAGGCCTGTCTTGAACTCCTGGCCTTAGGCATTCCCCCACTTCAGCCTCCCAAAGGCTGGGATTACAAGAGTGAATATGATTTTTTTGTGGTACCAAAAATTGGAGAAAAATTAGGCATTAATTTTAAAGGATTGGTTATGTATCAATATTGGATATTCTCCAAACTAGGGATGTCATGTAGCTTATGAGAAAGTTTATATATGTCTCTCTCAGTTTACATGGAAGTTTCTCCTTGACTTATTGTTGTACTTTAAAAACAGGTTTTATAGAATAGTGTGTTCAGAATTGTTCTTTGATATAAAACCATGAATAACATGTGCACACATAAAGGAGTTTCTGAAAGGGTGTTTCTCTAAATGTAGCAATGGCTGTCTCTGGGTCACAGGATTTTGAAATAATTTTTACTTTAGATTTTTCTGAAGCTTGATTAGAATTTTGTATAAAATATATCTGGAAAAATTTAGAAAACAAAGATTTTTGTACTTTATTGGGATAGAGTAAGTCTACCTTTAGGAAATTATTCTAAAAATCATTGAACTAGTATGCAGAACTCAAGCATGAGGATAATCATTACAATATTTGGGATGAAAAATAAGAAACAAAATAGAAGATCAAATACATTTAGGTGTCTTTAATATTTTGAAAAATCTGTAGCCAGTGAAAATGTTTATGTTTTTACTGACATGGAAAGATGTCTTTGGTATGATATTTAAAAGCTGGCTATAGAAATATTGACCTTGTTTTAATATTAAATAGATATTTTGATGTACGTATGGACAATAATGCTCTTAACAGATCTTTTATTTTTGCTTAACTGTATTTTCCAAAGTTTTTTCTAATGTTTATTGCATTTCTTTTCTAACAATTAAAATGCTTGAAACTGTGCTATAGGATGTTTTATGTGAGCTGAAGCTAAATGTGTTAGCTGAGCTTAAAGAAGTGCAGGAATTTCTGGAGAGTTGTGGTATTGCAGTAGCATGTAATAATCATTTCTCAACTCTGGAAATGTTGGAAATCACAGTCTCTTTTTGTTCTAATGTTTTTTAAAACTGGAAACTCATTTTCAAAAAAAAACAATTTAATATGACTAAAATTCATTTAATAATGTTACTTTTGCCTTTGTTGTTATTTGTTTATATTATTTTAATATTGTGTCACTCAGCATTTCAGTGTGTCTATATTGTATTTCACTTTCTATTTGTTAGGTTGTATCTAAGTTCCCAGAGGGTTTGTTTATTTCTAAACTGCTTGGAGAGTATGAGGTAAGTGTTTTGCTTTTCCCCAACCCTAATTTTTTATGGCTTATATTTCTTGTGATAGATGGAATTTTGTGGCTACTCCTTGGATTCTCCAGGTCTATGCTCTAAAACGGAAACATTTTGTTTTGCATTTTAGTATATTATAAGACTTGAGAATATGATCTTTAACAAATACTTGATTATGCATAGGAAGGATATTTTTACCACTTATTGTTATAATATTATTATAATAAAGATTATCCCATTAATGTTTGACAGTGTTATACCAAGTGTCAGTGGGAATGCAGAGAAGCAGAATACTTCATACACTGCTTGTGGGACAAAATGCTCTTAGGGAGCATTTTGGCATTATCAAGTAAAGTTGAAGGTATGCACCCTCAGGGATCCAGTAGTTCCACTTTTACATTTGCACTCTAGAGAAACTCTTGCACATGTACGCATGAAGACCTGTAAAGAAGTACACAGCACAACACAGGAACAAATGAGAAACAAATGGACATCAGTAGGATAATGGATAGAGATTGACATTTATACAATGGAATTGTATGTAGTAGTATAAAATAAATCTGCTCTGCAACGTGGATCATTTTTAAAACCATAATGTTGAGTGAAAAAAATCAAGTTTCAGAATAATTCAGATAATGCCATATATCCAGTTTTTAAAAAGATAAGTCCTATACATATGTTAACTGTGTGCCAGGCTCTATCCAGAGCATCTTTCATATTGGCATATGTTCATTTTGTTTTCACAACAAATAGAGGCACAGAGAAGTAACTTGCCTAAGCATCAACATCCAGTAATAGATGGAGCCAAGATTTTAACCTGGGCAGTCTGGCTTCAGAATCCTAACTCTTAACTACTGTGCCATGAAAACTATAGTATATTTATAGGTAAAAACATAGATATTGTGAGATAGTATAGCATAATTGTTAAGATATATAATTCTGTGTGCTATCTTATAGACAGTATGTTAGGTCAAGATAATACCTACTTTATAGAGTTTTGTGAAGTTTAAATGACTTAAAAATAAGGCACTTAGAACAGTGCCTGGCACATAAGCTCTGCTCAGATCTCTGCCTGACCTTTAACTGCACATGCTTGGGGCAGACATAGAGCAGCCTCTGTTCTTTTAAGGCTAAAAGAACTGAAGATATTTCAGCTGTTGCCCATCAAAGGGTGGCAGATTTTGGGTTTATGTTCAGCCAAATTTAAAATGAATCAAACAATAATCTCCAAAAGAGCATAAAAGATTCCAGATTCTCTACAATACATCTATCATGATGCCTGGAACACAAACCAAAATTACTAGACACAGTAAGAAACAAGAAAATGTGACCCCTTGACAAAGAAAAGGTGATCAATGGAAATTCTGAGATGATGCAGATATTGAAGTTAGCAAAAAAGGTTTTAAAGTAACTCTTACAACCACATTAAAGGATATAAAGGAATAAGTATTCAGAGTAAATGAGGAGATAAGATATTTCAGTGCAGAAAAAGAAACTATAAAAACCAAGTTATTTTCATAACTTAAAATATCTGAAGTAAAAAATTCACTAACAACAAATTGGAAATGGCAGAAGAAAGCTTTAGTAAACTTCAAGACAGATCAATAGAAATTATCCAATTTGAAGAACAGAGAAACAAAATAGAACTTGAGTGACCTGAGACCTGTGGAATAAAACCAAATGGCCTAATGTATCTATTAATATAATTGGAGCCTAAGAAAGCACAGCAGAAATATATTTGAAAAAATAATGGCCCAAATTTCCCAAATCTTGTGAAAGAAGTTTATAAATCTAAGAAGCCCAGAAAACCCCAAACAAGTAATACAGAGAAAACCTCACATAGGCACATCATAGTAAAAATGCAGAAAACCAAATATAAGTAGAAAATTCTGAAAGCAGCCAGACTAAAAATAACACACTTCATACAGGAGAACAGTGATACAAATGATGGCTGACCTCTTGAAGCAATGCTAGAAGACAATGGAATGACATCTTTAATGTACTCAAAAGAAAAGTACTGTTAACCCAATATTTTATATCCAGTGATAATATCAAGAATGAAGATGATGAGATAGACATTTTCAGGTAATCAGAATTGGAAGCAGACTGGTACTATAAGAATGCTAAATAATGTTCTTCAGGCTGAAGGAAATAATGCCAGATTGGAACTTTAATCTTTAGGAAGGATTGAATAAAGGATGTAGTAAATATCTGGGCATATGTGAAAGACTGCCTTTTTTGATCAGTTAAAATATATGACTGTTTAAAGCAAAAATTACAGCATTAAATAATTGGGTTTATAACATGAAAATGTAATGCATATGAAAACTACTGCATAATGAGTGGAGGGGCAGTACCTGGAACTATAGGGTTGCAAGATTCTTATATTTTATTTGAAGTGGTACAGTAGGACTGAAAAGGATGTATATTGGTTTTGCTGGTGAATTCTGTTAAAACATTTAAGGAAGAAATTATATTAGTCATATACAGATTGTTTCTTAAAATAGCAGAGAATATTCTCCAACTCATTCTTTTTTTTTTTTTTTTTTTTTTCCTTTTAAGAGAGAGTCTCACTGTCACCCAGGCTGGAGTACAGTGGCATGATCTTGGGTTACTGCAGCCTTGAACTCCTGGGCTCAAGTAATCCTCCTGCCTCAGCCTCCTGAGTAGCTGGGACTACAGACATGTGGTGCCATGCCCAGCCAATTAAAAAAAAAATTTTTTTTTAGAGACAGGGTCTCACCATGTTACCCAGGCAGGTATTTAACTCCTGCCCTAAAGCAGTCCTTCTATCTCAGCCTCCCAAAGTGCTGAGATTACAGGCATGAGCCACCACACCTGGCCTCCCCAACTCATTCTATAAATACATTGTCCTGCTACTAAAGCTTGACATAGACATTACAAAAAACCAATTAGAACATGTTTCTCGTAACGTGGACACAAAAGTCTATTACAAAACAGTAGTAAATTGAATTCAGCAATCCCTGAACAAGAGGGGTTTATCCTAAGAATGCAAGGTTGGAGTAACATTTCAAAAGGAATTAAGGCAATTCACCATTTTAATAGAATAACAAGGAAGAAAAGCCATGTGATTATTTTGGTAGATGCAGAAAAAGAATTACCAAAATTTAATACCCATCCACAATTAAAACTCTCAGAAAACTAGGAATAGAAAAGAAATTCCTCATTTGGATAAAGTGCATTTGTGAAAACCTATTAATATACTTGTCATACTCAATGGTGAAACACTGAACAATTCCCCCTTAAAATCTGGAACAAGGTAAGTATATCCAGTCATACTGCTTCTATTCAACATTGTATTGCAAGTTCTAACCAATGTAATAAGGAAATAAAAGGCATGAAAACCTAAAAGAAAAAACGTAAAACTTTATTTGTAGAAAACATGATTGTTCATATAGAATATACTAAGGAATCCATGAAAAAGCTACTAGAACTAACTTATTAGGTCAAAATACAAGGTTAGTATACGGAAATCAATGTATTTTCATATGTAAGTAGCAAACTATTGGAGAATGAAATTAAATTCTGTTTATTATATCGTCAAATTACTTGGAAATAAGTTTAACAAAAGAAACATAAATCATGTACACCGAAAACTAATAAACATTGTTGAGAAGTTGAAGACTAATAAATGGAGAGGTGTAAGATACTCATGGGTGAGAAGACTCATTATTGATAACATTATATGAACATGATAACATTAATGTATGGATTCAATATAGTCCCCATCATAATTCTTGCGGGCTATTCGTAGATACTAACAAATCCATGAATTTGGCCTTACAGTGCATGCATAGGAGATCCACCCATATACACTGAAGTGATTTTTGAGAGAGGTGCCAAAGGAATTCAAAAGGGATAAGACAGTATTTTCAGCTCTGGGCATGGTGGCTCATGCCTGTAACCTCAGCACTTTGGCAGGCTGATATGGAAAGATTACTTAAAGCCAGGAGTTTGAAAAAATATTTTCAACAAATGATGCTGGAACAACTGAATGCAAGATACAACTGAATACAAAAAAAAAAAAAAAGAATCCCAACCCCAACCCGACACCATGTACAAAAATTATTTCAAGATGTATCATAGACCTAAATGAAAAAATTAAAGGTCTAAAACTTCCAGGTGAATTAAAATATATTAATGACCTGGACAGGCAAAGCTTTCTTAGGACACAGAAGCAGTAATCAGTTAAAAGAAAACTGATAATGAGACTTCATCAAAATTAGCTTCTATTTAGGAGACCCCATTTAAAATTGAATAGGCAGACCACAGACTGGGAAGAAATATTTACAATCATACATCTAACAAAGGACTTATATTCAGAATACATAAAGACGAGTCTATAGCTCCATAATAGAAAGCCAAACAATTCTTTTTGTAAATGGCCCAACTTCACAAATGCAGATATGAGTGACTGATAAACATATGATAAACTCACATTTTTGGTGCAAGTATAAAATGGTACAACTACTGTGGAAAATGTTCTTACAATTTCTTGTAAGTGTGTATTTATCCTTTGACCCAGAATTATACTCCCAGATATTTATTCAAACTCTGTGTCCTCAAAGACTTATATGATAGTATTCATAACAGCTTTATACATTATAGCCTCCCAAAACTGGAAATAAGCCTACTATTCATCAATAAGGGAATTAATGAAGAGATTGTGGTACGTTTGTACAACAAAATACTATTCCACATATGTCCAACAATGATAGACTGGATTAAGAAAATGTGGCACATATACACCATGGAATACTATGCAGCCATAAAAAATGATGAGTTCATGTCCTTTGTAGGGACATGGATGAAATTGGAAATCATCATTCTCAGTAAACCATCGCAAGAACAAAAAACCAAACACCGCATATTCTCACTCATAGGTGGGAATTGAACAATGAGAACACATGGACACAGGAAGGGGAACATCACACTCTGGGGCCTGTTGTGGGGTGGGGCAGGGGGGAGGGATAGCATTGGGAGATATACCTAATGCTAGATGACGAGTTAGTGGGTGCAGCGCACCAGCATGGCACATGTATACATATGTAACTAACCTGCACAATGTGCACATGTACCCTAAAACTTAAAGTATAATAATAATAATAAAAAGAAAAAAAAGAAGTAAACAGCTGATACATGAACCAGTGTGGATGAATCTGAAAAATAGTTGCTGTGGAAGTAAGTCTCATACAGCAGCATACTGTAGAATGTCTTTTATATTAAATAATACAATAGCCAAAGATAATCTATGGTGGAAAAAAAGTTTGTCTCTAGGGGTGACTGGGAAAGGGAGAACTTGCTGAGGTAATGGAAGTGTTCTGTATCTTGAGTAGGGGTTTGGGTTACACAGTTCTGCATTTATCAGGGCTAACTGACTGGTAAACTTAAGTTGTGTGCATTTCACTGCGTGTAAATTTTACCTAAAAGTGAACAGATACTGATTTCTAGTTAATGCTGTACGTGCTGGCCTATTTTGGGGTAAAGGCTACTGATGTGTACAGGTCACTTTGAAATGTATATAAAAGATAAGATGGGTTGGTAGATGGTTGGATACACAGATGACATAGCAACTCTATAGTGGTAGAGTTCAGTATCCAATTCTTTCAACTTTTTCTGTGTTTGAAATTTTACATAAGAAAATCTTAGGAAAAAAAGGAAAGATAAAGATGATTCAAGAGAAAATGACAGGTATTAAACAGGCAAAGAAGAGCCAACATGAATAATAAAGCCAAAGAAGGAAACAGAATGAAGCCTGAAAACTAGAATTCAAGTAAACCTTACTGAAATGGAAGATTTGAGGCTATGTGTTTTGAAGAGCACACTGCATATCTGACAATATCAACTCAGAATGACCAATATCAAATTTCTGGACTTAAAAGAAAAAAATTTTTCTGGGCATTTAAAGAAAAACAGCAAGTGACTTATAAAGGAAACAAAAGTTAAATTATTAGACATTTTCACAGCAATGTTTTAAGCTAGATGAAAAGGGAGTGACTTATATACTCAAAACATGAGCCAAAGATTCTTTAGCTAGCAAAACTGACTTTCAATTGCAGAGAGCCAGACAAGCTATTACCACCATGCAAGAATTCAAGAACTCTTGTTCCCATGAGCCCTTCCTGAGGAATCTACTGGAGAATGAACATCAGAAAACCAAAATCACACTAGAGAGACATTGATAAAAGGACTGAAAGTGAATACCATTTATACAACTAAGATCAAATGAGGGTTGGGGGGAGAGAATATAGTGTTTCGTGGCAATGTACTCTGCTAATGTAGACAAAGTACAGTTACACAAAATAGTGGAAGAAGAAAGGGTGAACATATGCAAAATTATTTTGTTTTGATTATATTGGTGGTAGTATTCTGAGACCATTGTTGTATAATTTGATGTAAAGCAAATGAATAATTAGATAATTCAAATTGTGTATACAAGGATATCCTAGTTATATAAATTGAGTTTGGAACATCTTGTCGTACCAGACCAGCAAGGAAGCTATTAAAAACTAGGTTCACATTAGAGCTTAGGAATTCACTTGAAGAATTATTTCAGGCTACAATAAGGATAATAATTGCAATATTTTGAAGCCTATCAAATATATTTAATTCTGTGAGTTTATACGATACTAAAAAAACTGATGACTCAACATAGAGGATGATGGAACTAGTTCACTTTCTTTAAAAATGGTAAATAAAGAGAGCCAATCACTTATCTTGGCATTCCTAAATGAATTGATACAGCTGGATAAGCAAAGAGCAGGAGGGAAAGCATACATCTATAGAGTGTTCCAACTAAATAATGAAAAGGAATTGACAGAATGCTGCTGTTAAAACCCTCAAAGTAATGGATCTAGGAATTGACTAATAATGGCTCTTAACAACACCAAAAAAGAGACAACCAGATATTACGTGCCCCTCTTTAGAACATAGCATAACTTATAGTATTGTCAAAGAGATCAAACATAAATCTGATCAAGCCTGTGGGGATATTCATTATGCTAATTTGCAGGAAATAAAGTGTTTGTACTGCAAGATTGTCAGACTTTGAGAAAACAAAATCATGTAAACAGGATATATACACATATTTTAAGGCATAAATCTAAACTCTAAGAAAAGGATAATTAAAATTTCGTTGAAGGTGGAAGGAAAGTAAGGAGGGTGGGAGTAGAAATATATCAATTTATTTATTTCTTTTCTTTTCTTTTCTTTTTTTTTTTTTTTTTTTTTTTTTTAAGACGGGGTCTTGCTGTTCCCCAAGCTGGAGTGCAGTGGTACAATCATAGCTCACTGCAGCCTCAGCCTCCCAAGTAGCTGGGATTACAGGCACATGCTACCATGTCCAGCTAAGTTTTTTTTTTTTTTTAAGTTGTAGAGGCAGAGTCTCATTATATTGCCCAGGCTGGTCTCTAACTCCTGGCCTCAAGCAGTCCCTCCTGCCTCAGCCTCCCAAAGTGCTGGGATAACAGACATGAGCCACTTTTCCCAGCCCATCAGTTTCTTCATTGTTCATAGTTGGGAGCCAATAAAGCAGAAAGCATAACAAAGGAATTAGGATAAAATATATCTGACATATTAGTAAATTGACTAACCTTTTAAAAGAAACTGAGTCTCAGGATCAGCTAGCAAAACTCAACTGTGTTTTGTGTACTGAGATAATAATTGAAAAAAGCAAGATGTACCTAGTATATGTAATCTATTATGTTGAATCATATTTGAGTTTTGATAATTTCTGGAACATTTTAACAAGGAACTGGCAATAATGGTTACTTCCAGGGAAGTGATTGCTAGGTGACTGAGGAATTTGTTGTTGTTGTTGTTGTTGTTGTTTTTGCCAATTTAACTGAAGTGTTTATTTTTAAAATAGTTCCTGATTAAACTCACATCCTGCCTTTTAATAATCAGATCACTCAGCATCATCACAGTTTACCAAAATACAGATAAATTCTAAAGGAAAATGTCATTTCTGAATAAGAGCTGTCAAGTCAAAGTGATTGAGAAATCCAGATGAGCACTATTTCTCATCTGCTTGTTTCTCTTGGTGCGGAGGAGAAAGCTGGAAGATGGCAGCTTACATTTTCATGACCAATTTAGCAGATAACAACCCAATATAAAACTCAAAAATAAATTCACAACATAAATTGAGGAAACTGAAGCTTATTCACTTTAAAAACCAAAAGGATTGAGAATAATGTATTAAAATTCAAATGGGAGACTACCTGAAGAGCCAAGATGAGAATACATATTAGAAGGTCTTCCACTGAAAGCATTAACATTAGTATTAAAAAGATAATTTGCACGATAGATTAAGAAGGGAAAAATACACTAATTGAGTTTTTCAGTATAAAATGCATGCAAAGAATGAAGATAGAAGTCACTCAACAACAAAAAAGTCTCTTTAGATGTAGCAGGTTTTGTTTTTTAGGCTCAGAAATAAGCAAATTTATCATCTTAGGATAATACATACAATAAATGCAACATATTTATTGTCTGTCTTAGAATAATACCTACAATAGATGCAAAATATGAAGACTGAAGGCAGCTTTGGGAGAACATTTCACTTTTAACCCTTTGGAGTAGTTTTTTTTCAATGTTTTAAGAATTTATGTGAGATACAGTTAATATAAATGAGTGAAACTAAAACAATGTTGGTGATGCTTTTGACTATGGAATAAATAACATGATAGACGGTCCTTTTAAGACATATGAAATGTTTTCTGTTTAAGGAATGTATTTTATGTGTCTATCCCATATATATTGTCTTCTGTCTTCATTTGGTATGACTTTTCTTCTTTTCTAAGGCAAGAAAATCAAACTGTATGCTATGGGAAATACACCGATAGATAGCTGCTCATTTATTCCAACTTTTTTTTTTTTTTTTTGAGACGGAGTCTTGCTCTGTCACCCAGGCTGGAATGCAGTGGTGCGATCTTGGCTCACTGCAAGCTCCACCTCCTGGGTTCATGCCATTCTCCGGGTTCATGCCATTCTCCGGCCTCAGCCTCACGAGTAGCTGGGACTACAGGTGCCCATCACCACGCCTGGCTAATTTTTTGTATTGTTAGTAGAGATGGGGTTTCACCGTGTTAGCCAGGATGGTTTCGATCTCCTGATGTCGTGATCCACCTGCCTCGGCCTCCCAAAGTGCTGGGATTACAGGCGTGAGCCACCGTGCCTGGCCTTTATTCCAACTTCTAAGGTGAAATAATAAACAAAATTTAAGGAAATATTTTTGAACAATTTCTGTACATGTCGGAAGTGATATCGAATATTATCTTTATTGGAAAATAGAGAAATACCAATAGTTTTATTACGACTGTTGTAATTTGTGCATTCTCCTCTTGTTTTTTTAAACACTTTTGCTTTATATTCAGACATTGTTAAAAATGAGAAGTGAAAAGTGCCCACCCTAACTTTTACTTTAGTTTACCACATGCTTTAAAAGGAACTTGACATTGACCCAGAAGTTTTATAGTAAGGGATTATTGGTCACTTGGTTTGTTTTATGCTGGTATGGAAGTGAGCCTTTACTCTGTAATACTTGAGTTCATTGACCCTTTAAGATTTAGTTTGGTTGTCCAAGGACAACTATATATGTTATATATCTGTTATCTAATGCTGTTTCATGTAATTTCTATTTTCTTGTGACAGGTAATTTTTAAAGAGCAACTATCACCAAAAAAATTAGGCTTCTTAAATGTGACAGAACTTGTTGGAGCTCTTAGTGACATTCTCCATGTTGAGTTCAGGAAAGGACACCAAGACTTACTAGTGTTTGATGCGGATAAGAAGCCTCTACCACCTGGTGAGTGGAACCACAGTATGATGCAAACCTCATTTTTATTGTCCTTATGAGGACAAAGAGAAAACATGAAATAATGCCTAGCCATGAAATGTTTTATAAAATGACCTCCTTTCTGGTGGTATTTGTTGTAATAAGGTTAATCTGTATTGTTAATAAAAATAATCTGAATTTTAAAATTTTGCTTTCTTGGGCCGGGTGCAGTGGCTCATGCCTATAATCCCAGCACTTTGGGAGGCCGAGGTGGGCGGATCACGAGGTCAGGCGATTGAGACCATCCTGGCTAACACAGTGAAACCCCGTCTCTACTAAAAATACAAAAAAACTAGCCAGGCGTGGTGGTGGGCGCCTGTAGTCCCAGCTACTCAGGAGGCTGAGGCAGGAGAATGGCATGAACCCGGGAGGCGGAGCTTGCCGGGAGCCGAGATCAAGCCACTGCACTCCAGCCTGGGTGACAGAGCGAGACTCTGTCTCAAAATAAAAATTTTTCTTGCTTTCTTCATTGTCTAGATTTTTGATAATTCTGAAGGAAATAAAGTTCCTAAAATGGTGGTCTGATAGTGCAGTGGTTCTTAACTCAGGCCGTGCATCAAAAGCTTTTTAGAAATATATGGAGATGCAGAATAAATGGGTGTGCGTTGGGACCCAGCACTTGTATTTTTTAAAATAAACTTTTAATTTTAGGATAATGTTAGTGTTACAGAAAAATCATAAAGGTAGTACAGAGTTCCCAAAAACCTTTCACCCAGTTTCTTCCAATATTAATGCCTTATTTACCATGATACATTTATCAAAACTAAGAAATTAACATTAGTACATTGCTAGTAACTAAACTCCAGGCTTTATTCTGATTTTACCAGTTTTTCCAAGAATGTCTTTTTTCTGTTTGTGTATCCACTCCAGGATAATACCACATTGCATTTAGGGCACTTGATTTTTTTTTTTTTTTTTTTTTTGTGGGGTGGGTGGTGGTGAGGGACCTTCTTTTTCTTTTCTTTTTTTTTTTTGAGATAGATTCTTACGCTGTCCCCCAGGCTGGAGTGCAGTGGCGTGATCTTGGCTCACTGCAACCTCCGCCTCGCGGGTTCATGCCATTCTCCTGCCTCAGCCTCCTGAGTAGCTGGGATTACAGGCACCTGCCACCACGCCCAGCTAATTTTTTGTATTTTTAGTAGAGATGGGGTTTCACCATGTTACCCAGGATGGTCTCAATCTCCTGACCTCGTGATCCACCCGCCTCAGCCTCCCAAAGTGCTGGGATTACAGGCGTGAGACACCACTCCCGGCCGTGACCTTCTTTTTCTTTTGAAGTTTTTATTAAGATAATTTTAGATTCACATGGAGTTGTAAGAAATAATACACTATGATACCATGTACCTTTTACCTAGTTTCTCCAATGGCAACACCTCGCAAAACTAGATTGCAGTATGGTACTTGTATTTTTATAAGCTTGAATGAGTGGTTATGATGGACAGGTTTTGTTTTTTTTTTTTCAAAATGTAACTACCTTTATTGATTTTTCTGATTATTAAAGTAACTCATGTTCATTCTGAATATATATAAACAGCACAGATGAGTAGAGAGAGAACATTTTCTATTATTTTATCCACCCCCCCAAAATAATACTGTTAGAATGTTTATATAGCCTCCAAGACTTTTTCCAATGAATATGTAAGACATAGATAGATCTTTTTTTTTAATCACAAAAGCTGCACATGCTTGTTTAAACAATTCCAACAATACAGAGGTAACTAGCATTAATAGTTTTAGTGTGTTTATTTTTGGACCTCTTCTATATGGTATAGCTAATTACCACCTGTATAATTTTTCCTACACAAAACAGTAGTATATAAATACAAATTTTCCTCAACTTATGATGGGGTTCTATCCCAATAAACCCATCATAAGTAGACAATACATTTAATATACCTAGCCTACTGAACATCATACCTTGGCCTAGCCTACCTTAGACATGCTCAGAACACTTACATTAGCCTACAGTTGGGCAAAATCATCTAATACAAAGCCTATTTTATACTAAAGTGTTGAACATCACCTGCAATTTATTGAATACTATACTGAAAGTGAAAAACAGTGTTGTATGGGTACTTGAAGTATGGTTTCTAATGAATGTGTATCACTTTCATACCATAAGAAAGTCAAACCACTGTGGACATCTGTATTATGCAAATCCTCATTTCTTACACTTCATATACTATGGGTGTTTTTTCATATTAGTACAAACAAGCTCATTTCATCATTTGAAGTTATATATAATAATAATGTACTTAACCAGTCTCCTACTGATGGACATTAGGATTGTTCCCATTTTTTCACCATCACAAAAAAATACAGTGACAAATATTCTTGTACCTACATCTTTGTGTACTTATGACTTCATTTTTTAGGAGCCACCATGCTTGTAGGTCTGTCTGGAATCTTTTTTTTTTTTGAGATGGAGTCTCGCTCTGTCACCCAGGCTGGAGTGCAATGGTGTGATCTTGGCTCACTGCAACCTCCGCCTCCCAGGTTCAAGTGATTCTCCTGCCTCGGCCTCCCAAGTAGCTGGGACTACAGGCGCCTGCCACCATGCCTGGCTAATTTTTGTATTTTTAGTAGAGATGGGGTTTCATCATATTGGCCAGGCTGGTCTTGAACTCCTGACCTTGTGATCCACCCGCCTCGGCCTCCCAAAGTGCTGGGATTACAGGTGTGAGCCACTGAACCCAGCCTGGAGTCTGTTTTAATGTGCCAACCTCTTGTAGTTATCATACACATGTAAATTTGAACAAAATACATGATTAACTTGAAAATTTCCTAAGAATTAAGGAATCGTATTATGGAATATTAAGTAGTTACATACAGTCTACGTTAAGCAACAAAGAATATTCCCTGTTTAATTTGAACAAGAAGTAAATTGAAATCAAGATGCTGAAAAAAATTAAGTCTTTAACTAAAGTTTAAGAAACCTTGGCTGGGCGCGGTGGCTCACACCTGTAATCCCAGCACTTTGGGAGGCCGAGGCGGGCAGATCACGAGGTCAGGAGATAGAGACCATCCTGGCTAACACAGTGAAACCCTGTCTCTACTAAAAATACAAGAAATTAGCCCGGCATGGTGGCGGGTGCCTGTAGTCCCAGCTACTCGGGAGGCTGAGGCAGGAGAATGGTGTGAACCCAGGAGGCGGAACTTGCAGTGAGCCGAGATCGCACCACTGCACTCCAGTCTGGGCAATAGAGCAAGACTTCATCTCAAAAAACAAAAAAACAAAAAAAAGAAACCTTATCAGATCACAAGCCTCCCTCCCCCTAGCACAAATAATTTAAGATTTGTTCCCACCTAGAACTTCCCTTATATTTTGCCACACTGAAAGGTCTGCAAGGACAGGTTTGTATCTCTCATTTATCATTGTCTTTCTAGCACCTGGTGTGTTGAAGGTGCTTAGTAATGGTTGTATAGCTATTTTAACAAATATGCATAGGCTGCTCTATTGGCCATTTGAGATGGAGTTGTTTCATCAGTCGGAAATTTGTGTTTAGTTCAGTCAGATAAGAAAATAGAAGCCAAAGCTTGTGTCTCCAGTCCACCTAGAAATTCATTGTCTACTGCTGCTGTCAAAGAGACTGTATGGAATTGCCCTTCAAAAAAACAAAAAGAGCCACAACAGAAGATTTGCAAGAAGCCTAATCTGGTGGTAAAGCCTTTACAGCTGGTGAGTGAGGTTTAAAGACTGTGCACTGGAGATTCAGCATTATGGAAAGTAAATGAATGTGTGTTTCTTTAAACCAAAATTCTTTTTAGAAAAGTCTTATTTCTGGATATATCATTTATTAGAAGAAATCATCTTTGTATTGAAGTTATGTCATATAGCATTCTTTCTGGTTTTCAGTCTTTTATATAACTAGCTTTTCCTCAAGGCTCATTTTAAAGTTTTCAAATGGTTTTGAGAGTTGACAGATCTCTCATGATGTCTTGAAAACCCACAGGGGCTTTAGAGGGAAAACTTGAGAGGCTTCGTTTTGGCTGTGTGCCTCAACGCTGCTGCAAATTGCCTCTACACTCATCCTCAATTATAGGGTGCTTTTATTTTTTTTCTTTTCTTGCATCTCCACACACAGTTCACCCTTTTTGTGTTCTTGTCTCCCATTACTTATTTTGTTGTTATTAAGGAATCATTGCTTGCTCTTTTTCCCTTCTACCCTTTCTACCTGGCTTCTTTCATGGAAGGAAAAAGTTTTGTTTGGAGAGCTTGCTGTATTTTCTGGAGGAAAATAGAAGGAAGGCCTAGAGGAAAACAGTATGTTTCAGAATGAGAGTATTTGAGAAATCCTGCTTTTGATTGGAAGACTAGTCTGAAATTTAACCTACTAAAGTTACCTTTGACTGCTGATATGAGTAGGATAAGAATCCACCTTGGTTCAGCCTGGATGTTTGAAGTATCATATTTTCAATTTTGTATAGAGCAATTGTGTAACGCTTTTAAACTCTATACCTAATGTCATAAGGTAGTAGTTTTCATATTTTAACATAGGTAAGAATCACCCAGGGAATTTATTTAAATGCATAATTGTGGGCCCCATTCCCAGGCATTCTGAATCAGTAAGTCTGGGCTAGAGTTCAAGAATCTGTATTTTTATAATTTCCCAAGTGATTCTGATAAAGGTGATTCATGAAATGTGCTTTGAGAAACATGCCATGGGGTTTGAAATGTCACCAAGAGATTTTTAATTTTTTTTTTCTAACTTATAGCAAGTAGAAACAAACAAATCAGAGCTCAACTTGGCAATGGCAAATCATGACATCCCGCCAGACGCTGTGCCGAACAAGAAATTATGCAGACTCCCACCATTAGACACCAGTTCCCTCATAGGGGTCTTTGTGGAGTATATCATCTCTCCTAGTCAATTCTACATCCGGATCTATAGCAGGGATTCGTCAGAGTTACTCGAAGACATGATGATTGAAATGCGGTAGGAGTCTGTTGTTTTCAATGTGTTTTTCACATGTCTCTTAAATCAACAGTTCTCAAACATTTCGGTTTCAGGACTCTTAAAAATTAAAGACCCAAGAGAGCTTTTTTTTATCAGTATTTATTGTATAGAAATTAAAACTGTAAAATTTTAATATTAAAATAATTCTCGTGTTAATATAAGTAACATTTTTATGAAAATAACTTTTTGTTTAAAAATTTAGAAGGGTGGCATTGTTTTATCCTTTTGTAGATCTCTTTAATATCTGGCTTAATAGAAGAAAGTTGATTTTTCATATTTGCTTCTGCATTTAATCTGTTGAGATATGTTGTTTTGGTTGAAGTATCTGAAGACATCTGGCCTCATACCAATGTGTAGTCTGGGAAAAAGTATTTTAACAGCTTTTTCAGAAAATTGTGAATATTCTTTTTTGATAGTATGCTAAAACTTGAGAAATGGTAGTTTCTCAAATGTTATTTGGAATTTGAACTTTTTATAGTCTATTATGTTAAAATCCACTGGTCTGCCTCTACAATTTGAATGGATCTAAGACTGGCAGTGTAATTGCTGGCCCTGGTGCAAAATTAAAATGCAGTGCTCCCTGTTTAAAAATTACTAATTTCAAGATGGCAATAGCAGAATATTAAAGCAAGCACAAAGCTGCTTCTAAGCATGGATTCAAACTATCCCTGAATGGATCATACAACTTTATAACATCATGTGTTGGTCATTTGGAAAATAACTAGTTTGCTGAATTATGCAGATCTTCCAAATGTTGACACATTTCATTATGCAGTATAAAAATATCACATTAATATCATCACTGATCTCAGAAAAGTATTTAGTATTGGGAAGCTGTCAAGCTCACAGTGGTGAATGCAACATTTCCAAAATCCTTTTACTCGAAAGTTTGATTTTTGTCATTGACAACATGTACTGTGAGTTGTTTTCCTTGAAGTGACAAGCTTGCTTCATTTTTGAAAAATGTCAAATACCCAAGTCAGCTTGCTAGTGGTTCTTTCAAGCAAAACTGATATGAAAGAAATGGCTAGTTCGTCTTCCAGGTAAAAATCATGTTTGTGGACTATACTTTGAGAACTACTAACTTATATTATCTCTTTTCTCTACTAAAAATTGTCCTTTGTTAGCAAACACCATGTAAAATATGGACATTTTCAACCACTTTAGATTTATTCATGAACAACAATGTCTGATTTATAAATTGTTGTCATAGAAGAATAATTTATTTCATTTTATTTTGTATCTCAAAAAACATTCCATGTTTTTAATTTGACAATAGTATGTATGCTTCTACTCCAGGACACCTGGCATAATGTAAGTCACATAATCACTTGGTAAAAATATATATTCCATTCCAGTATGCCCATGGGACATTTGTACGTGTTTTAAAAGCACACTCACTGGCTCTCTGACCTTGAAGTTACTTTACTTCTCTGGGCCTAGTTGTATTATCTCCAAAATGAGATAATGATAGTACCTACTTCACAGAGTTCTAAAAATTAAAGTACTTGGAGCATAGCCCAAATGTTAGCTGCTATTATTATTAATACTATAGACTGGGTACAGTGTGGTTCATGCCTGTAAACTTAGCACTTTGGGAAGCCAAGGTGGGAGGATCGCTTGAGCCCAGAAGTTCAAGATTCATCTGGGCAACATAGTGAGACCCTGTATCTACAAAAGAATTAAAAATTAGCTGGGCATGATGGTGCATGCCTGTAGTCCCAGCTCCCGAGGAGGTTGAAGCTGCAGTGAGTCATGATTGTGCTACTGCACTCCAGCCTGGGCAACAGAGTAAGGCCCTGTCTGGGGGAAAAAAAAAAAATACTGTAACTACTGTGTGCTTCGTGTCAGAATGTTGAGGCACTTGTGCTACAAGGATAAGTAAGACATGGTCCTTTGCCTTTGCGAATACTGTGATTAGCTTAAGAAGATAGGAGATACATGGGATATTATAAAAGGGAGTCGTTCTGCCTGGGCAAGGTTGAGGAAAGCTTCACAAAAGAGATAATTGAGCTAGGCCTCAAAGACAAGAATTTGCGAGTCAAGGAGGTTATGAGTGGGTATAATCAGGTCCAGTCACTGGAACCAAGGCCAACATTAACAAAGGAGTAAGTGGCGTGCGCTGGGAACAACAATAAGGAAGTGACGTTAGCACCAGGTGAGGTTGCAGGAGTCAGGAAGGGGGAGAGAGTGACTGATGTGATGCTGGAAGACTAAGAAAAAGCTAGATTCTGAATACCATGGGAAGATGTTTTCTCTTATTCTGGGGAAGCACTGATGGTTTTAAGAAAGCCATTGGAGTGAAGGGATGAAGATCTATTAGTGGACTAGTCTTGATGAGAGTGAGACTAGAAAGGAAGAGATAAATTGGGAAAATGAAAATTGCCAGGTGACAAGAAGGGTGTTGAGAAGAATAAGAAAGAGAAGGAGATGATGAAAACTGTTTGCTTTAGAGACTGGGCAGGTTTGAGCTGGGGTGAAAACTTATTAGTAGAAGTTCACCTGTAGTGTCTCTAAGTTGACCATGAGAGTCACTGGCAATGTTGACTAGATGGTATGAGTTAGGATTAGGTTTAGCCACTGTTAGATATAACTTTATCATAGTAGCTTAAAGAAGATAAAAGTTTATTTCTTCTTCCCAGAATAGTCCAAATATACACAATACATTCTGATATGATAGTTCCGTGGTGGGAGGGGGACACAGTTATAGAATCTTGCTGCTCCAGAATAGTGTGTTGTCCCTGTTCACGTGGTCTTGGGTGTGGCTGACCACTACCACCACCCAGTCATCCTGCCAGCTACTGGGAAGGGGAAAAAGAAGTGGGGGATGGGAGATATACCTGTTCTATTGAAAGACACAACCCAGAATTTTCACTCTTAAAACTGTGGGTAAAATACACATTAAATATATTCATTTTAACTATGTACACTTTTTCTTGTATCCCACTGGCCAAAATTTAGTATTCACATAGCCACACCTAGATGCAGGAGAGCTTGGGAAACCTGAATGACCATTTACCCAGTTAAAATTTGGGGGACTCTGTTGCTAGAGAAAAGGGAAAGAGGAGAATGGGCATTGAGGAACAACTGGCATGTCTTCCATATAGTTGGAAATATTCGAGTTTTGAAGTGCAGAAAGGATGCAGGGTCTTCTAGAGATAGATTGAGAATTAACAATTGATCAGTAGTGTGGTATAAGACATGAAAATGGGTGAGACAGTATATAGCAAGAACAATAGCTAATATTTGAGTGCTTAGTATATGTGTACACTGTCCTAAACTTTCAGATGTTTTAATAAATGTTTTATTTTTATCATCCCCATCCTAAACAAGGAAACTGAAGCGCAGAAAGATTGTCACAGAGCTGGTAAATGATGGAGTCAGGATTTGGACCCAGGTTATTGGTTCCTAAGCTTATATTATGTTATACTTCCTAAAGATAAGTGAATCTCAACATTTAAGGCAATACAGAGCCAATAAAAAAAATAACTATTGACAAAGAAGTAGAGAATTGTGTTTGAGAAACTAGGAAAGGGTTTGAAACAGGATAGGGTAACGCTGCAGCAAGATAATGTGTATTGAAGGCTGAGGAGAGAGGCTGCTGGATTTGGGAGCTATCAGGTCACTGATGTCTTAAAACTAATTTATCCTAGGCAGTACTGGGGAATGAAGATGGGGTACATTCTATCCAGCAGAGAATGTGAGATCAGAAAATGAGTGTGTGTTTCTCTTTGAAGAAGTTTGTTGATGAAGAGATGGGATTCAGATAAGAGAAAACAATTAATTGGTATTAATGAGCATTAACAATTTGACAAAGTCAATTTTCTTTTCTTTGCTTTTTGCCAAGACTTTCTGGCTTGATACATTGATAAAAATTATCTTTAATTTTTTCTTCCCCTATGGATTTCTCTGTATTATGGAATTCCACAGGCGCTGTTATTCTAATCAGCTGGTTTCTGATCGATATGTCATGCCAGAATGTTTTATTCAGCCGGGACATCTCTGTTGTGTAAGGATTTCTGAGGATAAGTGGTGGTATCGGGTCATTATCCATCGAGTCCTTGAGAAACAGGAAGTTGAAGTGTTCTACCCAGACTTTGGAAATATTGGAATTGTTCAGAAGTCCTCCCTGAGGTTCCTCAAGTGAGTTGAATTGAATTAGAACAATGGATGAATTAAATTTTGAATCACAGTGTTGAAGCTCTGTGGGGTTGGGATCTCTCTTTTCTCTTGCCTTCCTCCCTCCAATCCTTCCTTCCTTCTTCTTAGTGCATATTTGACAACTGGGTCATTTCATTTCACAGATGGATTGTAACTCTTGTGTTATCTTTTACATGACACTGAATTTTGAATGGACGATGAGATTACGTTTTAGTCTCTTATTAAGAAAGTGATTTTTTGGGTCATGCTAAGAGGTGCATTTATATATAGCAGGAAGATTGAACTTACATATTTGATTATCTATTGCAGGTGCTGCTACACAAAGCTTCCAGCTCAGGCTATCCCTTGTTCTTTGGCTTGGGTGAGACCAGTAGAGGTATGTTTGCTTGTCTCCCATTTAATCAGCAAACACTTGAGTGCCTATTATGTGCCAATAACAGTTTCACATGCTCAGGATATGAAGATAAAACGTAGAACCAGCCTTCAAAGAAGTCAGTGTATAGAGTATGGAAAATAGACATGTAGACAAAAATTGTTATGCCATATAAAATTTGCTATAGGAGAGGTTTCAAGAATGAATGGTAGAGGTGCAAAAGGAAGATTGCTTGTTTCTGCCCAGGGTAATCAGGGAGGCATTTGAGTGGCACTTTGAAGGAAGATTAGGAAGATGATGAAAAAAGAAAGGCATTCCAAGCAAAGGGAGGGTAGCATGAAACATCTCAAAGGGGAGAAATTTTAAGTAGTTCTGTTTGGCTACAGAATATAGGATGAGCTACAGCGGGTGCATGGTAGAAAATGTCAAAGAAATAGGAGCCTAATGTGAAGACCCACGTTTAGAAGACTGAACATTGTCGTCCTTTAGAGGCTGGGGAGCAATTAAAGGATGTAAATAGGAAACTGCCACTGACAGATAACATGTTTTCAAGATAATTCTCTAGCAACATTGTGGCAGAGCTTTGAGGTGGAATGGAGCAGGAGGCATTTTCATGTATGTAGGTGCATTTATATAATTATAATTATTTTATGTACCTAACTTTTTATTTTTCCTTCAGAACTCTTACTAGCTCATACCTACACATTTATTATGCCATATTTGTCTGCTTAATCTAAATAACTTATCAGTTGCTCACATATAAATGGATTATTTTAAAAATATTTTTTATCTGAAAAATTTTGTAAAGAAGAAAGAAAAACTAACGCCTGTAATCCCAGCACTTTGGGAAGCCAAGGCGGGCGGATCACCTGAGGTCAGGAATTCAAGACCAGCCTGGCCAACATGGTGAAACCCCATATCTACTAAAAATACAAAAAATAGCCAGGCGTGGTGGTGGGCGCCTGTAATCTTAGCTACTCAGGAGGCTGAGACAGGATAATTGCTTGAACCCGGGAGGCGGAGGTTGCAGTGAGCTGAGATTGCGCCGCTGCACTCCAGCCAGGGCAACAAAGAGCGAAACTCCGTCTCAGAAAAAAAAAAGAAGAAAGAAAAAGAAAAAAAATTACCTATAATTCCACCACTCAAACATACACAGTTTAGAAATTTGGTGTATGTTTCTTCCAGTTTATTTTATTGGATGTTGGGAGCGAGGGTTTTTTGGTGTGGTTTTCAGCATTACTTAAAATAGTAATCGTAATATTTTGTATTCTGCTCTTTTGCTTAGCATTATAGCATAAGTACTTTTATATGTTATTAAGTTCTCAATTTTAATGGATTCATAGTGTAATCTGTTAGGTAAATGTGCATCATCGCCTGCTTAACCGTTTCTTTATTGTTTGACATTCAAACTGATTCTGATTTTTGACTGTTAGAAACAATGTACGCAAAATATGTTTTTTGGTGGAAGCCTGTATTCAAGGTTGTTTTCTTGGGGGCATTTTATTTCCGATAAGTTTCTTTTTACTATTTTGCCATCAGGAAGCACAGGACTAAATTTGTGACTCAGTTGTAGCCAGTGTTCATTACTTTCATATCAGCCAGATAGCTTCCATTTTTTGTTCTCTTCTTTTTCTTTTCCCTTCTTACTTTCTTTTTTTCTTTTCTTTTTTTTTTTGGAGACGGAGTCTTCCTTCATTGCCCAGGCTGGAGTGCAGTGGTGCAATCTCGGCTCACTCCAACCTCCACCTCCCTGGTTCAAGCAATTCTCCTGCCTCAGCCTCCTGAGTAGCTGGGATTATAGGCATGTGCCACCATGCCCGGCTAATTTTTTTATTTTTGTAGAGGTGGGGTTTCACCATGTTGGCCAGGCTGGTCTCTATCTCTTGGCCTCAAGTGATCCGCCCACCTCGGCCTCCCAAAGTGCTGGGATTACAGGTATGAGCCACCATGCCCAGCCCTCCTTTCTTCCTTTCTAAACTACTTCTGGCCTTAGGGCTTTTGCACATTCTAATAACTGGAATAGCTTATTCACAGTAATCTCACGATTGTCCTTCTTGTCATTCAAATTTAAGTCCAAATGTTATTTCCTCAAAAAGGACTTCTTTGACCTGACAATTAAAAATGCACCCTTCAGTCATTCATTGTCACCTTGTTTTATCTTCATAATGCTTTATCACTATCTGATATTGTCTTGTTTGTTTGTGCATGACAGTGTGAGCCCCTGAAATCAGGGAAATTATCTTGTTCACCACTGAATCTCCAGTGCCCAGAGTAATGGCTTTGTGCCTGGTAAATGCTCAATAACTAGGTTTTTAACTAAATGAATCTCTCACTTTATTTCTGTGTCTTTTTTTCTGATTGCAAAAATAACACATTTGGTAATAGCATAATAGCAACAGACTATTATGCCCATTAGCAAAATCAGAAGCAGGCAAAAAAGCAAAAGTTAAATGGCAATGGGACTTTTCAAGCTTCTTTTCTGAGAATCTGCAGTCTTGCTGTCCTAAAGAATTATAAGACATTGTTTGGAAATGGCAGAACAGCTAGAAGTTAGGGTGGAAATACTTGAAGGTAGGGAACCACAGAATGGATGAGTTCCCAAATCATTATATATGATCTGCCCAAATCCTTGGGTGACTACTGAACTTTCTTAAGTGTTGGGGAACTCAGTAGCCCTAGTGAAAAAATCAACAGTTGGCATTTGAGGTAACTGAACAGAGATTTCTGTTGCTACAGACTGCAGAAGAGACAGTTTAGAGTTTGGATCCAGACAGTTTTAACTGCCAGTTAAAACAAATCACTCTTGAGAAGAGCATAACAGAATCCAGAAGCTCTAAAACATTGATAATGTTTACTATTCAACTAAAAATCACTAGACATGGGAGAAAAAAAAACAGGAAAATGTGACATATACTCAAGGAAAAACGTAGTTGGTAGAAACTGACATTGAGATGTCCCAGACATTGGAGTTAGCAGACAAAGACTTTAAAGCAGCTATTGTGAATATGTTCAAGGACTGAGAGATTTACTCATCATAAGGAACAGAGAAGGAATTTCTGCAGAAAGAAACTATTTAAAATAAATGGAAATTCTAGAGTCGTAAAGTGAAATAAATGAAAAGTTTCAGCATAGGCTTAATAGCAGATTTGGAGACAGTGGAGGAGTCTATGAACTTTAAAAACAGATCAAAAGAATTATCCAATGTGAAGAAGAGCATAAAAAATAATTAAAGTGAAAATGGACAGAGACTTAAGGAAGTCTATGGCTCAATATCGGGTACCCCAACAGGTATGTAATTGGAGTCCCAGAAAGAGAGTTGAGAGAGAGAATAGGATGGAAAAAAGGAAGGCCAAAAATTTCCACAGTGTGGTGAAAGAGGTCAATATTCAGAGTCAAGAATATCAACAAACTCCAAGCAGAATAAATACAAAGAAAACCATACCTAGGCACATGATAATCAAACTGCTGAAATCTAAAGCAAAAGGAGAAAATCCTGAAAGCAGCAAGAAGGGGGAAAATACAGGAAACAATAATATAAATAATAACTAACTGCCCATTGAAAGGAACAACATTGAAGTCTGAAAGAGAAAAAGAAGTCAAGCTGGAATTCTATATCTAGTGAAAATATCTATCAAAATGAAGAAACGGAGACATTTTCAAAATGTAAAAACTGAGCTTGTCACTGGCAATCTTGAACAACAAATACTGAAGGAAGTTCTTCCAGTTCTGAAGTGAAACCAAATGGTAATGCAGATCTACAGGAAAGAATGATGATTATGGAAAATGGTTAATATGTGGGCAAATATGAAAGACTATTATTTTTAATTTTATTCTCTGAATTCCTTTAAAAGACATAGAACTTTCAAAACTAAATTGGTAATACTGTATGTTGGAGTTTATAGCATATGTTGATGTAATATATATTTATCCCAAAGTCTTAGTGCAGTTTAAGCTGTAATAACTACAGGAGTATAAAGGCTACAAATCATGAAATTATTCAAAAGTTTAATTTTTAACCTAATATATACTTGTTTATATGTAATACTCATTTTGTAAATTTTGACTAATTTTTTAATCTTAATATTTTGTTTCAACTTTTACCACCCCAACAAAAAATTAAAATGTAGTATTTATAGTAGAATCTTCACTTTTTATTCCTTCTTGACATTTTTGATGTCATTTAAAATTTTGTTTTTGGCGTAAATTGCCCATAATTTTTTTTGTCCTTTTGATGTTGACATCTGTAGTGATATGTCCTTTTACATTCCAAATATGTATTTGTATCTTTTTTAAGGATCTAAAGAGACAGGTATTTGCCATTTTGAATAGTTTTTTCAAAGAACCAAGTTTGGCTTTCTTGTTTCTATTATAAACATTTTTTTTCTATTTTGTTTATTTCTGTCTTATTTTTACTATTTCCTTAATTCTACTTTCTTTGGGTTTATTTTGCTGTTCTTTCCCTAACTTCTTGATGTGCAAGCTTAGGTTATTTCTAACCTTTAGGTGGATCTCATAAGTTTAACTGTGTAGTAGTTTTATTATTGTTCAGTTAAAAAATATTTTGTAATTTATATTTTGCTTTCTTGTTTGATTCATGGATTATTTAGAAGTTTCTCAGTTTATAAACATTTTTCTTTTTTTTTTTTTTTTTTTTTTTTTTTGAGACGGAGTCTCGCTCTGTCGCCCAGGCTGGAGTGCAGTGGCGGGATCTCGGCTCACTGCAAGCTCCGCCTCCCGGGTTCACGCCATTCTCCTGCCTCAGCCTCCCAAGTAGCTGGGACTACAGGCGCCCGCCACTACGCCCGGCTAATTTTTTGTATTTTTAGTAGAGACGGGGTTTCACCGTTTTAGCCGGGATGGTCTCGATCTCCTGACCTCGTGATCCGCCCGCCTCGGCCTCCCAAAGTGCTGGGATTACAGGCGTGAGCCACCGCGCCCGGCCATAAACATTTTCCTAATTTGTCCTTTTGTAGTTGATTTCTAGTTTAAATACACTGTGGTCAGAGATCATCCTCTAGATAGTATCCGTCAGCCCTTTAAATATGCAGAGGCTGATAGATGGTCCAGTATAGTGTCACTTTTTGTAAATGGTGGTGTCTTCTTAAAAAGTGTATATTCTGCAGTTCTTGTGTGTAATATTTTATATATGTCCATAAGGTCAACTTTATTGTGTGAAACTCTTATTCGTTCTGATTTTTCTGTATTGCTTTTCTGTAATTATTGAAAGAAGTGTGGCTTTTGTCTATGATTATTCTTTTGTGTATTTCTTCCTATAGTTCAGTCAGTTTTTATTTTGTATACAATTGAGGCTATATTATTAGGTACATATACAATACCAAAATTGTTATATCTTCCTGGCAGACTGAATGTTTTATCATTATGAAGTTAACCTCTTTATTTCTACTAATGCAAAAAAAAACTTCTTTTGTCTGATGTTAATATAACTATCATTTTCTATTTAATATCCTGGTGTGTTTTTAAACTGTCATTCTACTTTGAACCCTTCTCTATCTTTATATTTAGATATGTCTTTTATGAACTATATAGTTGTATTTTTTTAATCCAGGCTAAGACCTTTTGTCTTTCACCCAGAATGTTTAGGCTGATTACACTTATTGTAATAATTGAATTATCTGGGTTTAACTCTTACACTTTATTTTGTGTATACTATATGGTCTACCTATTCTTTTTCTCACCATGCATGCCTTATTTTGAAGAGATCTTTAAAATAATTCACTAAGAAATACACTATTATTTTAATGATTACTCTAGGAAATACAACATGCATAACAATGCAAGGACATTAGAGCACTTTAACTCCTTTACCCTCCTCTTCTAACCTGTTTTTGTTGTGTAATGTTATTTTTAACCCCTCAAGAAATTGCATAAAATAATGTCAATTTACAAAAACCACATGATTATCTCAGTAGATGCAGAAAAGGCCTTTGACAAAATTCAACAACCTTCATGCTAAAAACTCTCAATAAATTAGGTATTGATGGGATGTATCTCAAAATAATAAGAGCTATCTATGACAAACCCACAGCCAATATCATACTGAATGGGCAAAAACTGGAAGCATTCCCTTTGAAAACTGGCACAAGACAGGGATGCCCTGTCTCACCACTCCTATTCAACATAGTGTTGGAAGTTCCGGCCAGGGCAATTAGGCAGGAGAAGGAAATAGAGGGTATTCAATTAGGAAAAGAGGAAGTCAAATCGTCCCTGTCTGCAGATGACATGATAGTATATCTAGAAAACCCCACTGTCTCAGCCCAAAATCTCCTTAAGCTGATGAGCAACTTCAGCAAAGTCTCAGGATACAAAATCAATGTACAAAAATCACAAGCATTCTTATACACCAACAACAGACAGAGAGCCAAATCATGAGTGAACTCCCATCCACAATTGCTTCAAAGAGAATAAAATACCTAGGAATCCAACTTACAAGGGATGTGAAGGACCTCTTCAAGGAGAACTACAAACCACTGCTCAAGGAAATAAAAGAGGATACAAACAAATGGAAGAACATTCCATGCTCATGGGTAGGAAGAATCAATATCATGAAAATGGCCATACTGCCCAAGGTAATTTACAGATTCAATGCCATCTCCATCAAGCTACCAATGACTTTCTTCACAGAATTGGAAAAAACTACTTTAAAGTTCATATGGAACCAAAAAAGAGCCCGCATCGCCAAGTCAATCCTGAGCCAAAAGAACAAAGCTGGAGGCATCACACTACCTGACTTCAAACTATACTACAAGGCTACAGTAACCAAAACAGCATGGTACTGGTACCAAAACAGAGATATAGATCAATGGAACAGAACAGAGCCCTCAGAAATAATGCCGCATATCTACAACTATCTGATCTTTGACGAACCTGAGAAAAACAAGCAATGGGGAAAGGATTCCCTATTTAATAAATGGTGCTGGGAAAACTGGCTAGCCATATGTAGAAAGCTGAAACTGGATCCCTTCCTTACACCTTAAACAAAAATCAATTCAAGGTGGATTAAAGACTTAAACGTTAGACCTAAAACCATAAAAACCCTACAAGAAAACCTAGGCATTACCATTCAGGACATAGGCATGGGCAAGGACTTCATGTCTAAAACACCAAAAGCAATGGCAACAAAAGCCAAAATTGACAAATGGGATCTAATTAAAGAGCTTCTGCACAGCAAAAGAAACTACCATCAGAGTGAACAGGCAACCTACAAAATGGGAGAAAATTTTCGCCACCTACTCATCTGACAAAGGGCTAATATCCAGAATCTACAATGAACTCAAACAAATTTACAAGAAAAAAACAAACAACCCCATCAAAAAGTGGGCAAAGGACATGAACAGACACTTCTCAAAAGAAGACATTTATGCAGCCAAAAAACATATGAAAAAATGCTCATCATCACTGGCCATCAGAGAAATGCAAATCAAAACCACAATGAGATACCATCTCACACCAGTTAGAATGGCAATCATTAAAAAGTCAGGAAACAACAGGTGCTGGAGAGGATGTGGAGAAATAGGTACACTTTTACACTGTTGGTGGGACTGTTAACTAGTTCAACCATTGTGGAAGTCAGTGTGGCGATTCCTCAGGGATCTAGAACTAGAAATACCATTTGACGCAGCCATCCCATTACTGGGTATATACCCAAAGGACTATAAATCATGCTGCTATAAAGACACATGCACACGTATGTTTATTGCGGCATTATTCACAATAGCAAAGACTTGGAACCAACCCAAATGTCCAACAACGATAGACTGGATTAAGAAAATGTGGCACATATACACCATGGAATACTATGCAGCCATAAAAAATGATGAGTTCATGTCCTTTGTAGGGACATGGATGAAATTGGAAATCATCATTCTCAGTAAACTATCGCAAGAACAGAAAACCAAACACCGCATATTCTCACTCATAGATGGGAATTGAACAATGAGAACACATGGACACAGGAAGGGGAACATCACACTCTGGGGACTGTTGTGGGGTGGGGGGGGGGAGGGATAGCATTGGGAGATATACCTAATGCTAGATGACGAGTTAGTGGATGCGGCGCACCAGCATGGCACATGTATACATATGTAACTAACCTGCACATTGTGCACATGTACCCTAAAACTTAAAGTATAATAATAAAAAAAAAAAGAAACAAACCACCCTGAGGAAAAAAAAAACAAAAAAAAATTTTAAACTTAGAAATCAAAATCTTCTGGAGTTTTTTAGTCAAACTTCCTACTGTTGAACTTAAATATGCAGGAAGTCATTTTATCTATCTAAATGAGACGTGGACCAAGATTAAAAGAGTATTAAATACTAAAAAACAATAAAAAAAATAATGTCAATTTAGATTACAAGTTTCTCTGCTCTTCATTCTTCAGTCAAACCCTTCGTCAGGACCCATTTTCCTTCATTTGAACTGTGTATCCTTAGGATTTTATTTAATGAGGGTCAGCTGGTAGCAAAGTTGTGTTTATCTGAAAATATCATTTATTTTTCACTTATTGTAGAAACATGGATTTACTAAGTATAGAATTCTAGGTTAGCAGTTAGTATCTTTAGCACATTGAAGATATCATTACTGGCTTCTGGTTTCCCTTATCGTTTTCTGAGAAGTCAGCTGTCAGTTTAATAGATGTTCCTTTGAAGGTAGTGTCCTTTCTGTCTCTAGGTGTTTTTAAAATTTTCTATTAGTCGCTCCTGTTCTTCAGTATTGGTGTGGTGTGTTTATGTGTGAATTTATTATTTATGCTACTTTATGGTTCATCAGACTTCTTTTGTGTTTGTTACTTTTTTTTAATCTTGCAAATTCCCAACCATTATCTCTTCAATTATTGCCTATTTCCCATATTTATATTTGTATTCTTCTTATCTCTGCTGCTTTTTTTCTGGGACCATTATTAAAAGTGTTAAAACTTCTCAGTTTTTCTTCCATTTCTCTTAACCTTTCTATCGTATTTTACATCTGTCTGTCTTTCCATGCTGCATTCTGGGAAATTTTTTTCAAAATACCTCACACTTTACCAATTTACTCTTTAATTATATCTGATCTGTTACTGAATTAACCTATGAGGTTTTTAATTTGGGTTATTATGTTTTTACCTTCTAAAACTTCTTAGTTCTGCTAGATCAATTTTTATAGATTGCTAATTTCTGCTAAACTGGTTTTTGTTTGGGTTTTGTGGCTTTAAGCATAGTAAGTTTAGTTGTTTTATAATTTGTCTAGAAATTAAAATATCTAAAATTGAGGATTTGTTATATTGTTTCTGTTCTTTTTTGATTCATTGTTTCTTTGTATATTTTTTATCTTTGCCTATGTACTGCTCGTTGTCTTTGAAAAATTAACTGTAAGAATGGTTGAATAATAAAGGCTGAGGTTGTCTACCTCCAGAGAGGATTTACATGTGCTTCTGCCAGATATCTGGAAATATTACCAGTCTGGGACCATATTAATTTAAATTAACAACTTGAGGATGTGTAGACCACCCTGGTAATGTGAAAACTGAGCTGCAAATCTATGTGAAGGATAATTTATTTTCTTCCTCCCTTACCCTGAGAGTGTATCTCCTTAGGGACTCAGTTTAATGAAGGAAAGTTCTCCTGTAAACTCTCCACCATGGGTGCACCCTGGCTTTGATGTCTGTCTCGTTTGTCCTGTTAGACCATCTGGTGGCTCACGCCTGTAATCCTAGAACCTTGGGAGGCCAAGGCAGGTGGATCACCTGAAGTCAGGAGCTCAAGACCAGCCTGGCCAACATGGTGAAACCCCGTCTCTACTAAAAATACAGAAATCAGCTGGGTGTAGTGGCACGCACCTGTAATCCCAGCTACTCAGGAGGCTGAGGCAGGAGAATCGCTTGAACCTGAGAGGTGGAGGTCACAGTGAGCCGAGATCACGCCATTGCACTCCAGCCTGGGCAACAGAGCAAGACTCTGTCTCAAAAAAAAAAAAAAAAAAAAAAAGTTCAAATTGCCTGGATTAGCAGATACCCTTAAGACAAAAGAAGTAGTTCCCATTTTCCCTTCAATTTTGGCCTGATAATTTGTTCAAGCTTGTCAGTTCTTTGATACCTTTTGGATATATTTCATAATTCTTTTACCTAGAATTTTTAGTTGTTTTCTGTGGGAGGGTTGGTCTAATAATCTAACTCACAATTTCTGAAAATGGAAGTTGCACATCACATAATTATTTAAATTTTTTCAGTAATTACATTTTTTATCATTTTTCCTTTATTCTGACTTTTCTCATCCCCAAATCATATATATCCTCCTATGTGTTATTCTAGTACTTTTATGGTTTTATTTCCACTTAAATCTCTAGTTCATCAGAATTCATTGTTGTATATGGTTATTATAATTCATGTTTAGATCTATCACCTGAATCCAATATCTTGATCATATTTCAGGAACACTGGACATCGAAAGCTATTTTGCAGTTCCAGAAGTTGTGCGGTTTGAAGCCATTAGTGGGGGTAGTGGATGAATATGTAGATGGAATCCTTAACATTTTTTTGTGTGACACATCCTCAAACGAAGATGTCTATTTCCATCATGTCTTGAGAACAGAGGGCCATGCTATTGTATGCCGAGAAAATATCTCTTCTAAGGTGGAGCAGTCTGGATGTATTTTGTAATATATTTTGTTTAATTTCACCACGTCAAGGTATAAGATAATTTAATAAAGAAGTTTATTTGGTTTATTCTTTAACCAATTAGAGACATCCACGAGATTCCTGGCTTTTTAATGCAGAGCACTCTTAATTTTCAGATGACCACAGAAAAACTGCATTTGACTAATTGTCCTTTGAAATGTGAATACTTCTATTTTAAATAATTAATTTAAAAAGTAGTTATCTGGCCAGGCACGGTGGCTGTCACCTGTAATCCCAGCTACTTGGGAGGCTGAGGCAGAGAATTGCTTGAACCTGGGAGGTGGAGGTTGCAGTGAGCCGAGATGGTGCTACTGCACTCCAGCCTGGGCAACAGGGCGAAGACTCTGTCTCAAATAATAATAATAAAATAAAAAGTTATCTGAAACTGTCCTAGAGAAGAATAACACTCCTATTTTGCAATTATTGATAGTATCTGTTTCACTGTATGTTGATAATTTTTGTAACTAGCAAAAACTGTCAATAATGGACACATTTTTAACTGTTAAAATTTGGAAGATAGGCTGGGCGTGGTGGCTCACGCCTGTAATCCCAGTACTTTGGGAGGCCAAGGTGGGTGGATCACGAGGTCAGGAGATCGAGACCATCCTGGCTAACACAGTGAAACCTCGTCTCCACTAAAAATACAAAAAATTAGTCAGGCGTGATGGCACGTGCCTGTAGTCCCAGCTACTCAGGAGGCTGAGGCAGGAGAATTGCTCGAATCTGGGAGGCAGAGGTTGCAGTGAGCCGAGATTGGACCACTGCACTCCAGCCTGGGCAACAGAGCGAGACTCCATCTCGAAATAAATAAATAAAATTTGGAAGATAATATACTTCCATAGCATTTGAAAGTTATTAAGTGCTTTCTCGCCCTTTTTCTGTTGGTCATGTAAATTAAACCATCCCTTTTCTTTTTTTAATCTTAGGGTTTCAGTGAGCTCAACCCTTTAGCTTTATACACGACATCCAGTGGAGGGCCAGAGGACATTGTCTTGACAGAACTGGGTTATCCTTCCCAGCAGCACTATTTTAATGAAGACCGAAAGATAAGTCCACAGTCAAAAGAGAGTGAGTTACGTATCTTGGTAAGAGATTTTTGCAAATACTATTATAATTCTTTTTATTACTGTAATCCTCATTTTTTTAGATGAAGAAACCAAGGCTTTCCAAATTTTGGAAAGTTTGGAAATTTTGCACAGTGATCTTAACAATTTGTCTCTTTATTTGCTGGCTTAAGTGTTTGCTTCAGTCATGCCTCTTCCTGAACAGTTGCTCTCATATAGTAAATTCCATTGCTGCCTTTGTGCAGTTGTGACTTCACTACACTGCCTCTGAATGCTATTCTTCTTCCCTCTGCAGTACACAGGTTCTTCAGGTATTCTCGTTTCTTACTTTCCCTGTAAACTTTCAGCAACTCCTCCCTTCCCAGTAATAATAATATTGTAATGTTATTATGTATTTTTTCCAGCCCACAGTAATAAGAACAACAGCATTATTTATCGAACTTGTACCACATGGCAGGCACTGTTAAAAGCATTCACATGTGTTAACTAATTTAATCTTTACAGCAAATTACCAGGTTTATACTTTCATATCTACATTATAAAGACAGGTTGTACATCTCTAATGCACAAATCCAAAACCTGAAATGCTCCAAAATCTCAAAATTTTTGAGTCCTGACATGATATCACAAGTGGAAAGTTCCACACCTAACCTCATATGACAGGTTGCAGTCAAAATGCAGTCCAAACTTTGTTTCATGCACAAAATTATTTAAAATATTATATAAAATTACCTTCAAGCTATGCATATAATGTATATATGCAACATAAATGAATTCCATGTTAGACTTGGGTCTTATCCCCAGGATATCTCATGTATATGCAAATGTTTCAAAATCCAAAATTATCCAAAATCTGAAACACTTTTGGTCCCAAGCATTTTGGATAAGGGATACTCAATGTGTAAAAGGCAAGTGAAGCATATAGTGAGGACTTAATATTTCTTGAACAAATAAACCATGTCCTCCAAGTCTTATATTCCTCACGACAACAGATACTGGGCTAAGAATACAGGATGTGTTTAATTTGAGGGCCAAAAATGTTTTGTTTTATTGATACAATGTCTTTTTATTTTCTTTGAATAAAATGTAAAAATATTATTTTGTTTAGTGTGTTTTGTATATCTGACTTTTAAAATAAAATTATAGAGATGATTTTTTAAGTAGACATTTACTAATTATTAGAAAAGATAAAGGCCATTTTGACTACTGGGAGATTACCTATTATGAAAAATATGTACCGATGTTTCCTACTGCATGTTCAAAACAATATAAAGATTTTTAGATTTCTAGTTAATGTTAAAATTAATGAAGCTTGTATGCCCATAACACTTTCCAAAGCCTGAATTTTTCTTAGTCATTATTACTGGACTAGGAGAATTCTTTTTCTTCATTCTTAAATAGTAAATTGAATTCAACCTTTAATATTTTTAGAATATCCTATCACTCTGTTGGTGTCTTCAAATAATCATAGTTTTATTCTGGAAATGAAATAAGAACCATCTTTTCTGCAAAAGAGAAAGGGCTTAAAACTCTACTATTCCACCCTAGTCTGTACTTTGACATATTAAGACTCCCATATGCTACACACACACCTACACCTCTACACCCAGTTCCTTGTGAATTCCTACTCATCTTTCAAGTGTTATCTTCTTCATTGCATCTTCTCAGATGTCCTCTTCTATCAATCATATTTTTGTCATATCTTTATGATGGTTGTACTTGGAAGACTGATTCTAGGTCTTTCCACAACATTTTTTAGTTCCTTTGGAGCCAGAATCTGTTGCATTCATCTTTGTATTCACAGAGCTGTCTTGTAGACATTTCATGATAAGGGTTCAATAAATGTTCATTGGCCGGAACTAGGGTAGCAGGATGGGAAGACCTAGGATCATGGATAAAGCTATAAAATAATGTAGCATTTGTGTGAACCATAGCAAAAACTTCCCCCCAAAATGTATAGGCATGTAGATTTTGGAAACAGCATTAATATTTAAAATAAAGGAATTCTCTTTCATATCTACTAGCAAGATATTAATGATGAAAAGTCTTTAAGTCATCTTAAATCTGAGTCAAAGGAGCCATTAAAGGATTCTGAATTTGAGTCTTTGAAAACCTGTAATAAGAGCTTTGAAGAAGATCCAAAGTGGTCCAACCCAGAACCAAACGATCTGAAGGAAGAAAATGAGGTAGGAGAAGGAAAGATAGTCTTTGAATATGTAATTAATATAATACACTGAATTCATAAGTGAAGAGGACTGGAATAAACTCTGTTTAAACCCCACTGCTTTTAGTATTACAAATTCTTAGGCCAAGTGCAATGGTTCACACCTGTAATCCCAGCACTTTGGGAGGCTGAGGTGGGCGGATCACTTGAGGTCAGGAGTTCAAGACCAGCGTGGTCAACATGATGATACCTTGTCTCTACAAAATGTACCAAAAAAAATTAGCCAGCCATAGTGGCATGTGCCTGTAATCCCAGCTACTCAGGAGGCTGGGGCTTGAGAATGCCTGATCCCAGGAGGTGGAGGTGGCAGTGAGCTGAGATCGTGCCACTGTACTCCAGCCTGGGTGATAGAGTGAGACTCTGTCTCAAAAAAATAAAGTAAAATAAGTAAAAAAATGTGTTCATAGTAACCAAGACTAAAGTTGTAGCAATATAACCTTGATCATAAAAAAAGGTATCTGGCTTTGATGTGTTAGTTAATATCCTGTGACTTGGGGTGGTCTTCAAGAATTATACAGTAGCTAGAAACTAGTATTGAGAAATTATATTACGAAAAACCCATTGGGAAAAATGTTTACAACTTTTTTGGAGGATGTATTTTTATTTTAATCAAATGTTTATGTACACAAAACTTAAGATCCCCCATGACTCCTTCCCCTATATTTCCTGTTTCCCAGAGCACCCACGTTTATCTCTTTTAGCTGCTTTTGGAATTTACTTCTGTTTCTTTCATTAAATAACATCCTCATGTTGTTATTTGTTATTTCCTGATTTTTCAGTTTTAAGTATCTGTGGATTTCCCACTGTGAAAGATGAGGGCTTAGTTCTCTTTCATCGCCTTACCACCACCACACACAAACATAACCTTTTTGTCCCTTCCCCCTACCATGTTACTGATATAGTATATCAAACTTTCCATCAGATCACTATTCAATGTTTACATTACTGTGACTATGTAAATGCTCTTCACGGCTTGGCCAAGTATTATAGTACACTGTTACACCTTTTTTTCCCTTGCATAACTTTTTTTCATGTTAATATTTCTTTCCTTTTATAAATTAACACATAGTAAAATTGACTGTTTTGGTGTACTATTCTATCAACTTTAATAAATGTGTAGATTTGTGTAACCAACACTGCAATTGGGATGCAGAACAGCTCCATCATCTAAAATAACTCCCTTGTGCTACTGCTTTGTAATCACAGTCTCCCCACATCCCTAACCCCTAGCAACTGGTCTGGGGTCTGTTTTCTGTCACTCTAGTTTTACCTTTTCAGGACTGTCATGTAAGTAGAATCATATAGTATGTAACCTTTGGAGACTGGCTTCTTTCATTCAGTATATTTCTGTACCTTTGAGATTCATCCATGCTCTTGCATGTATCAATAATATGTTCTTTTCGATTGCTGAATAGTATTTTATAGGATAAATACACCACAGTTTGTATACCCATTCACCCATTGAAGGACATTTGGGTTGTTTCTAGTTTGGGGTATTTATGAATAGAGCTGCTATAAATATTCATGTACAGGTTTTTGTGTGAACATAAGCTTCATTTATCTACGGTAAATACCCAGGAGTAAGATTGCTGGGTCATGTGATAAGTGTATGTCAAACTTTTTTCCAGAGTGGCTGTACCATTTTGAATTTTCACCAGCAATAATATATGAGTTCCAGTTGCTCCATTTTCTTGTCAGCACTTGACATTGTCAGTAATTTTGCTTTAGCCATTTTAATAGGTGTGTAGTAGTATCACAGCATGATTTTAAATTCCAGTGATTAATGATGTTGAACATCTTTTCATGTGCTTAGTTGTCATCTATACACAATTCTTGGTGAAATTTCTGTTGAAGTCTTTTTCCCATTTTTTTGATTGGGTTGTTTTCTTACTCTTGAGTTTTGAGAGTTCTTTATATATTCAGGATACTAGTTCTTTGTCAAATAATGTGATTTTCAAAAATATTTTCTCACTTGTAGCTTGTCTTTTCATTCTCTTGATAGTGTCTTTCATACAGAAGTTTTTAATTTTGAAAAAACCTAACGTATCAACTTGTTTTCTATTATGGACAGTGTTTCCAGTATCAAGACATCTTGAGTTAATTTTAGTATAAGGCATGAAATTTAGGTTAGGTTTCATTTTGTTACATGTGGATGTCCAACTGATCCAGCATCCTTTGTTGACAAGACTATCCTATCTCCATTGAATTGTCTTTGAAGCCTTATCAAAAATCAATTGTCCATATTTCTGTAAGTCTATTTCTAGACTCTATATTCTTCTCCAGTGACCTATATGTTTGTCTCTTCATCACTACCACATTGTCTTGATTACTGTAGACTTACATAGTACCTCTTAAAATCAGGTAGTATGGGCTGGGCGCAGTGGCTCATGCCTATAATCCTAGCACTTTGGGAGGCCAAGGTGGGTGGATTACCTGAGGTCTGGAGTTCAGGACCAGCCTGGCCAACATGGCAAAACCCTGTCTCTACTAAACAATACAAAAACTAGCCGAGTGTGGTGGTGGGCACCTGTAATCCCAGCTACTTAGGAGACTGAGACAGGAGAATTGCTTGAACCCGGAAGACAGAGGGAGGTTGCAGTGAGCTGGGATCACACCATTGCACTCCAGCCTGGACGACAAGAGCAAAACTCTGTCTCAAGAAAAAGAAAAAATCAGGTAGTATGATTCCTCCTATTTTATACTTTTTCAAAATTGTTTTTAATATTTTGGTTCCTTTTTCTTTCCTTGTAAATTTTAGAATCAGCTTATCTATACCTGAGATTTTGATTGGAGTTGTGTTATATATATAGATAATTTTGAGGAAAGTTGATGCTTTAGTCCATGAACATGGTGTATCTCCCCATTTATTTAGGTTTTCTTTTATTTCTTCAACAGTGTTATAATTTTCAGTATACAGGATCTGTACATGTTCTGTTAATTTTATACCTAAGTATTTCACTTATTTTGAGAGCTATTATAAATGTTTTCCCCAGTTTTTGTATTTTAATTGCTAGTATATAGAAATTGGTGTTTTTTTGAACTACCTAACTTCACTTATCCATTCTAGGGGGTGTTTTGTTGGTTTCTTTTGTGATTTTCTGTATCAGTAATGTTGTCTGCGTTAGTACATGCAAATGGATATCTGTTTTCATGAGATATTGGTCTGTAGTTTTCTTGTATTGTCTTTGGTTTTTATACTGGATAATCCTGGCCTCATAAAATAAATCTGAATATATTGCCCGCTTTGCTGTTTTCTGGGAAAGATTATGTAGAATTGTATTTCCTTTTTATTTATTTTTGTTGTTTGTGTGGATCTTTATTTTCTTAGTTTTTTTAATTAAGTAAAATTGCATATATGGTGTACAACATGTTTCAATATATGTATACACTGTAGCATGTATAAGTCAAGCTATTTAGCATATGCATTACCTCACATATTTGTTATTTTTTTGTGGTGAAAACACTTAAAATCTACTCTCCTGGCAATTTTTAAGTATACAATATGTCACTATTAACTGTAGTTACCAAGATGTATAGCAGATCTCTTGAACTTACTCCTCCTGTCTACTGAAATTTTGTGTCCTTTGACCAACATCTGCCCAATCCCTCCACCTCCTAGCCTCTGGTAACTACTATTTCACTCTGCTTTTTTAGATTCCACATGTAAGTGAGATCATGTGTTATTCCTCTTTCTGTATCTGGCTTCTTTCATGTAACATAATGTCCTCCTGGTTCATCCATTTTGTCACAAATTACAAGATTTCCTTCTTTTTAAAGGTTGAATATTGTTACATTGTGTATATATACCACGTTTTCTTTATTTGTTTATTGATGTACACTTTGTACAGGTTGATACTGTCCTAATAAAATGAGTTGGAAGTATTCGCTCATCTATTTTCTGGAAAAGGTTACATAAAATCAGGTTATTTTTCAGGGAGAGAAGTTAATTTTTAAAATGTTTGATATTACCTTATAAAACTATCTGGGCCTGGAGACTTTTTTCCAGAAGAATTTAAATTATAAAATCAATTGCTTTAGTAGATATAAGATTATTCAAATCAGCTATTTTATCTTAGTCTTGGTATTTTGTGGTTTTTGAGGAAGTGACTCATTTAAGTTATCAAATGAGGAATTGGTTCACTTCATCTAAGTTGTCAACTATATGTATAACATTGTTTATAGTATTCCCTTATTATCCTTTTGTTATCTGCAGGGTCTGCAATGATAATCTCCTATTACATTTCTGATATTGGCAGTTTGTCTTCTCCCCTTTTCATTAGTCTTACTAGAGATTTATCCATTTTATTGAACTTCCCATTCCTAGAGAATAAGCTTTTGGTGTCACTGGTTTTATCTCTTGTCTTTCTGTTTTCAAGTTCGTTGATTTCTTTCTTTTATTTTCTTTGGGTTTATTTTTGCTTTCTTTTTCTATTTCTTTAAGATGGAAGTTTACTTTATTGATTTGAGACCTTTCTTTTCTAATATAAGCATTGATGCTATGAGTCTCTACATATCACTTTAGCTGCATTTCACAAATTTGAACATATTGTATTTTCATTTTCATTCAGTTCAAATATTTTATAGTTTATTTTGAGATATTATCTTTCACCCATGAATTATTTGGAAGTGTGTTGTTTAATTTCCAAGTGTTTGGAAATTTTCATGTTAACTTCCTGTTACGTCTTTCCAGTATAGTATGGTCTTAGAACACAGTATGATTTCAGTTCTTTAAATTTGTTAAGGTTTGTTTTGTCAACACAGGATGTGGTCTAGCTTGGTAAATGTCCATGTGTCTTTGAAAAAAACATGTATTCTGTTGTTTGGTGGAGTTTCTATAAATGTCAGATCCAATTGATTAGTGGTATTGTTCAGTTCTTCTGATCCTTGCTATCTACCGATTTTGTTGATTACTGAGAAGAACACTGAAGTCTGTAACTGTAATCTTGGATTTTGTCTATTTCTCCTTTCATTCTGTCAGTTTTTCTGTTGTGCATTTTGAAGCTCTATTGTTAGGTGTTATCCATTTAGGATTCTTACATGTCTTGGTGAATTGACCCTTTTATCATTATGAAATGTCTTTATTCACAATTACTTTTTTTGCACTGAAGTGTACATAATGCACTGATATCAGTATAGCCATTCCAGTTTTCGTGTGTGTGTGTGTGTGTGTGTGTGTGTGTGTGTGTGTGTGCGCGCGCTTGCCTGGTATATTTTTTTCCATCCTTCTAACCTACCTGTGTCATTATATTTGAAGTAAGTTTCTTGAGACAGCATATAGTTTGATTATTTATTTATTTATTTAATTTATTTTTTTGAGACGGAGTTTTGCTCTTGTTTCCCAGGCTGGAGTGCAATGGCATGATCTCAGCTCACCACAACCTCCACCTCTTGGGTTCAAGCAATTCTCCTGCCTCAGCCTCCTGAGTAGCTGGGATTACAGGTGTGCGCCCCATGCCCGGCTAATTTTGTATTTTTAATAGAGATGGGATTTCTCCATGTTGGTCAGGCTGGTCTTGAACTCCCGACCTCAGATGATCTGCCCACCTTGGCCTCCCAAAGTGCTGGGATTACAGGCATGAGCCACTGTGCTCAGCCTTGTTTGATTATTTTTTAATCCACTCTGACAATCTGAATTTTAATTAGTATGGTTTGGACTATTTATGTTTAATGTGATTATATATATGTTTTTATTTTAGATCTGCCATTTTATTTTTCTGTTTGTTCCCCTGATTTTCATTCATCTGCCTCCTCTTTCTTGCCTTCTCTTAGGTTATTTGAACATTTTTTAGTATTCCATTTTATCTACTATGGTTTTTTTTTTTTTTTTTTTTTTTTTTGAGACAGAGTCTTGCTCTGTTGCCCAGGCTGGAGTGCAGTGGCACAATCTCGGCTCACTGCAAGCTCTGCCTCTCAGGTTCACGCCATTCTCCTGCCTCAGCCTCCCGAGTAGCTGGGACTCCAGGCACCCACCAGCACACCTGGCTAATTTTTTTTTATTTTCAGTAGAGACGGGGTTTCACCGTGTTATCCAGGATGGTCTCAATCTCCTGACCTCATGATCCGCCCACCTTGACTTCCCAAAGTACTGTGTTTTTATTATATCTATTTGTATAGTGTTTTTAGTGGTTGCTTTAGGAATTACACTTGTCATTCTTGACTTTTACAATGTACTTAGTCAGCATTTTACCACTTTGGAATGTCAGTGTCTTACCCTACTATTTAGATCTTTTTACCCCTTCCTTTTTCCTTTATGCCATCCTTGTCTTATATATTACACCTGCATATAATTTATGATGTTAGTTTTTGCTTTCCATCTTCAAGAATATTCTTTAAAAGTTCAAGAGAATAGTTGTTATATATACCCAGATATTTATCATTTCTGTTGGTCTTTCTTTTTCTGATATTCCAAGTTTCCTTCTGATATCTCCTTTCTGTCCAAAGAACTTCCTTTAACAATTATTTTTGAGTAGGTATGCTGACCATGAATTCTGTTTTCTTTATTGAGAATATATTTATTACTTCATTCTTGAAGGATATTTTGGCTGTATATAGAAACCTGGGTTCCCATTTCTTCTCTTTTAGCACTTTAACAGTTTCATTCTTCTCCTTTCTGCCCTTCATGGTTTCTGATGCAAAATCCACAGTAATTGAAATTGTTCTTCCTTTATAAGTAATGTGTTATTTTTCTTTGGCTACATTCAAGATAGTTCTTTGTCTTTAGTTTTCAGCAACTTGAGTAGAACCTGTCTGGGCATGGATTTCTTTAGGTTTATCCAGTTTGGGTTTTGGTGAACTTCTTGAATCTGTAGATTTATGTCTTTCACCAAATTTTGGATGTTTTCAGCCATATTTCTTCAAATTATTTTTCTGCATTATATTCTTTCTGTTCTCCTTGTGAGACTCTGATGACACAAATGTTATATCTTTTGGTATTGTTCCACAGTCCCTGAGGCTCTGTTTTGAGTTTTTTGTTTGGTTGTTTTTTTTGTTTTTTTCCCCCCAATCTTTTTTTCTCTTTTGTTTAGATTTTATCATTTCTAGGGATCTGTCTTCAAGTTCATGCATTCTTTCATTTCTGTTCTGCTATTGAAAAGACAGCCAGGGATCTCAATATTCATTATAAAAACTTTCATTTGATTCCTTAATAATTTTTTATTATGATTGCTCCATCCTCAGTTTTACCCTCCAGAATATTTCTGGTCTTCTGACAGATAGAAGAGATGTAGTTGCCTGAGTTCTTGGAATAGGGGAGAGTATCTGGAGATCTAAGTCCTGCTTACACAGACTTTCAGCCAGTGTGCTTGTTTTCATTCCCATTTTACCCCCTCAATTCCAAAAACCTTTTAGTACAAATTTCTGAGTTTTTGAGGTATATATTGTATAGATTTGGGTTGCTTCTCAATTTTTTCACTACAAGCTCAGGATTCCACTTTCTCAGGACTGCTTAATCGGTTGTCACTTGTCTGCTTTCCTGTACCCAGAAAGTAGATGGTGCTTTCTCCTCTTCTGTTCTCTTTGACTATAAAGATTATATCCTAAATCTCTTTATTATTTTGGTGGCATTTCAGAAGGGAAATTAATAAATTGTGAATTCAAACTGTCATCTTTACCTGGAGTCAGGAAAAAACTATAAAACCTAAATTTTATGTGCTCATATAGGAACTATAAATGATAGTTTTTCTTTGTCTTCTGTTACATTTTAGGATGAGATCCCCACTGGAATGCCATGCCTGGAGTCAGTGACCATAGGTGATGATATTTGGGATGAGAACTGGTTACCTCTACAGGCTAAGATGGGAAAAGGAGGTGATGCTGCCTCCCATCTATTTACTGCAAGCCTTGGTGGAAAGAATCAGTATTCATCATGTAAAGAAATGCCACAGAAGGTTAGATCCTTGGAAAAATAGAAAGCAAATCAGGCCGGGCACTGCGGCTCAAGCCTGTAATCCTAGCAGTTTGGGAGGCCAAGGTGGGTGGATCAGTTGAGCTCAGGAGTTCATGACCAGCCTGGGCAACATGGTGAGACCCTGTCTCTACTAAAAATAGCCAGGTGTGGTGGTGTGCACTTGCTCTCCCAGCTACTTGGAAGGTTGAGGTAGGAGGATCAGTGCTTGAGCCTGGGAGCTGGAGGTTGCAGTGAGCCAAGATCATGCCACTACATTCCACCAGCTTGGGTGACAGAGTAAGACCCTATCTAAAAAAAAATAGGAAAAGAAAGCAAATCAGTACTGAGAAAAGGAAATTTAAATTTAATTGTCTAGGTCCAAGAAAGCTATATATTCTGGAATTCAAAAGTATTTATCAGGCCATAATTCAAAGAATACATGATTTTAAAAAATGGCAGTGACATGTAGTGGGACAGAGGATTCATCATGGGACAATAAACCATAGGCCAATTTTTGCATATCTGCCCTTTTAATCATTGTGATTTTTGTTTTATCATTGGCCCCTAGTCAAGGCCCTTAGGATCTATAAATAAATGAAAGAAACCATTTTCTCTAATTCTACTGTTGTTGCTTTAGCCTTGTAATATAACCCCTGGATTTCTGGAGTCAGCATATTTGCTAATATTAGGCCTAACTATATATATTTGAAATTTATTTTCCACTGGCTATAAGAATAAGTATCTGAAATTATGTTGCTCCTTCATGTTTGTGCTATTTAAGTACTAGGTGATCATGAAAAAAATCATCTAGCCATGAAAAAGATATTAAAGGAAAGACTACAAACAGAGTTGTATTTATTTTTGAGATCCATGTGTTCAGAGTTCAAGATACTGGGTATGGACCAATAAAGCAAGGAGGAAAGTCAAACTGATATAGAAAGTTAATAAATACCTTTTTTAAAAATATGTATTGCTTTCTTGCATTTATCTTGCCCAAGTTATCCTCTTTTTGGGTCATGTTGCACTTTATCTCAGTCTGTTGTTGCCATTTTTTCATTATAGGACTGGTGTTTTTCTACCCCTAAAGATACATGGGATGATTCTTGGCAGCCTTCAGGCCTTGTAAATGGAACGAAAGTAGAAGTTCATAAGCCAGAAGTACTGGGTGCTCAGGAAAAAAATACTGGCACAAACAGGACTCAAAAGGTAAATGTCTAATGCAGGTTATTGGGACAGGTTTGCATAAGGAAGTCCTTTCATTTTTAGAAAGCAAAATTGTCTCAATTTACATATTTTGATATTGCCTGTCTCTTAACAGCTTGCTGTAGCTGTTACTGTTGATGATAAATTTGACTTTCTGGGCTTTGTACTAGAGTTATGAGTGGATTTGCACCCCAGAATACTTGTGGTTAATGACCTCTCTCAGCAGTTGTAGAATACATATACATAAAATATATGTTGATTTTAAAATGAAAACATAATTACTTATTGCTTCAGAAGAGAATCCTGAGCCTAGAATTTTAAAAATGATTAAACCTCTCTTAGAGATACAGAAAATTGGGATTTTCCTGTAACTTAGTCATAATTTTAAGCTCTATATTTGTCGCATAGTCTAGACTGGTTTCTTCATTCACATTGCTTTGGCAGAAAGCAGTAATCCTGGCATAGAATCTAATTGTTTCAGGTTTCCTGAATATATTACGAGCATCCTGAAAGCAGCAGGACAATGTCTGTGAATCACGAAATTTGGCTGCCAGGCCTCTTTACTTTGGTGTGTTACATTGAAAATAAAGAGCTTAAGTCTAGAAGACTTGTTCAAAAGCAGATCTAGGGAAGATGAACCTTCTAAGTGACACATTTCCTTCAGACTGTGGTTACTTTTGTATGAGAATGATAAAGTCATTCTGTATTTCATAGAATGGTCTCTTCCAGAAATGTAGCTTACTTAATGCATGAATTTAGTTTCAGGATAAAGTAGGCTTTTATATTTTGTTTCTCTTGTCTTTTTTTTTAAATACAGCTTTATTGGAATATAATTGATATACCATTATAATTCACTATTTAAAATGCACAATTCAATGTTTTTAGGATACACAGCTGTGCAGCTATCACTACAGTCTATTTTAGAATATTTTCATCACGCTCTCAAAAAAAACCACCCATGACCATTAGCAGTCATACTCCTTCCCTGTCCTCTCACAGCCTTAGGCAGCTACTTACTAATCTGCTTTCTGTCTCTACAGATTTGTCTGTTAAATGGCACACAGTATGTGGTTTTCTGTGATTGTCTTCTTTCACCTAGCATTAATAATGTCTTCAAAATTCATCCTTGTTGTAGTATGAACCAGTACTTTATTCCTTTCTATGGCTGAATAATATTCCCTTCTATGATATACCACATCTTATTTATCCATTCATCAGTTGGTGGGAATTTGGGCTGCTTTCACATTTTGGCTATTATGCTGCTAAGAATGTTCAAGTACAAGGTTTTCTGTGAACATGTTTTAGTTTTTCTTAGATATATAACTAGGAGTGGAGTTTCTGGATCGTATGGTAATTCTGCTTTTAACATTTTGTGGAATTGGCATACTGTCATTCAAAGTGGCTGCAACATTTTATGTACCCCCCAGCAGTGTATGAGGGTTCCAGTTCTCCATATCTTCACCAACACTTATTGCCTGTTCTTTTGATTATGGCCATGCTAGTGGATATGAAGGGTTTTCTTTCCATATCCCTGATGGCTAATGATGTTGGGTGTCTTTTCATGTGCTTATTGGTGATTTATCTTCTCTGACAAGATATTCAGATCCTTTGCCCATTTTAAAAGTAGGTTGTCTTTTGTTATTCAGATATAAGAAAATATCATATTACAAGTCCCTTATGAGATATATTATTTTCAAATTTTCTACTCTTCTGTTTTTCTTTTTCACTTAATGGTGTCCATTGCAGCACAAAAGTTTGTTTTTAATAAAATCCAATCGATTTTTTTATTTGGTTGCTTGAGCTCTTGGTCTCCCCTAATAAGCCATTGTCTGACCAAAAGTTACAAAGATTTACACTTGTGTTTTCACCTAAGCATTTTATAATTTTAGCTCTTACATTTAGGCCTTTGATCCATTTTGAGTTAATTTGTTATGGTGTGAGATAGAGTCCATCTTTATTCTTTTGCATGTGGACATTCAGCTGTACCAGCACTAGTTGTTGAAACGATGATTCTTTCCCCATGAATTGTCTTGGCATCCTTATTGAAAATCAGCTGACATAAAGATAGGGTTTATTTCTGGATTCTTAATCCTATTCTCTATGTGTCTGTTCCTATACCAGCGTCACATTGTCTTGATTACTCTAGCTATTTAATAAGTTTTGAAGTCAGGAAATCTGAGTCCTCAAACTTTTTCTGTCATGTAGTTTTATACTATTAATTTATACCCCACGAAGAGAAGTTACAAAGGTAAAATCTTTACTGTATCATAATGAACTCCTTAAGGTATATTTCTTAAGAAAGTTTTCTTTTTCTACCCCTTTTTCTATTCCTATTCTAAAGCAACCTGTACTTACCATGCAGGTTGAATATCCCTTATTCAAAAGGCTTGGGACTGGAAGTATGCTTAGGATACAGTCCTCTCCTGCTGTCTGTATCTTCAGCCTCTTTCTACTGGAGTGTTCTCATAAGCATTTAAACATGTTAGTGTACCTTCCGTCTAAACAAAATTTAAACATTCCAAATTTTTTTAATCCCAAAGTCCTCTCTAGCTACCACACTTGTTTTTCATCCCCTATGTAGACAAACATGTTTTGCTTTTGAAAATTATGAAAGTACTACATATGCAGGATTTTAAAATTCAAGTAGTTCTGAAAGTTACGGAAATAAGATATCCTTGCCTCTTCTAATCCAACTCCCATCATAAGCAGTTTCTTGTGTATCCTTCCTAGAAACTAAACACATACATGAGAACATGATACACATACTGTTCAGCACCTTTCCATTTCAATACTTACAAACCTACCTCATTGCTTTAAACTCCTGCAGAGTATGGATATGCCACACTGATTTAAATAGTTCTGATGAATATCTATTTTTAAGATTTCATGTGACTTTAAACAATACTACAGTGATTATCCTTCAAGTCACCATCTATTCCCATGTTGCTAAATTAGGTTGGCATGTTTTAACCTTACAGTACCTGATTGCTCAGCAATATTTGAAAGTAATCTTGTGTTCCTTCTTGAAACATAATCTTCCTTTGGGTTTTGTGATGCCATGATCTTTTTTCCTCCTACCTCCCGACGTAATTTGTAGGCTTGCTCCCTGTGGTGTCTCCCAGAGTTCTGCCCTATGCCGTTTTCTTACTCCTTCCCATGTTTTCATTTATCTTAGTATGTAACTAGATAAGCATATGGCAACCCTATGTTTAACATTTTGAGGAACTACCAGGATATTTTCCAGAGCAGTGGTGCCATTTTACATTCCTACCAACAATTTAAGAGTACTCCAGTTTGTCCATGTCAACATTTGCTGTTCTTGCCAACAATTGTAATCATGTCTTTTTTATTATAGCCATTCTAGTGGATGTGAAGTGATTTGGGGCATTTGTTCATGTTTCATAAATCATGAACATGTTTGTTGAGACTAACCTGTAGTTCCATCTTGGTGTATTTCCAAACAACTGTGAGGGAGTCAGTCATTTATAACTACAGAAGAATAAATCTGGTAGAGCAGTGCTTCTCAAACTATAATGTGTATACAGGTCACCTGGGAATCTTGTTAAAATGCAGATTCTTATCCAGCATATCTGGGGTAGGGACCAAAGCTCTTCATGTCTAGCAAGCTTCCAACTAATGCTGATGCTGCTGATGAGTGAACACCACTTTTGAGTAGTAAGGCTCTAGGTTACTGTTAGAAGGGGAAGACTTATTTTCAACTAATTGCTTAAATTTACTACACATACTTGCTTTCAGATGTGATACAAATTTAAAGTGAAATTCAGAGTGAAAGCTATCAGGATGCATTTAAATATGTGTCAACAGTGCATCTTTCTTAAATCATATTTGTCAAGAAAGAAGATATAGCTTTTTAAAAATGTTTCTGTATATTATCTATTAAACAGCTAAACATAGGCAGTAGGGCATAATGTAAAAAGCACTGGTCTGTGAGTGCTATAATCTAGGGCCTAGTCTTTACCACTGACTAGCAAGTTTAAACAAGTTACCTTTTGTGCCCTGAGCTTGTCCACCTGTGAAGACTGATTTGAACTAGTAATCTCCCCAGCTTAAAAAATTTATGATATTAATATTGATTTACTTATTATTGCAGCTTATTGAAAGAATTCACTCATTCTCAGCCTCATTTTAAGTGAAGATAAACTTAAAAGGTAGTTCAAGTATACATGTGAATTGCATAAACTATGCAAAAATTTGAGTCCAGGTCTTTGGTTTCCTGAAATAACATCTTGTATGGCCCAGTATAGCTATCTGGAGTTTTAGAATTTCTTTTTTGCAACCAAGAAAGGTTATACACACAGGCATTTATATATTATATAATTATATAAGCCACATTCATGCCAGCCATCTTTGAAAGTGAGCAGCTATAGATTTTTGCCACAGAAGGAACATTTGCTGATATTAAATGTGTGATGCATATGAGCCAGAAAAACAAGCCTACATCTGTTTGTACAATTATTGTTTCAGTTTGCTCTAGGCAGATCCCAGACGATAAACCACTTAGTTCAGCTTGTTACAGCTTGGTCTGATGGGGTCCTCTTTACTCATGTTAATGCCAGTTGACATCACCAAAGATCAATGCTATTAAATGACCATAGAGTACACTTACTTCAGCAATGACTATATGGTAGGAAATGGGGTCTAATTCATAATGGTTAAAATTTGGCACTCCCTTCATTTAAGCTCAAGTTCAATCTCAGTTTGGAAGTTCATCTTTTTCTCTCAAACCCTGGCCTTTTTGTCCCTTCTGAGGAGCATGCAGCTCTTGCCTCCTTTCATGGCTAGCTGCACACACACAGTTTCCCTGACTGAGGACTGAGTGCCCCTTAGGGACAGGGATCCTGTCTGACTGGGAGGTGGTGTGGTAGAGCACAGAGAACATAGACTGGCTTAAGTTCAAATCTGCACCCTGCCATTTACTGATGGACATTGGATAACTTAACCACTCTGTAAAAGCATTATGCTAAGTGAAAGAAGACGTAGTATCACCTACCTAGGACACCTGTTCTGATGTTCAAATGAAGAAACACATGCAGATAACCTAGCACTGTGCCCGACACGGGGTGCTCAGTGAACATCACTTCTCTCGTGCCCTGCCCCTCTTTCCCAGCCTGTGTATGGTAGCACTCAGTGCCCTGTTTGCTTATGGGATGTGTTCCATAAATGTTTCTTGAATTGAATTTATGTTCATTAGGATAGAGAAGGACTTGCTTTTTCTAGAGAGTATCTAGGTTCTTTTTTTTTTTTTTTTTTTGTGATGGAGTCTCGCTCTGTCGCCCAGGCTGGAGTGCGGTGGCGCAACCTCGGCTCACTGCAACCTGCGCCTCCCAGGTTCACGCCATTCTCCTGCCTCAGCTTCCTGAGTAGCTGGGACTACAGGCGCCTGCCACCACGCCCAGCTAATTTTTTTTGTGTTTTTAGTAGAGACGGGGTTTCACCATGTTGGCCAGGATGGTCTCGATCTCCTGACCTCGTGATCCGCCCGCCTCGGCCTCCCAAAGTGCTAGGATTACAGGCGTGAGCCACCGCGCCCGGCTGAGAGTATCTAGGTTCTTGAAAGTGAGTAGTTTTATTTATTTATTATAATATGGAAATATTTGTATTTTGCTTATAAGTAAGGAAATAGGGCTTAATTATTCTTATACTAACACTTTTCATGTTTTTGCCCCATTTTTCCCATTCTGCAGCAACTAGACATAAATGGTTCTTCAGATTCTTCCACACTGCCCAAATTGGAAGAATTCTGTACCTCTCTTACCCAGTCAGAGCAGTCAGCAGACGGGAGCCAGTCTGAACCCAACAACAGTCAGACTCAGCCAAAGCAAATTCAGCTTTCCACAGCAGCACCCTGTTCAACAACTGCAGTGGATGATTCCGCAGAAAAGCCCTCTGGTTCTGGTATGTTTGTGTGTACTTGTGCATGCTCACAGTTGACAAACATGATGGTTTGCCATGTTGCTAAAACAAACCTTCATTTATCCCTTGCAAAATATACCTTGAAACATTACTGACGTTAGCATTTGTGTTAAGTCCTTGTTTTATGTTTGGGCTCAATTGTTCCTTTAACTTTGCCACTCTTCTTTTTTTCTGCACTTTTGTTTTTTTGCCGGAGGGGTGGGGCGTCCCATTTATATAGAGTAAAATTTGCTGGTTGTCAAGTGTATAGTTCTTTGAGTTTCGACAAATTGATAGTCTCGTCATCACAGCCATAATCATGATAACATTTCCATCAGCCTGAAAAGTTTCCTTGTGCCCCTTTGCAGTCAGTCCCATTGCCTACTTGCCTCTGGCATGTCACTTTCCCTTTTCTAGAATTTCATATAAATGGAATTATGTGTAGTTTTTATGTCTGGCTGGCTTCTTTCACTTATGGTAATATTTTAGAGTTTCGTTTATGTTGTGCCAGTATCAAAAAGTTGCTCCTATTTATTTGCTGAATAGTATTCAGTTACATGGATATACCACAATTTACCTGTTTACCAGTTAATGGACACCTATGTTGTTTCCAGAATTTGACCATTATGAATAAAGCTGCTATGAACATTTGCACATAGCTCTTTCTGTAGACGTATGTTTTTATTTCTATTAAAGATATACATAAGAGGCTGGGCACGATGGCTCACGCCTGTAATCCCAGCACTTTGGGAGGCTGAGGTGGGTGGATCACGAGGTCAGGAGTTCAAGACCAGCCTGGCCAAGATGATGAAACCCCATCTGTACTAAAAATACAAAAATTAGCCAGACACAGTGTCAGGAGCCTGTAATCCCAGCTACTTGGGGGAGGCTGAGGCAGGAGAATTGCTTGAACCCAGGCGGCAGAGGTTGCAGTGAGCCGAGATCGTGCCACTACACTCCAGCCTGGGTGACAGAGTGAGACTCCGTCTCAAAAAAAAAAAAAAAATTATATATGTACACACACATAGGAGTCGATTTGCTAGGTCATACAGTAACTGCATGTTTAACTTTTTAGAAACTGCCAAAATTTTCTAAAGTGATTGCACCAATTTGCAGTCCCACCAGCAAGGAATAAAAGTTCCAAGCACTCCACATCCTTGCCAGTAGATGTTATTGTCGATCTTTTTAAATTTTGCCAGTCTGTTGGGTATGTAGTGGTATATTATTGTAGTTTTAATTTGCATTTTCCTGTTTACCACAATGTTCACCATCTTTTTTGTGTGCTTATTTGCCATTCATATATCTTCTTTAGCTAAGTGCCTGTTCAAGTATTTATTTACTTTTTAAATTGGGTTATCTTCTTACCTACCTGTAGAAGTTCTTTGTTCTGTATACACATTCTTTGTCAGGTATAAATATTCCTCCAGTCTGTGGCTTGCCTTTTAGTATCTTTGGAAGAGCAAAAGTTTTCAAGTCCAGTTTATTGATTTTTTTCTCTTTACAATTTGAGCTTTGTGTATCTTGTTTAGAAATCTTTAACTCAAATAACTAAGATTTTCTCCTACATTTTCTTATAAAATTTTTGTAGTTTTAAGTCTGAGATCCAATTCAAGTTAATATTTGTATAGGGTATGATGTGAGGATCAATGTTTATTTTGTTTGCATCTGAATGTCCATTTGTTCCAGCACCATTTGTTGAAAAGACTATCTCCAGTAAATTGCCTTGACACCTTTGCCAAAAGTCAATAGGCTGTATTTGTGAGGATCTGTTTCTAAAATTTCCATTTTGTCCTCTTGGTCTATATGTCTGTTTTTGTACTACTATCTTAATTACCATGGCTTTATAATAAGTCTTGAAATCACATAATGTTAGTCCTCCAACTTTCTTTTTCTCAAGTTGTTTTGCTATTATAGGTCCTTTGATTTTCACATAAATTTTAGAATTAGCTTGTCAGTATCTGCACAAAGCCTGCTAAGATTTTGATCTGATTTTTTAAATTTAAGTTTGTAGATCAATTTGAGGAGAATTCTCATCTTAACAATATTAAGTCTATCCACATACTACATTTTTTGTTTTGCAACAAAGTTTTCATTAGAATGTAAGTTGTTCAGTTATACTGTACTTCTTATGTATAATTTTCATAAAATATTTTGTAAAAACCTAGGACAAATTATATGATTTTTAAAATTTAAAAAATTTACTTCAATAGGTTTTTGGGGAACAGGTGGTGTTTGGTTACTTGAAAGTTCTTTAGTGATGATTTCTGAGATTTCGGTGCACTCATCACCTGAGTGTATACACTGTACCCAATGTGTAGTTTTTTATCCCTCGAAACCCCCCACCCTTTCTCTTGAGTCCCCAAAGTCCAATGTATCATTTTTATGCCTTTGCGTCCTCATAGCTTAGCTCCCACCTATGACTGAGAACATACGATATTTGGTTTTCCATTCCTGAATTACTTCACTTAGAATAATAGTCTCGAATTCCATCCAGGTTGCTGCATATGCCATTATTTCGTTCCTTTTTATGGCTGAGAAATATTCCATGGTGTGTGTGTGTGTGTGTGTGTGTGTGTGTGTGTGTGTGTGTGTATCACATTTTCTTTATCCACTCATTGATTGATGGGCATTTGAGCTGGTTCCATGTTTTTACCATTACAAATTGTGCTGCTATAAATGTGTGTGCAAGTATCTTTTTCGTATAATGACTTCTTTTCCTCTAGGTAGATACCTAGTAGTGGGATTGCTGGATCAAATGGTAGATCTTAGCTCTTTAAGGAATCTCCACACTGTTTTCCATAGTGGTTGTAATAGTTTATATTCTTACCAATAGCATAAAAGCATTCCCTTTCCACCGCATGCATGCCAACATCTATTATTTTTTTATTTTTTTGATTATGGGTATTCTTGCAGAAGTGAGGTGGTATCACATTGTGGTTTTAATTTGCATTTCCCTGATAATTAGTGATGTTGAGCATTTTTCCATATGCTTGTTGACCATTTGTATATCTTCTTTTGGGAATTGTCTATTCAAGTCCTTTGGGATTGTTTCATTTTTTCTTGCTGAGTTCTTTGTAGATTTTTGGATATTAGTCCTTTGTTGGATGTATAGATTGTGAAGATTTTCTCCCATTCTGTGGGTTGTCTTGTTAACTCTGCTGATTATTTCTTTTGCTGTACAGAAGCTTTTTAGTTTAATTAAGTCCCATTTATTTATGTTTGTTTTTGTTGAATTTGCTTCTGGGTTCTTGATCATGAATTATTTGCCTAAGCCAATGTCTAGAAGGGTTTTTCCAATGTTATACTCTAGAATTTTTAAGGTTTCAGGTCTTAGATTTAAGTCTTTGATCCATCTTGAGTTGATTTTTATATAGGGTGAGAGATGAGGATCTAATTTCATTTTTCTACATGTGGCTTGCCAATTATCCTAGCACCATTTGTTGAATAGGGTGTCCTTTCCCCACTTTATGTTTTTGTTTGCTTTGTCAAAAATCAGTTGGCTGTAAGTATTTGGCTTTGTTTTTGGGTTCCCTATTCTGTTCCATTGGTCTATGTGCCTATCTTTATGCCGGTACCATGCTGTTTTGGTAACTATGGCCTTATAGTATAGTTTGAAGTCAGGTAATGTGATGTCTCCAGATTTGTTCTTTTTGCTTAGTCTTGTTTTGGCTATGTGGGCTCTTTTTTGGTTCCATATGAATTTTAAGATTGTTTTTTCTAGTTCTGTGATGAATGATGGTAGTATTTTGATGGGAATTGATCTGAATTTGTGGATTGCTTTTGGCAGTATGATCATTTTCACAATATTGATTCTACCCATCCACGAGCATGAGATGTGTTTCCATTTGTTTGTGTCATCTATGATTTCTTTCAGCAGTGTTTTGTTTTTCTCCATATAGAAGTCTTTCACGTCTTGGTTAGCTATATTCCTAAGTATTCTATTTTTATTGCAGCTATTGTGAAAGGGGTTGAGTTTGTGAACTCAGAAAATCTGAGACAGGTCTCAGTTAATTTAGAAAATTTATTTTGCCAAGGTTGAGGATGTGCCTGTGACAGAGCCTCAAGAAGTCCTGATGACATGTGCCCAAGGTGGTCAGGGCACAGCTTGGTTTTATACATTTAGGGAGACATGAGACATCAATCAATATATGTAAGAAGTGCATTGGTTCGGTCTGGAAGATGGAACAACTTGAAGCAAAGGCAAGAAGCAGGGAGGGAGCTTCCAGGTCACAGATGGGTGATTCACAAATGGTTACATTCTTTTGAGTTTCTGATTAGCCTTTCCAAAGGAGGCAAATCAGATATGCATCTATCTCAGTGGGCAGAGGAGTGACTTTGAGTAGAATGGGAGGCAGGTTTGCCCTAAGCAGTTTCCAGCTTGAGTTTTCCTTAGTGATTTTGGGGGTGCAAGATATTTTCCTTTCACAAGTTCTTGATTTGATTCTCAGCTTGGTCACTGTTGATGTATAGCAGAGCTACTGATTGTGTACATTAATTTTGTATCCTGAAACTTTGCTGAATTCATTTACCAGTTCTAGGAGCTTTTTGGATGAGTCGTTAGGGTTTTCTAGGTATACAATCATATCAGCAAACAGTGACAGTTTGACTTCCTCTTTACCGATTTGGGTGCCCTTTATTTCTTTCTCTTGTCTGATTGCTCTGGCTAGGACTTCCAGTACCATGTTGAATAGAAGTGGTGAAAGTGGGCATCCTTGTCTGTTCCATTTCTCAGGGGGAATGCTTTCAACTTTTCCCCATTCAGTGTAATGTTGGCTGTGAGTTTGTCATAGATGGATTTTATTACCTTAAGGTATGTCCCTATATGCCGATTTTGCTGAGGGTTTAATCATAAAGGGATGCTGGATTTTGTCAAATGCTTTTTCTGCATCTATTGAGGTGATCAAGTGATTTTTGTTTTTAATTCTATTTATGTGGTGTATCACATTTATTGACTTATGTTAAACCATCCCTGCATCCCTGGTATGAAACCCCTCTGACCATGGTGGATTATCTTTTCAGTATGTTACTGGATTCAGTTCACTAGTATTTTGTTGAGGATTTTTGCATCTGTGTTCATCAGGGATATTGGTCTGTAGTTTTTTTTTGTTGTTGTTATGTCCTTTCCCGGTTTTGGTATTAGGGTGATACTGGCTTCACAGAATGATTTAGAGAGGATTTCCTCTTTATCTTTTGGAATACTGTCAATAGGATTGGTACCAATTCTTCTTTAAATGTGTGATAGAATTCAGCTGTGAATCCATCTGGTCCTGGACTTTTTTTGTTGACAGTTTTTTTTATTACCATTTCAATCTCACTGCTTGTTATTGGTCTGATCAGAGATTCTGTATCATCCTGGTTTAATCTAGGACAGTTGTATATTTCCAGAAATTTATCCATCTCTTCTAGGTTTTCTAGTTTACGTTTGTAAAGGTGTTAAAAGTAGCCTTGAATAATCTTTTGTGTTTCTGTGGTATCAGTTGTAACATCTCCCATTTCATTTCTAATTGAGTTTATTTGGATCCTCTCTCTTCTTTTCTTAGTTAATCTCACTAATGGTCTTTCAATTTTTATCTTTTCAAAGAACCAACTTTTTGTTTCACTTATCTTTTGTACCTTTTATTGTTTCAATTTCATTTAGTTCTCCTCTGATCCTGGTTATTTCCTTTCTTCTGCTGAGTTTGGGTTTGGATTGTCATTGTTTCTCCAATTCTGTGAGGTATAACCTTAGATTGTTTATTTGTGCTCTTATAGACTTTTTGATATAGGCATTTAATGCTATGAACTTTCCTCTAAGCACCACTTCTGCTGTATTCCAGAGGTTTTGATAGATTGTATCATTCAGTTCAAAGAATTTTTATTATTATTATTATTATTTTTTTTTTTTTTTTTTTTTTTTGAGACGGAGTCTCACTCTTTCGCCCAAGCTGGACTGCAGTGGCGCTATCCCGGCTCACTGCAAGCTCCGCCTCTTGGGTTCATGCCATTCTCCTGCCTCAGCCTCCCGAGTAGCTGGGATTACAGGCGCCCACCACCACGCCCGGCTAATTTTTTGTATTTTTAGTAGAGACGGGGTTTCACCGTGTTAGCCAGGATGGTCTCGATCTCCTGACCTCGTGATCCGCCCGCCTCGGCCTCCCAAAGTGCTGGGATTACAGGCGTGAGCCACCGCGCCCGGCCCTCAAAGAATTTTTAAATCCCCATCTAGATTTCATTGTTGACCCAATGATCATTCAGGAGCAGGTTATTTAATTTCCATCTATTTGCATGGTTTTGAGTGTTCCTCTTGGAGTTGATACCCAATTTTATTCTACTATGGTCTGAGAGAGTACTTGATATAACTTCAATTTCCTTAAATTTACTGAGGCTTGTTTTGTGGCCTATCATGTGGTCTAAGAGAATGTTCCATGTGTTGATGAATAGAATATATATTCTGCATTTTGTGGGGTAGAATGTTCTATAAATATCTGTTAAATCCATTTGTTGTAGGGTATAGTTTAAGTCCACTGTTTCTTTGTTGACTTTCTGTCTAGTGCTGTCAGTCGAGTATTAAAGTCCCCCACTGCTATTGTGTTGCCGTCGATATCTCATTTCTTAGGTCTAGTAGTAATTGTTTTATAAATTTGGGAGCTCCAGTGTTAGGTGCATGTATATTTAGAATTGCTATGTTTTCCTGTTGGACTAGTCCTTTTATCATTATATAATGTCCCTCTTTGTCTTTTTTAACTGCAGCTGCTTTAAAGTTTATTTTGTCTGATATAAGAATAGCTACTCCTGCTAGCTTTTGGTGTTCATTTGCATGGAATATCTTTTTCCATCTCTTTACCTTAAGTTTCTGTGAGTCCTTATGTGTTAGGCAAGTCTCCTGAAGGCAGCAGAAACTTGGTTGGTGAATTCTTATCCATTCTGCAGTTCTGTATCTTTTAAGTGGAGCATTGAGGCCATTTACATTCAATGTTAGTATTGAGATGTGAGGTACTATTCTATTCATCATGCTATTTGTTGCCTGAATACCTTGTTTTTTTCATTGTGTTATTGTTACGTAGGTCCTGTGAGATTTATGCTTTAAAGGAAGTTCTATTTTGGTGTATTTTGAGGATGTGTTTCAAGATTTAGTGCTCCTTTAGCAGTTCCTGTGCTGTCTTGGTAGTGGCGAAGTCTCTCAGCATTTGTTTGTTTGGAAAAGACTATCTTTCCTTCATTTATGAAGCTTAGTTTTGCTGGCTACAAAATTCTTGGCTAATAATTGTTTTGTTTAAGGAGGCTAGAAATAGGACCCCAGTCCCTTCTAGCTTATAGATTTCTGCTGAGAAATCTGCTGTTAATCTGATAGATTTTCCTTTGTAGGTTACCTGATGCTTTTGCCTCACAGCTCTTAAGAGTCTTTCCTTGGTCTTGACTTTAAATAACTTGATGACTGTATGCCTAGGCAGTTATCTTTTTGCAATGAATTTCCCAGGTGTTCTTTGAGCTGCTTGTATTTGGATATCTAGATCTCTAGCAAGACCAGGGAAGTTTTCCTTGATTATTCCCTCAAATATGTTTTCCATACTTTTAGATTTCTCTTCTTCTTCAGGAACACCAGCTATTCTTAGGTTTGGATGTTTAACCTAGTCCCAAACTTCTTGGAGGCGTTGTTCATTTTTTTAAATTATTTTTTCTTTGTGTTTGATGGATCAGGTTAATTCAAAAGCCTTGTCTTTGAGCTCTGAAGTTCTTTCTTCTGCTTGTTCGATTCTATTGCTGAGCCTTTCCAGTGCATTTTGCATTTCTCTAAGTGTGTCCTTGATTTCCAGAAGTTGTGATTGTTTTTTATTAATGCTTTCTATTTCACTGAAGAATTTTTCTTTCATATCCTGTATCATGTTTTTGATTTCTTTAAGCTGGACTTCACCTTTCTCTGGTGCCTCCTTGATTAGCTTGATAATCAACCTTCTGAAATCTTTTTCTGGCAATTCAGAGATTTCATCTTGGTTTGAATCCATTGCTGGTGAGCTGGTGTGATCTTTTAGGGGTGTTAAAGAACCTTATTTTGTCATATTACCAGAATGATTTTTCTGGTTCCTTCTTATTTGAGTAGAGTATATAAGAGGGGAGATCTGGGATTCAAGGGCTGCTGTTCAGATTCTTTTGTCCCACGGGATGCTCCCTTGATGTGGTGTTCTCTTCTTTCCCCTAGGATTGGGGCTTCCTGAGAACTGAACTGTGGTGATTGTTTTTGCTCTTCTGGGTTTAGCCAGTAAGTGGAGCTACTGGGCTCTGGGCTGGTACTGGGGAGAGTCTGCAAAGAGTCTTGTGATGTGATCCATCTTCAGGTCTTGCAGCCATAGATACCAGCACCTGCTCTGGTGGAGGTAGCAGGGAAGTGAAGTGGACTCTTTGAGGGTCCTTGGTTGTGTTTTTGTTTAGTACACTGGCTTTGTGTTGGTTGACCTCCAGCCAGGAGGTGGTGCTTTCAAAAGTACATCAGCTGTGGCCCTATAGGGAGGATGCAAACTTGCCCTAGGCATACCTGGTTAAGTACTCAGGTTTCTCAGGCAGTGAGCAGGGCCATAGAGCTCCCAAGAGATTATGACCTTTGTCTTTGGCTACCAAGACAGGTAGAGAAAGATCACCAACCAGGTGGGGGCAGGGACAGGTGTGTCTGAGCTTAGCCCCTCCTTGGGAAGGGCTTGCTGCGGCTGCTATGGGGGTGGGGGTGTGGTTCCCAGTCCAGTGGAATTACACCCCCAGGGGGATTATGGCTGCCTCTGCTGAGTCATACAGGTTGCCAGGGAAGTGGGGGAAAGCCGGCAGTCACGGGCCTCACTCCGCTCCCAGGGTAGCTTGCAGTTCTAAAGGCTAGTCTCACTCCCACCGTGGCTCCCTCAACAGCACCGAGTCTATTTCTAGGCAGCTGGTGACCAGGGCTGAGAATTTGCCCCAGACCATGAGCCTCCCCGTTGAGAAAGCAAGCAGACTCACAGTTTTTCAGCATCTCAGGGAAACTTCAGGGGTGATCCAGTTTCTTCAAAGGGTCTGTGGATCCTCTCAGCTTTCCCTATTTGCTCCAAGAACTACCACAGGAACATAAGTTCATGATGTGAGTCTCCACATGCCACTTTGTCCGTCCAGGCAGGAGCTATAGAGTAGTCCTGCCTCCTATCCGCCATCTTAATCGACTATATTTAAACATTTATTCTTCTTTAATTTCTAGCAATGATATTTTGTAGTTTTCAGGTGCATAGGTGTTTTTCATCTTTTGTTAAATTTATCCCTAAGTAATATTTTTATACTGTTGAATAAATGGCATTTTAAATTCAATTTTTTTTATTACTGGTATATAGAAATATAGTTGGTTTTCATATATTCCGTGACCTTGCTAAACTCATTTGTTCTAATAGCTCTTTTGGGATTTTCTGTATAGACATTTCATATGTGGGGGAAAAAAATCAGTTTACTACTTGTGAAATTGTTTGCCATTTTTCCTTTTCCTTGTACTGGTTAGGACTTCCATTATAGAGTTGAATAGGAGAGGCCAGAGTGACATCCTTGCATTGTTGTTGATCTTATAGGAAGCATTTTATCTTATTACAAATAAAGTGTAATGTTAGCTGTAGCCTTTTTGTAGATGCTGTTGGTAGGCTAAGAAAGTTCCAATTTATTCCTAGATTTCTGATAGTTTTTATTATGAATCGGTGTTGAATCTTATCAAATGCTTATTCTGCGTCTATTGAGATGGTTATGCTGTTGCTTGTTTTAATTGACTGTTTATGGGATGGTGAATTATATCGATTTTCAAATATTAAACCAACCTTACATTCCTGGGATAATGCCCTCGTGGTCATGATATACTATCCATTTTATAGAATGTTAGACTCTATTTGTTAAAATATTGTTAAGGATTTTTATGGCCATGTTCATGAGGGATATTTGTCTATAGTTTTCTTTTTTTATAATGTCTTTGTCTGGTTTTGGTATCCAGATAATGATGCTGTCATAAAATAAGTTGGGAAGTGTTTCCTCCTCTTCTATTAATATTGTCTGGAAGAATTTGTGTGGAATTGATATTATTTCTTCCTTAAATGTTTGGTAGAATTCAATAATGAGGACCTCTGGACCTAGAGTTTTCTTTGAAGGAAGGTATTTTAAGCTAATGTCTTTAATAGATACAAGGTTATTGATGATCAATTTCTTCTCAAGTAAACTTTGGTAGTTTTGTCTTTCAAGGAATTTATCCATTTCATCTAAACTGTAAAATTTATTAACATAAATTTTCATATTATTCCCTTATTTTAATATCTGTAGATATTAGTAATTTGTGCCATCTTTTTCCCCCCATCTAGAGGTTTTTCCCCCCGATCTAGAGGTTTATCAATTTTATTGAGCTTCTCAAATAACCAGATTTTTGGTTCCATTGATTTTCCTGTTTATCTGTGTTCTATTTTATTGATTTATGTTCTTTCTTTTCCCTTCCATTTGATTACTTTGGGCTTAATTTTTCTCTTTTTCTAGTTTTTCAAATTGAAACCTTAGATCATTCATTTTACAGTTTTTCCTAAATATATGTTTAGTGATACAATTTTCCCTCTAAACCCTGCTTTTGCTGCATTCCATGAATTTTGATATGTTGCATTTTCATTTTCATTCATTTCAAAATATAATTTCCCTTGTGAATTTTCTTCTTGACCTATTGGTTATCTAGAATTATGTTGTTTAATTTCCACATACTTGGGGGTTTTCCAGATGTCTTTCTATTGTTTATTTCTAATTTAATTTATTGTGATCAAGTAACATAAATTTTAATTCTTTAACATTTTTGACACTTTTATAGCCTACAGTATGCTCTATTTTTGTAAATGCTTTACCTGTACTTTAGAACGATGTATATAGTCTGATGATAGGCAAAGTATTTCATAATATCAAGTCAAGGTGATGAATAGTGTTGTTTGAATCGTCTGTATCCTTACTAGTTTTCTAATTTTTCAATCAATTATTGAGGGATAATTGTTGAACTCTAATATAGTTGTTGATTTGTCTTTTTCTTTTTTCAGTTTGAACAGGTTTTGCTTCAAGAACTTTGAAGCTCTGTTAATTAGGGTTGTTATGCTCTCTGGATGAATCAATCCATTTATCATTATTAATTTACTCTTTATCCTTCATAATATTCTTTGCTTTGAAATCTATTTAGTTGATATGAATAAAGACACTCCAAATTTCTTTTGATTTGCATTTGCAGGGCATATTATTGCCATCCTTTCACTTTTAACCTGTCTGTATCTTTATACTTAAAATAGGTTTCTTGGCTAGGTGCTGTGGCTCACGCCTGTAATCCCAGCATTTTGAGAGACCAAGGCAGGAGGGTCACTTGACCCCAGGAGTTTGAGATCTGCCTGTGCAACACAGTGAGACCCTGTCTGTACTATGTTAAAGCAACCACTAAAAAAGAACAAAACTACCAAGCCAATAAAGGAGATAAAGATGGAATTAAAAAAACCTCACTTTAAAGGTAGGAAAAGAGAAAAAAGGGCATATGACCAAATGGACAAACAAAAAACAAATAGCAAAATAATGTATTTTAACCCAAGCATATCAATTGTCACCTTAAGTTGTCCAAAGATTCCAATTAAAAGAAGAGATTGTCAAGATTGATAAAAATGCAAAACCGCACCACGTGTTTACAAAATTTTATCTATCTATCTACATTTTTATGTTTTTGAAATGGGGTCTCACTCTGCTGCCCAGATTGGAACACATTGCTGCAATCACCACTCATTGCAGGCTCAACCGCCTGGGTTCAAGTGATCTTCCTGCTTCAGTCTCTCAAGCAGCTAGGATCACAGTTGCACACCAGCACACCTGGCTAGTTTTTTAAAAAATTTTTGTACAGACAAAATGTTGTATATATCTTTAAATTGTCTCCTTCAAATGATATCACTTTATGTATAATATTAAAACTTTTCCTTTTTCCCATGCCAGCCTTTTAGCTATTGTCGTTTTACTTTTTAAATACATCGTAAACCCCACAATCCAATTCTTGGATTGGATATCAAAAATATCCAGTTCTTGCTATTTTTGCTTTATAGTCAATTATCTTATAAAGAAATTAAAAATGAGAAATGTCTTTTATGTTTAGTCACATATTTTCCATTACAGTGTTCTTCATTCCAGTGTATAAATTGGGGTTCAGCAAACTTTTTCTGTAAAGAGCCAAAAAATAAATCTTTTCAGCTTCGTAGGCCATATGATCTGTGGCAATTATTCAACTCTGCTGTTATAGCGTGAAAACAGCCACAGACAACAGGTAAATGAATGAGAGTAGCTGTGTTGGATTTGGTCCACAGGACCAAAAAAAAATTAATTTTTTTTCTGTCACCCTTCGCCCCGTTTTCTTGTAACTGTAGTTACAGGTTTGGTAGACCATTGGATGTTGTTCTGTTGCTCACTGATACATTTCTTACTCTCAGTCTTTACTGTGTCTCATTTGAGTTTGTTTCTACTACTATGTCTCCAAGTGTACTAGTCTTGTTCAGTTTCTAATTCAGTGTGTTTTTCTTTTTCTTTTTTTTTTTTTTTTTTTTAAGACAGAGTGAGACTCTGTCTTAAAAAAAAAAAAAAAGAAAAACACACTGAATTAGAAACTGGACAAGACTGGTACACTTGGAGAAGTGCTCTTTAAACAACTGTTTTAATATCCATGTCTTATGATTCTATCATATATATAACTTTTGAATTCTATCTGTGTCATTTCTGAATCTGTTTATATTGATTTTTTTTCTCCTGATTACAGGTCATATACATTCTTTGTCTCTGGTAATTTTTTATTGAATGCCAGACACTGTGAATTTTACATTGTTGGCTTAATTTCTTTTTTTATTATTACTATACTTAAGTTCTGGGATACATGAGCAGAATGTGCAGGTTTGTTACATAGGTATACACGTGCCATGGTGGTTTACTGCACCCATCAACCTGTCATCTACATTAGGTATTTGTCTTAATGCTATCCCTTCCCTTGCCCCCCACCCACCAACAGGCCCCAATGTGTGATGTTCCCCTCTCTGTGCCCATGTTCTTATTGTTTACCTCCCACTTCTCAGTGAGAACATGTGGTGTTTGGCTTTCTGTTCCTGTGTTAGCTGAGAATGATGGTTTCCAGCTTCATCCATGTCCCTGCAAAGAACATGAACTCATTCTTTTTTATGGCTGCATAGTATTCCATGGTGTATATGTGTGTTGGCTTAATTTCTTCCCTTTCTCCTTTTCTTCCTGTCTTTTTTGGGGGGTGGGGAGATGCAGTTTAATTTCCCTTTTTTTTTTTCTTTCAGTGTTCCTTTTAGGTTTATTAGGCTGGTCTGGAAAAGCCTGTGGTCTAGGTCTGGTTTGGCTCTGCTATTTAGGCAATACCTAATACCTTCTGAGATTATTGATGGACTTGATGTTGCATGTGTTAGGATGTCTTTCCATTATGGCTGGTGAGAACACAAACTGTTTTGTCCCAACGTAAGATCTAATGATTATTCTGCCTGCTGCTTTCTGGTAGTTTTTCCCTGGCCTTGGTAGTTTGCTGACACACCCAGGAGTCAGATGACTACTCATTCCAAGATTCAAGGAGACCTCTCAGCAGATCCTCAGTTTCTTCTCTCTCTCTCTCTGCAGCTGCCTCCTCTCTGGTACTTTATATCCACAAATTTTAGATGACTGGCCTTTCTGAGTTCTGAACTCTGTTTTCTCAACTCAGTAAGACTACCTGGTTCAGTCTGGATTCCTCCTTCTCATACTACAGCCTGAAAATTCTTTTCGGGCAGTGAGCAAAAGCACTTACAGTTTGCCTTCTCTCAGAGGTCACTGTCCTGGGATGCTTGTTCAATGTCTGAAAGCTGTTGTTTCATACATTTTGTCCAGTTTTCCAGTTGTGTAAGGCAAGAGAGTAAATATTCTCGTTGAAAAACACCATGACTGAAAGCAGAAATTTTGCTACTCTTAAATCTTTGGTCACGTGTTCCTGCTTTTCATACCTTTTGATATCCGAGCTCACCTAAGACTTCCTGTAAAATCACATTATTTAATTAAAAATTATTCTTTTTCCTCTCTAATAGACACTATAGTTTTATGATCAGAATTTCACTTTTTAGAATACGCTGTCAAATCCTCCTCGAACATAACTCATCACAAAAGTGTAGAACATATACTACATGTTACTCTGCTAGATGCTAAAAATGCAAAGATGAATAAAATAATGGATTATGCCTCCTTTTTCTCTGAATTTTTTGAAATCTATGTTTTTAAGATCTAGAACAGTGCTATTCAAAATGTGGTCTACATACTGGTGCCAATTTGAAGGGTTTCCAGCAGTGGACTATACTGTAAGGAGTTTGTTCCAGAGTATTCAAGCAGCTACGTTGCTGAACACGTTGCTTAGCTCACCTGAATTTTTTTTTTAAGCAGGACTTTCTTGAAGGAAGCAATGTGTTGGTTTAGATGCCAGAAAAAGGGCCTTCTTTCATTGTAGGCAGGTAATAAGCGGTTTATAGACCAGCTACGAGTACACATCTCAGAGTGCTTAGCATCCCCTTCCTTGGCTATTAGGAAATTTCAAGCATCGCATTTCCAGTCATTTTATTTAAATTCTTATTTCTTCTTCATTAAAACTAATTACTTCAGCTTTTATTTCATTTTTTTTATTATACTTTAAGTTTTAGGGTACATGTGCACAGCGTGCAGGTTTGTTACATATGTATACATGTGCCGTGTTGTTGTGCTACACCCATTAACTCGTCATTTACATTAGGTATATCTCCTAATGCTATCCCTCCCTGCTCCCCACACCCCACAACAGGCCCCGGTGTGTGATGTTCCCCATCCTGTGTCCAAATGTTCTCATTGTTCAATTCCCACCTATGAGTGAGAACATGTGGTGTTTGGTTTTCTATCCTTGCAATAGTTTGCTCAGAATGATGGTTTCCAGCTTCATCCATGTCCCTACAAAGGACATGAACTCATCCTTTTTTATGGCTGCATAGTATTCCATGGTGTATATGTGCCACATTTTCTTAATCCAGTCTATCATTGATGGACATTTGGGTTGGTTCCAAGTCTTTGCTATTGTGAATAGTGCTGCAATAAACATACATGTGCATGTTTCTTTATAGCAGCAGGATTTATAATCCTTTGGGTATATACCCAGTGATGGGATGACTGGGTCAAATGGTATTTCTAGTTCTAGATCCTTGAGGAATCGCCACACTGTCTTCCACAATGGTTGAACTAGTTTACAGTCCCACCAGCAGTGAAAAAGTGTTCCTATTTCTCCAAATCCTCTCCAGCAGCTGCTGTTTCCTGACTTTTGAATGATCGCCATTCTAACTGGTATGAGATATTATCTCATTGTGGTTTTGATTTGCGTTTCTCTGACGGCCAGTGATGCTGAACATTTTTTCATGTGTCTGTTGGCTGCATAGATGTCTTCTTTTGAGAAGTGTCTATTCATATGCTTTGCCCACTTTTTGATGGGGTTGATTTTTTCTTGTAAATTTATTTAAGTTCTTTGTAGACTCTGGATATTAGCCCTTTGTCAGATGGGTAGATTGCAAAAATTTTCTCCCATTCTGTAGGTTGCCTGTTCACTCTAATGGTAGTCTCTTTTGCTGTGCAGAAGCTCTTTAGTTTAGTTAGATCCCATTTGTCAATTTTGGCTTTTGTTGCCGTTGCTTTGGTGTTTTAGACATGAAGTCCTTGCCCATGCCTATGCCCTGAATGGTATTGCCTAGGTTTTCTTCTAGGGTTTTTATGGTTTTAGGTCAAATATTTAAGTCTTTAATCCATCTTGAATTAGTTTTTGTATAAGGTGTAAGGAAGGGATCCAGTTTCAGCTTTCTACATATGGCTAGCCAGTTTTCCCAGCACCATTTATTAAATAGGGAATCCTTTCCCCATTTCTTGTTTGTGTCAGGTTTGTCTAAGATCAGATGGTTATAGATGTGTGGTATTATTTCTGAGGCCTCTGTTCTGTTCCATTGGTCTATATCTCTGTTTTGGTACCAGTACCACGCTGTTTTGGTTATTGTAGCCTTGGTATAGTTTGAAGTCAGGTAGCGTGAAGCCTCCAGCTTTGTTCTTTTGGCTTAGGATTGTCTTGGCAATGCGGGCTCTGTTTTGGTTCCATATGAACTTTAAAGTAGTGTTTTCCAATTCTGTGAAGAAGGTCATTGGTAGTTTGATGGGGATGGCATTGACTCTATAAATTACCTTGGGCAGTATGGCCGTTTTCATGATATTGATTCTTCCTATCCATGAGCATGGATTGTTCTTCCATTTGCTTGTATCTTCTTTTATTTTGTTGAGCAGTGGTTTGTAGTTCTCCTTGAAGAGGTCCTTCACATCCCTTGTAAATTGGATTCCTAGGTATTTTATTCTCTCTGAAGCAATTGTGAATGGGAGTTCACTCATGATTTGGCTCTCTGTTTGTCTGTTATTGGTGTATAGTAATGCTTGTGATTTTTGCACATTGATTTTGTATCCTGAGACTTTGCTGAAGTTGCTTATCAACTTAAGGAGATTTTGAGCTAAGATGATGGGGTTTTCTAAATATCCAATCTTGTCATCTGCAAACAGGGACAATTTGACTTCCTCTTTTCCTAACTGAATACCCTTTCTTTCTTTCTCCTGCCTGATTGCCCTGGCCAGAACTTCCAATACTATGTTGAATAGGAGTGGTGAGAGAGGGCATCCCTGTCTTGTGGCAGTTTTCAAAGGGAATGCTTCCAGTTTTTGCCCATTCAGTATGATATTGGCTGTGGGTTTATCATAAATAGCTCTTATTATTTTGAGATACATCCCATCAATACCTAATTTATTGAGAGTTTTTAGCATGAAGGGCTGTTGAATTTTGTCAAAGGCCTTTTCTGCATCTATTGAGATAATCACTTGGTTTTTGTCTTTGGTTCTGTGTATATGAGGAATTACGTTTATTGATTTGCATATGTTGAACCAGCCTTGCATTCCAGGGATGAAGCCCACTTGATCATGGTGGATAAGCTTTTTGATGTGCTGCTGGATTTGGTTTGCCAGTATTTTATTGAGGATTTTGCATCCATGTTCATCAGGGATATTGGTCTAAAATTCTCTTTTTTTGTTGTGTCTCTGCCAGGCTTTGGTATCAGGATGATGCTGGCTTCATAAAATGAGTTGGGGAGGATTCCCTCTTTTTCTATTGATTGAAATAGTTTCAGAAGGAATGGTACCAGCTCCTCTTTGTACCTCTGGTAGAATTCGGCTGTGAATCTGACTGGTCCTGGACTTTTTTTGGTTGGTAGGCTATTAATTATTGCCTCAGTTTCAGAGCCTGTTATTGGTCTATACAGGGATTCAACTTCTTCCTGGCTTAGTCTTGGGAGGGTGTATGTGTCCAGGAATTTATCCATTTCTTCTAGATTTTCTAGTTTATTTGCACAGAGGTATTTACAGTATTCTCTGATGGTAGTTTGTATTTCTGTGGGATCAGTGGTGATAGCCCCTTTATCATTTTTTATTGCATCTATTTGATTCTTCTCTCTTTTGTTCTTTATTAGTCTTGCTAGTGTTCTATCTCCTTTGTTAATCTTTTCAAAAAACCAGCTCCTGGATTCATTGATTTTTTGAAGGGTTTTTTGTGTCTCTATCTCCTTCAGTTCTGCTCTGATCTTAGTTACTTCCTGTCTCCTGCTAGCTTTTGAATGTGTTTGCTCTTGCTTCTCTAGTTCTTTTAATTGTGATGTTAGGGTGTCAATTTTAGATCTTTCCTGGTTTCTCTTGTGGGCATTTAGTGCTATAAATTTCCCTCTACACACTGCTTTAAATGTGTCCCAGAGATTCTGGTATGTTGTGTCTTTGTTCTCATTGGTTTCAAAGAACATCTTTATTTCTGCCTTCATTTTGTTATGTACCCAGTAGTCATTCAGGAGCAAGTTGTTCAGTTTCCATGTAGTTGAGCGGTTTTGAGTGAGTTTCTTAATCCTGAGTTCTAATTTGATTGCACTGTGGTCTGAGGCACAGTTTGTTATAATTTCTATTCTTTTACCTTTGCTGAGGAGTGCTTTACTTCCAACTGTGTGATCAATTTTGGAATAAGTGTGATGTGGTGCTGAGAAGAACATACATTCTGTTGATTTGGAGTGGAGAGTTCTGTAGATGTCTATTAGGTCTGCTTGTTGCAGAGCTGAGTTCAATTCCTGGATATCCTTGTTAACTTTCTGTCTCATTGATCTGTCTAATGTTGACAGTGGGGTGTTAAAGTCTCCCATTATTATTGTGTGGGAGTCTAAGTCTCTTTGTAGGTCTCTAAGGACTTGCTTTATGAATCTGGGTGCTCCTGTATTGGGTGCATATATATTTAGGATAGTTAGCTCTTCTTGTTGAATTGATCCCTTTACCATTATGTAATGGCCTTCTTTGTCTCTTTTGATCTTTGTTGGTTTAAAGTCTGTTTTATCAGAGACTAGGATTGCAACCCCTGCTTTTTTTTTTTTTTCCATTTGCTTGGTAGTTCTTCCTCCATCCCTTTATTTTGAGCCTATGTGTGTCTCTGCACATGAGATGGGTCTCATGAATACAGCACACTGATGAGTCTTTATTCTTTATCCAATTTGCTAGTCTGTGTCTTTTAATTGGAGCATTTAGCCCATTTACATTTAAGGTTAATATTGTTATGTGTGAATTTGATCCTGTCATTATGATGTTAGCTGGTTATTTTGCCCGTTAGTTGATGCAGTTTCTTCCTAGCATTGATGGTCTTTACAATTTGGCACGTTTTTGCAGTGGCTGGTACCAGTTGTTCCTTTCCATGTTTAGTGCTTCCTTCAGGAGCTGTTGTAAAGCAGGCCTGGTGGTGACAAAATCTCTCAGCATTTGCTTGTCTGTAAAGGATTTTATTTCTCCTTCACTTATGAAGCTTAGTTTGGCTGGATATGAAATTCTGGGTTGAAAATTCTTTTCTTTAAGAATGTTGAATATTATCCCCCACTCTCTTCTGGTTTGTAGAGTTTGTGCAGAGAGATACGCTGTTAGTCTGATGGCCTTCCCTTTGTGGGTAACCTGACCTTTCTCTCTGGCTGCGTTTAACATTTTTTCCTTAATTTCAACTTTGGTGAATCTGACAATTATGTTTCTTGGAGTTGCTCTTCTCAAGGAGTATCTTTGTGGTGTTCTCTGTGTTTCCTGAATTTGAATGTTGGCCTGCCTTGCTAGGTTGGGGAAGTTCTCCTGGATAATATCCTGCAGAGTGTTTTCCAACTTGGTTCCATTCTCCCCATCACTTTCAGGTACACCAATCAGACGTAGATTTGGTCTTTTCACATAGTCCCATATTTCTTGGAGGCTTTGTTCATTTCTTTTTACTCTTTTTTCTCTAAACTTCTCTTCTTGCTTCATTTCATTCATTTGATCTTCAGTCACTGATACCCTTTCTTCCAGTTGATCGAATCAGCTACTGAAGCTTGTGCATGCATCACGCAGTTCTCATACCATGGTTTTCAGCTCCATCAAGTCTTTAAGGTCTTCTCTATGATGTTTATTCTAGTTAGCCATTCATCTAATCTTTTTTCAAGGTTTTTAGCTTCTTTGCTATGGGTTCGAACATCCTCCTTTAGCTCAGAGAAGTTTGTTATTACCGATCATCTGAAGCCATCTTCTCTCAACTCGTCAAAGTCATTCTCCATCCAGCTTTGTTCCATTGCTGGTGAGGAGCTGCGTTCCTTTGGAGGAGAAGAGGAGCTCTGATTTTTAGAATTTTCAGCTTTTCTGCTCTGGTTTCTCCCCATCTTTGTAGTTTTATCTACCTTTGGTCTTTGATGATGGTGATGTACAGATGGGGTTTTGGTGTGGATGTCCTTTCTGTTTGTTAGTTTTCCTTCTAACAGTCAGGACCCTCAGCTGCAGGTCTGTTGGAGTTTGCTGGAGGTCCACTCCACACCCTGTTTGCCTGGGTATCACCAGCAGAGGCTGCAGAACAGCAAATATTGCAGAACGGCAAATGTTGCTGCCTGATCCTTCCTCTGAAAGCTTCATCTCAGAAGGGCACCTGGCTGTATGAGGTGTCAATTGGCCCCTACTGGGAGGTGACTCCCAGTTAGGCTATTCAGGGGTCAGGGACCCACTTCAGGAGGCAGTCTGTCCGTTCTCAGATTTCAAACTCCACACTGGGAGAACCACTACTCTCTTCAAAGCTGTCAGCCAGGGACGTTTAAGTCTGCAGAAGTTTCTGCTGCCTTTTGTTCAGCTATGCCCTGCTCCCAGAGGTGGAGTCTACAGAGGCAGGCAGGCCTCCTTGAGCTGTGGTGGGCTCCACTCAATTCGAGCTTCCTGGCTACTTTGGTTACCTACTCAAACCTCAGCAATGGCGGGCACCCCTCCCCCAGCCTCACTGCCACCTTGCAGTTCAATCTCAGACTGCTGTGCTAGCAGTGAGTGAGGCTCCGTGGGCGTGGGACCCTCCAAGCCAGGCATGGGATATAAACCTCCTGGTGTGCCATTTGCTACGAGTGTTGGAAAAGTGCAGTATTAGGGTAGGAGTGACCCGATTTTCCAGGTGCCATCTGTCACGGCTTCCCTTGGCTAGGAAAGGGAATTCCCCGACCCCTTGCGCTTCCCCGGTGAGGCGATGCCTCACCCTGCTTCGGCTCATGCTCTGTGGGCTGCCCCCACTGTCCTGCACCCACTGTCCAACAAGCCCCAGTGAGATGAACCCAGCACCTCAGTTGGAAATGCAGAAATCACCCATCTTCTGCGTTGCTCACACTGGGAGCTGTAGACTGGAGCTGTTCCTATTCAGCCATCTTAGAACCTCTCGGCATTTATTTTATGGCTGATAACTGGTTTGGGGGACTTCTTAGCAACCACAGTCTAGGATGGTTTTATTTTTACCCTGGCACAGACTTGGAATTGGAACAACTGTGGCAATAGAATGCCTGTGGGACACCATTTAGCTTAGTGCTGGAAGGAAATAGAAGCACTTATGGGCTCTTTGGGATTTCCGTTATATCCAATTTATTTTTATGACATTCCTAGAAATAAGGCATCCCTTCGTTGTTCATGGTATATTTTCCCTCTCTCACTTACCTTCATCCTGACAAGATTTATTTTATCTCAATTCATGATTCCCCATTTCCTTTCCATTTGTTGACTGGTTTCTAAGTCTCATCTTCTCTGATTAGCCATTGGTAATTGTCGCTACCTAACAGAAAATGATTGTAACACATATTAGTATAGAACTAGAATGGGGGAGAGGAGGCAGTGAGTATGAGTACCCCTTGAAAAGATGTTTGTGTACTCTTTCTTTTCCAGTGGAAAGCTCACCAGAGATCCTAAAGAATGAAGATTTTTCTAGCAGCCGTGCTATTACATTGTACAAAGACAAGCGTCAAGAATCTGTAGACCAGCTGTCTTTGATTTTGTCTTATGAGTGCCAGATTTCTCAGAAGCTCTACATTCCTCGAAGTACAGCCACTGCTGCCTTAGGTGCTGCCGCACGGTTAGCTACATCCAGGAGCCTCCTACACTGGTACCCCAGTGTGAAAAGGATGGAAGCATGAGGGAGGGAGGGAGGAGGGAGAAAAACAGAATCCAGCCGCTTAGGCTTTGATGAACTCCCAGGCCAAAATGAGGAGTTATTGAAGCAAAATAGTATCTTGATCATTGATACTTTTGTCTTTCTGTGACTATATGTTAGCTTTATTATGCTAACAGTCTACTTTGATGTGTAAGTAAGTATTGATATTTACTGTTAATCTTGATTTTTCTTGATTTTATTCTGTGTCATTTTGTTCACCTTTGTTTTTAATGTAGTTTAAAGGAATTTGTTTTTTTGTGTTTGTTTTTCTTGTACATTATCATGACTGATAAATGAAAATTGAAAAACTAATGTTTGTGATCTATATTTGGCAAGACAAAATAGTCTCACATTCCTATCTCCAGAAAAAAAAGATGTCTGACTCTTAAGGCTGCTTTCTAACTTGAAGTCTTCTATATCATAGAGCACCATTATGTCTTTGAAATATTGGGATCAATAAGAAAATCTACACCCTGAAGCTTTGGTCATACGAATACTTTTACATTTCAAAAAAATTAAGCTGTTTGCAGTAAAGGCAATTTCTGAAATGTAGCTGAGCCATCTCTATAATTATCACAGTTCCCAAGAGCCTTAATGTAGCAATCGTTCAACAGTGGCATTGTTTAAGCATTTATATAACATGATGTTCTCTGAGGTCAGATTCTGTGAAATGTGATAATGGTAGTCTGTTGAGCTCATAGTATAGATCATCAAAAAAGACTGAAGGTGAAATTTTAAAATGTGAGTAATGCTAGTTAATTTTTTTTACCAGACTTATACCCAGATTTTAAAAATATTTTACTCACAGAATTAACCCCCAAAACAGAATCATTTCTTAGAAGTAAAATCTGAGAAAGAGATGTAAATAGCATGCTTCATGTAACAAGGTTCTCACCCACATAGCTGCTCTTCTAAGGCCTCCTTTTTTTGGCATTAAATGACAGAGCTGGTCTCCTGGTTCCTCTCTCTTTTTCTACAATAAGGAATTTCTCCTCTTTCCTTCCCAACTACTTAATTAGCAAAATATCCACTAAGGAAGGGAGTAGGAGGGGGGTAAATACAGAAATACATTCAGAGTATTATCATGAGACAAAGGTAAACCAAAAGTCTTTACTGATCATTTTCTGTTTAAAAGCCTTAGAGAAAACATGTTTAAATGTCGTACAATTTAAAAGCTCAGATTCACCTATAATTCCAATATATCTATAAGAATAATGTAAGGATACACTAACTGACAAAAAAAGACAAAAGTAATCTGGAAACATCACTGATAGTTAATCCAACTGATGAAAGAGTTTTGGGCTTTTGTGATTTTCTATCAGACATCTTTATTGGAGAAGGCAGGTGGAGAGTTAGATATGGAGGGTCAGTGGACAGTTAAATATAATGTGATGGTTAAATATTATATATATATATATATATATATATATATATATATATGATGCTTAATTGGTATGAACCGGTGGAGCAGTTTTTCATATAATTTTAGATAATTAGACAAAATATGTTTCAAAAGAAGAAAATTCATTGTGAAGTGATGGCACTTTTGATTCTTCCTTTAAAGAAGAAGCCAAATCTGATATTATATTTTACTTTTCCAGGTGAACACTAAACTGGGTTTGGGGCAAGATGACTCTGGTAGAAGCAGTATGTCGTAAGGGTTGATGGAAATACACATTTAGTAAGCCAAACTGTAACCCTCTCTATAATAGCACTCAGATACCAGAAGGAAGTCTGCCAAAGCTGGGTAGCCTTTTTGCAAGTTTGATAGTTGGTTTCATAATCTGATAGGGACTAATTTTACACCTTGCAAACTGGATGGGGATTATGAAATAACTGTGCTAAGGCTGTTTCAGAATCTCATTTGCCTGTGGCTGGATAGAGAATCATTTAGACAAAACTATCTCAAACTTCTTTCAAATGAGTGTCAACACACTTTGAAAGAAGCCTATTTAGTAATTAATGATTAATACCTTATTTCAGTTGGTGTGAAGAAAGAGCCTTTCAGAGGCTTGTAATGTTGACTACTTGGCTTTGACTAGGATAGCCACCCTGTCAATCTGTTTACTTATTATACTGTCTCCCAAAAATGTGGGCTTTGTCTAGTAAACTAAACTAAACTAAACTATCAGCAAAGAATCAAAGTAGATACATCATTTGAAAATGAGTAGATTTCTGTATATGGGCAGGAACAGTGATAAGAAAGAAATGTACAAAAGATATGTAGATGCTATGTGTTTTAGAGTTAATTTTATTTTATTGTCAAAAGATGGGCTGACATCTATACTTTGAACAGTTCCCTGCCCCACCCCCAACATTTTTGGTATTCAAGACCTGTTTGCAGTAATGGAGGTCCCCAGTGAATGTTGAATGGGAAATGGGAGCCTGAGGTATGTGAAAGGAAATGAGTGAGAACATAAAGGAAAATCCTGGTGCTAAACTCCTTAGGGATGGAAGAGGGACTGGCTTTACTAAAAGCGACTCTGGTTTTACCTCCAGTGGCTTGTAGCCAATACTACCCATCTCCCATCCAAAAATACCCCAAAAGCCTGGGGTGGGGAGTGGCTCATGCCTGTAATCCTAGTACTTTGGGAGGCTTAGGTGGGTGGATCGCTTAAGGCCAGGAGTTCGAGACCAGCCTGGCCAACATGGTGAAACCCTGTCTCTACTAAAAATACAAAAATTAGCTGGACTTGGTGGCATGTACCTGTTAGTCCCAACTACTTAGGAGGCTGAGGCATGAGAATCATTTGAACCCAGGAGGCTGAGGTTGCAGTGAGCCGAGATCGCACCACTGCATTCCAGCCTAGGCGACAGAGCAAAACTCCGTCTCAAAAAAAAAAAAAAAAAAAAAAAAAACAACCCATGAGATACCAAAAGAGGAGCCATTCCAGCAGCAAGCAGCCTTTCCCCTCTAAACTTCAGGTTTGAGATGTCAGTTGCCCATTTCAAGGCATGGGGAGTAACTAGAGGCTTCTGCCCACAATCAGCCTATGTCTAACCTAGAGACTTAGAATTACAGAATTTTGATCTAGAAGGGAACTTAACATGAGGAAATTTGAAGTCTAGAAAGATCAACTTGACAGCAGCCGGGGTGGCTGGCAAGATGGCTGAATAGGAACAGCTCCAGTCTGCAGCTCCCAGCAACATCAACACAGAAGGTGGGTGATTTCTGCATTTCCAACTGAGGTACCAGGATCATCTCATTGAGACTGGTTAGACAGTGGATGCAGCCCACTGAGGGTGAGCCGAAGCAGGGGAGGGCATTGCCTCACCCAAGAAATGCAAGGGGTTGGGGATCCCTCCCCTAGCCAAGGGAAGCTGTGAGGGACTGTGCCATGAGGAATGGTGCATTCTAGCCCAGGTACTACACTTTGCCCATGGTCTTCACAGCCCACAGACCAGGAGATTCCCTTGGGTGCTTATACCACCAGGGTCCTGGGTTTCAAGCACAAAACTGGGCAGCCATTTGGGCAGACAGCTAGCTGCAGGAGTTTTTTTTCATACCCCAGTGGTGCTTGGAATGCCAGCAAGACAGAACCGTTCACTTCCCTGGAAAGGGGGCTGAAGCCAGGGAGCCCAGTGGCCTAGCTCAGCAGATCCCACCCCCACGGAGCCCAGCAGGCTAAGATCCACTGGCTTGAAATTATCGCTGCCAGCACAGCAGTCTGAGCTCGACCTGGGACACTCAAGCTTGGTAGGGGGAGGGGTGTCTGCCATTACTGAGGCTCGAGTAGGTGGTTTTCTGCTCACAGTGTAAACAAAGCCACCAGGAAGTTAGAACTTGTTGGAGCCCACTGCAGCTCAGCAAAGCTGCTGTAGCCAGACTGCCTCTCTAGATTCCTCCTCACTGGGCAGGGCATCTCTGAAAGAAAGGCAGCAGCCCCAGCCAGGGGCTTATAGAGAAAACGCCCATCTCCCTGGGAGAGAGCACCTGGAGGAAGGGGGAGCTGTGGGCGCAGCTTCAGCAGGCTTAAACGTTCCTGCCTGCCGGCTCTGAAGAGAGCAGTGGATCTCCCAGCACAGCACTCGAGCCCTGCTAAGGGACAGACTGCCGCCTCAGGTGGGTCCCTAACCCCCATGCCTCCTGACTGGGAAACACCTCCCAGCAGGGGTCGACAGACACCCCATGCGGGAGAACTCTGGCTGGCATCTGGTGGGTGCCCCTCTGGGATGAAGCTTCCAGAGGAAGGAACAGGCAGCAATCTTTGCTGTTCTGCAGCCTACACTGGTGATATCCAGGCAAAAAGGGTCTGGAGTAGACCTCCAGCAGATCTGCAGCAGAGGGTCCTGACTGTTAGAAGGAAAACTAACAAACAGAAAGGAATAGCATCAACATCAACAAAAAGGATATCCACACAAAAACCCCATCCGAAGGTGACCGGCATCAAAGATCAAAGGTAGATAAATCCACAAAGATGAGGAAAAACCAGCTTGAAAAGGCTGAAAATTCCAAACACCAGAATGCCTCTTCTCCTCCAAAAGATCTCAACTCCTCTCCAGCAAGGGAACAAAACTGGATGGAGAATGAGTTTGATGAATTGACAGAAGTAGGCTTCAGAAGGTGGGTAGTAACAAACTCCTCTGAACTAAAGGAGCATGTTGTAATCCCATGCAAGGAAGCAAAGAACCTTGAAAAAAGGTTAGACAAATTGCTAACTAGAATAACCAGTTTAGAGAAGAACATAAATGACCTGATGGAGCTGAAAAACACAGCACGAGAACTTTGTGAAGCATATACAAGTATCAGTAGCCAAATCGATCAAGCAGAAGAAAGGATATCAGAGATTGAAGATCAACTTAATGAAATAAAGAAGACAAGATTAGAGAAAAATGAAAAGGAATGAACAAAGCCTCCGAGAAATATGGGACTATGTGAAAAGACCAAACCTATGTTTGATTGGTATACTGGACAGTGACAGGGAGAATGGAACCAAGTTGGAAAACACTCTGCAGGATATTATCCAGGAGAACTTCCCCCACCTAAGCAAGACAGGCCAACATTCAAATTCAGGAAATACAGAGAACACAACAAAGATTCTCCTTGAGAAAAGCAACCCCAAGACACATAATTGTCATATTCACCACAGTTGAAATGAAGGAAAAAAAGGCAGCCAGGGAGAAAGGCGGGGTTACCCACAAAGGGAAACCCATCAGACTATAAGCGGATCTCTCTGCAGAAACCCTACAAGCCAGAAGAGAGTGGGAGCCAATATTCAACATTCTTAAAGAAAAGAACTTTCAACCCAGAATTTCATATCCAGCCAAAGTAAGCTTCATAAGAGAAGGAGAAATAAAATCCTTTACAGACAAGCAAATGTTGAGAGATTTTGTCACCACCAGGCCTGCCTTACAAGAGCTCCTGAGGGAAATACTAAATATGGAAAGGAAAAACTGGTACCAGCCACTGCAAAAACATACCAAATTGTAAAAACCATCGACACTATGAAGAAACTGCATCAACTAATGGGCAAAATAATCAGCTAGCATCATAATGACGGATCAAATTCACACATAACAATATTAACCTTAAATGTAAATGGGCTAAATGCCCCAATTAAAAGACACAGACTGGCAAATTGGATAAAGAGTCAAGACCCATCAGTGTGCTGTATTCATGAGACCCATCTAATGTGCAAAGACACACATAAGCTCAAAATAAAGGGATAGAGGAATATTTACCAAGCAAATGGAGAGCAAAAAAAAAAGCAGGGGTTGCAATCCTAGTCTCTGATAAAACAGACTCTAAACCAACAAAGATCAAAAAAAAAGAAAGGCATTACATAATGGTAAAGGGATCAATGCAACAAGAAGAGCTAACTATCCTCAATATATATGCACACAATACAGGGGCACCCAGATTCATAGAGCAAGTTCTTAGAGACCTACAGAGACACTTAGACTCCCACACAATAATAGTGGGAGACTTGAACACCCCACTGTCAATATTTGATCAACGAGACAGAAAATTAACAAAGATATTCAGGACTTGAACTCAGCTCTGGACCAAGTGGACCTAATAGACATCCACAGAACTCTCCACCCCAAATCAACAGAATATACATTCTTCTCAGCACCACATCACACTTATTCCAAAATTGACCACATAATTGGAAGTAAAACACTCCTCAGCAAATGCAAAAGAACGGAAATCATAACAGTCTCTCAGACCACAGGGCAATCAAATTAGAACTCAGGATTAAGAAACTCACTCTGAACCGCACAACTATGTGGAAACTGAACAACCTGTTCCTGAATGACAACTGGGTAAATAATGAAATGAAGGCAGAAATAAATAAGTTCTATGAAACCAATGAGAACAAAGACACAACATACCAGAATCTCTGGGACACAGCTAAAGCAGTGTTTAGAAGGAAATTTATAGCACTAAATGCCCACAGGAGAAAGTGCGAAACATCTAAAATTGACACCCTAACATCACAATTAAAAGAACTAGACAAGCAAGAGCAAATAAATTCAAAAGCTAGCAGAAGACAAGAAATAATTAAGATCAGAGCAGAACTGAAGGAGGAGATAGAGACACAAAAAACCCTTCAAAAAATCAATGAATCTAGGAGCTGGTTTTCTGAAAAGATCAACAAAATAGAAGACCACTAGCCATAATAAGAGAGAAGAATCAAATAGATGCAAAAATGATAAAGGGGATATCACCACTGATCCCACAGAAATACAAACTACCATCAGAGAATACTATAAACACCTCTATGCAGATAAACTAGAAAATCTAGAAGAAATGGATAAATTCCTGGACACATACACCCTCCCAAGACTAAACCAGGAAGAAGTTGAATCCCTGAATAGACCAATAACAGGTTCTGAAATTGAGGCAGTAATTAATAGCTTACCAACCAAAAATAGCCCAGGACCAGATGGATTCACAGCCAAATTCTACCAGAGGTACAAAGAGGAACTGGTACATTCCTTCTGAAATTATTCCAAACAATAGAAAAAGAGGGACTCCTTCCTAACTCATTTTATGAGGCCAGCATCATCCTGATACCAAAACCTGGCAGAGACCCACCAAAAAAGAAAATTTCAGGCCAATATCTCTGACAAACATCAATGCAAAAATCCTCAATAAAATACTGGCAAACCAAATCCAGCAGCATATCAAAAAGCTTATCCACCAAGATCAAGTTGGCTTCATCCCTGGGATGCAAGGCAGGTTCAACATATGCAAATCAATAAACATAATCCATCACATAAACAGAACCAATGATAAAAACCACATGATTATCTCAATAGATGCAGAAAAGGCCTTTGATAAATTCAACATCCCTTCATGTTAAAACACTAGGTATTTTCATAATAACTAGGTATTGAGGGAATATACCTCAAAATAATAAGAGCTATTTATGACAAACCCATAGCCAATATCACACTCAATGGGCAAAAGCTGGAAGCATTCCCTTTGAAAACTGGCACAAGACAAGGGTGCCCTCTCTCACCACTCCTATTCAACATAGTATTGGAAGTTCTGGCCAGGGCAATCAGGCAAGAGAAAGAAAGAAAGGGTATTCAGATAGGAAGAGGGCAAGTCAAATTGTCTGTTTGCAGATGACATGATTGTACATTTAGAAAACCCCATCATCTCAGCCCAAAATCTCCTTAAGCTGATCAGCAACTTCAGCAAAGTCTCAGGATACAAAATCAATGTGCAAAAATCACACATTCCTATACATCAATAATAGTCAAATCATGAGTGAACCCCCATTCATAATTGCTACAAAGAAAATAAAATACCTAGGAATACAACTTAGAAGGGATGTGAAAGACCTCTTCAAGGAGAGCTACAAACCACTGCTCAAGGAAATAGGAGAGGACACAAATGGAAAAATATTCCATGCTCGTGGATAGGAAGAATCAATGTTGTGAAAATGGCCATACTGCCCAAAGTAATTTATAGATTCAATGCTATCCCCATCAAGCTACCATTGACTTTCTTCACGAATTATAAAAAACTACTTTAAATTTTATATAGAACCAAAAAAGAGCCCTTATAGCCAAGACAATCCTGAGCCAAAAGAACAAAGCTGGAGGCATCACACTACCTGACTTCAAACTATACTACAAGGCTACAGTAACCAAAACAGCATGGTACTGCTACCAAAACAGATATATAGACCAATGGAACAGAACAGAGGCCTCAGAAATAATGCCACACAGCTACAACCATCTGATCTTTGACAAACCTGACAAAAGCAATGGAGAAAGGATTCAGTATTTAATAAATGGTGTTGGGAAAACTGGCTAGCCATATGCAGAAAACTGAAACTGGACCCCTTCCTTGTATCTTATACAAAAATTAACTCAAGATGGATTAAAGACTTAGATGTAAGACCTAAAACCATAAAAATCCTAGAAGAAAACCTAGGCAATACCATTCAGGACATAGGCATGGGCAAAGACTTCATGACTAAAACACCAAAAGCAATGGCAACAAAAGCCAAAATTGACAAATGGGATCTAATTAAAGAGCTTCTGCACAGCAAAAGAAACTATCATCAGAGTGAACAGGCAACCTACAGATGGGAGAAAAATTTTGCAATCTATCCACCTGACAAAGGGCTAATATCCAGAATCTACAAGGAACTTAAACAAATTTACAAGAAAGAACCCCATCAAAAAGTGGGTGAAGGATATGAGCAGACACTTCTCAAAAGAAGACATTTATGCAGCCAACAAACATATGTACAAAAGCTCATCATCACTGGTCGTTAGAGAAATGCAGATAAAAACCACAATGAGATACCATCTCACACCAGTTAGAATGGTGATCATTAAAAAGGGAACAACGGATGCTGGAGAGGATGTGGAGAAACAGTAATGCTTTTACACTGTTGGTTGCAGTGTAAATTAGTTCAACATTGTGGAAGACAGTGTGGTGATTCCTCAAGGATCTAGAACCAGAAATACCATTTGACCCAGCAATCTCATTACTGGGTATATACCCAAAGGATTATAAATCATTCTACTATGAAGACACATGCACATGTATGTTTATTGCAGCACTATTCACAATAGCAAAGCCTTGGAACCAACCCAAATGCCCATCAATGATAGGCTGGATAAAGAAAATGTGGCACATATACACCATGGAATACTATGCAGTCATAAAAAATGATGAGTTAGGTCCTTTGCAGGGACATGGATGAAGCTGGAAACCATCGTTCTCAGCAAACTAACACAGGAACAGAAAACCAAACACTGCATGTTCTCACTCAAAAGTGGGAGTTGAACAATGAGAACACATGGACACAGGGAGGGGAACATCACACACGGGGGCCTGTCGAGGGGTGGGGGGTTAGGGGAGGGATAGCATCAGGAGATATACCTAATGTAGATGACGGGTTGATGGGTGCAGCAAACCACCACGGCACATGTACACCTATGTAACAAGCCTGCACATTCTGCACATGTATCCCAGAACTTAAATTAAAAAAAAAAAAGATCAACTTGCCTATGGTCACACAGTTTGAATTATCATATCTGCTGATTCCTAGCTCAGTGCCCTTTCCACAGGAAATATTGCAGCTCCATCTTGTGTACTTGAAATGATTTGATGCCAGAAGACACAGCTTTGATAGATCAGTCCATAAGAAAGGTGCTTGTTGGTGGTGGTGGGGCAAGGGACTAATTGGCAGGCTTGGTCATATCCTTGAATGTGGATACTTAAATAGTGGGCCAGTTCTACAGCTGAAGAATCTGAAAAAGGGATAGGCTAGCATAAGGAATGAGAAACCAACTTCTTACAGAGAAATCTTTCTGAAGCTTTCTATTAACATTTATGCTAATAGGCATTTCTAACATTTTTGATATCTTTTCATAATCTCATATACAGTCCAATGGATAGCATTCACTATATGCCTTATTTATAATTCTGCAGGAGCTGTCACTAAGATGTTGAATATATTTCATTTCCTGAAGCCCATTCAAAGCTTGACCTTTTCCAAGATTCCAATCAAGGAGCATAGCTGTATGAACTAAATCTATGTACTTTGAATTTAGCCCCATTCCTAACAAGTGGCGTTTGTTTCATTTGGACAGTCACCAGTCATTCTAGCAAGTTTTAGGTCCCACTGGCCTCTTGAAACCAGAATCCCTTAGATACTTGTTTTAACTGTGGACAGAAGATGTTGTAACTACTCAGGGAATTCTTTAATATTTAGTATCATAATTGACTTGTGTGCCACTTTTCATGTGAAATTGAGTGACTGTACCTCAAAACTGAATAGAGAATTTATTCACGACTAAATTTTCTTGGTTTTTTAAGCTTCATTTTCAGGAAATGCTTTTAGCTTTCTATTTGGCCTAAACTTTGTTGTATGTTTCCATTAAAATTTTTTAATTTATGGAAAAGATATAATAAATAATATTTACTTGATTTTAACTTCTTGGTGCAATTTAAATAAATAATCTGATGATGAAGCCAAATGTATAACTCCATCTCTGCCCTCTAAACTTTTGTTACAGAACTAATGGGAAGTTGTTGGAATCAAGAAATGATTAGCTTAATCTTTAATCTTTGGTTAAAGATTACCATTTGGTTTGATTTAAATACTTACGTATGTAACAACATTTTGTTTGATTTAAATACTTATGAAGTTGGAATTTGTTTTTTCAAAAATGTCTCGGTGTTTGTAAATTAGTGTTGTTGATTCTATAGGAATGAACATTTCATTTAAATATGTAAAGGACTTGAGTAAAATGCAAAATTTATGTAGTTAGAAAACAGATTTGATTCTTGACTAAACCATTTGTCTTCATTTTTGGCATGACCTCTTTATTTTCAAAGTACTGGCCTAGTCAGCCTTTCTTATATTTTAGATAATTCCATGAAATTGGAAATTCATTAATGTTGGAGCCACTTCTTAAGTACCTGACAGCTACATTTCAAAGAATTATTTATCTTTTGTATAGCAACGTGTCAAACCCTAAGTCATCATCTAGGTTCTTAAATTCTCTTTTGAATCTGTTCCACACACCAAATACCAAACCTAATTCTGTCTTGCAACTATAACTCAGTGCTCATTCAGCTGCCTCCTTGGTTTATTGATTCCACATTCAGAGCCTTTGCTGCAGTCCAGCTCTTCTGCCTAGAGCAGAACATTTCCAGATGGTTCTGAAATTCCAAACTTTTCCTTCATCTGTCATTCCACTGGACCATAAGTAGAAGCTGTAAACAAGTTCAATTCATTACTTACTAGAGCAAATGGTTCCCTGACAAAAGCATGCATTACTGCAGTGTTGTTACTCTGATAGAGAATCTCTTCTGATACCATATATATGAAAACACCTTTCAGTTAAATAAGATGGTATGTACCACTTAGGATACTGACTGTTAGACAAAGAATATCCCCATGTATTTCCTCTTCATGATACCCTGTTTGACATGAGTATAATGTCTAAGACTTTTCAAGTTTCTATATGCTAGGGACAAGTGATCTCCAACTTTTATGGAGTCATTAACTTTCTTTTTAGAGACAGGGTCTTGGTCTGTTACCCAGGCTGGAGTGCAGTGGTGCACTCATAGCTCACTGCAGCCTCAAACTCCTGGGCTCAAATAACCCTCCCACCTCAGCCTTAGAGTAGCTGGGACTTCAGGTGCATGCTACCATGCCTGGCTAATTTTCTGTTTTTTTAATTTTTATTAGGAACAGGGTCTAGCTATGTTGCCCAGGCTGGTCTTGAACTTCTGACCTCAAGCAATCCTCCCACCTCGGCCTCCCAAAGTCCTGGGATTACAGGCATGAGCCACCGTGGCTGGCCCAGACTTTCTTGAATAGAAGTTCAGAAAAATCTCCCTCTTGCTCAAGCCCCACCTCTGCCCTGTGTTCCTCGCCTAGATATGAACTAGGAATAGACTCCTTCTGGCTACTCCCAGCCCTTCATCCTGTGATCTGAGAGACAAAAATAAAAAATAAAAAAATAATAAATAATAAAAATAAAAATGCCCCTTTATCAACTAAGACAGACACTAAGGTTAAAAAAACAAAAGTTACCTACGGGTCAAGGGTTCAGGGCTCAGTTGACATGATACCTTCCTGAATGCCTAGGTGACAAGGAAAACTACACTCTTGCTAAACCCTCTAACAATAGGAGCTATCAGACTCCTCCTAACTGATTTCCAGCCCTACAAACATTCTTTTCTGATAAGCACACCTGCCGACTCTAAGCCAGTTTCAGCCAGCTGATAGAGGCTGTACACAAACTCTGTGTTCTGTAGTTCACCTTTTAATGTAAAGAGCCAAATTCTACCACATTTTAATGTTAAAAGCCCACTCTAGAGTGAACATGAGATGTGTGTTACACATACGTCTATCCACTGGGCATGTGCTCGGCCCCTCCCCTTCATAAATATGTATAGCTTTTCTGCCAGTCCTGCTGAATGTGTATGACTATTATGTGTTACAGCCCAGTGAGCTATCAAACTCAACCTCTCTTCGCCTCTTAGAAGAGGAAGAACCTTCATCCATGCTGGAGACTATCTCTTCCCTGTTTGCAAACTGATACCACCAATAAAGCTCTCCTTTTTACTATTTAGCCATCCTGGTGGTTTTGGATGACATGCCTCACATTCAAGGCCTGTCAAATTCTACCTCCTCATTATCTCATTAGTCCCTCTTTCTCTGTAGACCTGCTGTCACCCTAGGCTAAGCCACTTCCATGTCTTTCCTGGCACGTGGTAGATGCTCGGTAAATTTTACTGAGTGATAGAATGAGTAGATAGGACAGGGAATAGGATATAAATTAAGGCCATTGAAATCTTGATCTTTTTTCTGCAATGCTGTGTTCTGAATATCTATAAAACAGAAGACTTATTGGGAAGAGCCTAATCAAACATGAGCAAACATCCCATTTAAACTTTGCATTTAGAATTGGATGAAAAGCACGTCCTCCAGATAAGAGTTCTGAGTAGAAAGGCAGGAAGTATTTTGTTAAGGTTACTCTTCTGCAGAAACCATATTTGATCATTTTTCTGGCTGGGTTTGTGAAGGAAACTGTCCCCCCAGAAAAGCAATTTGACATTTTCTGCTTTTCAGCAACAGCCTCTTACTCTCCCCAGAAAACACTGATTTACCAAATTGGCTCCTTTTAATTTATTGTTCCTCATTCTCTGAGGCTCACCTCTGACTTCATGGTTTATTTTCCAGAAAATTTTTCTAACACCACAAACCCCAGTGCAACAGGTAAACACAAGTCAAAAGAAATTCATTTAAAGCTGCCCTTTAGAGTTAATATTTATCTTGAACTTCAACTTCATTCTGTGGACCTTCTGGTGGTCTTAAAAGTTTGTAGCTAAATCAAGGGACGTGTGTGTGTGTCAGAGAGAGAGAGTGTGTGTGTGCTGGTGTGAGCACTGGCTATGTGTTGTGCCAAATAATGAACTCCAGGGACAAAAGAAAAATGAAAGAAACCAAAGAATTTGCTCCACTTACCAAGAAATGTCTTTGTATTTTGTGGTGGCTTTTCTTCCATTAATCCTTTTTAAGTATATATTGACTCTGAATATTAAAATCATGAGATTTTTGTTTTGTTTTGAATGTGGCATAGTGTGAGAAAATGTGATTTTAAAAAATAATATTACAACTAAAGAAATGAGCAAGGAAAGTACCACCAACTTTGTTTCTATTAGATAACAAAGATTAAATCATGGATTCACACTGAAGAATAAAATGCATTAAAATAAGCATTGCCAATGCAGCAGGCACAGCAGCAGTTTGCAAGCTTGGCCTTGCACTTTCATCCCCTGGAGGAGCTTTCAAAAACTTCCTCTGCTTGGAACATATCTCCTAAAGACTGATTTAGTGGCTCCTACGTGATTGATTCTAATGAGCAACAAGAGCTGAGAACTACCATGCGGGAGGGTAACACCAACTACATACAAGAAACAAACATATGTCCTGACCTTTCTTACTAAAACTTTAAAGTGGTGATTCTCAAGGGAAGGAGTTGGAGGAGCACACTGCCTGGATGAAGAGAGAACTTCATCAATCTATTCACACTGCCCCTCCTCCCCGCCCCATTTCTTCAGTCCTTCTGTGAAAGCTGATCATATGAATTGGGCCATTCTTGTCACACCCACATGAAACAGTTGAGAAGCCATGAGGGAAAAGAACTCAGGACCCAAAACGTTGCTCCAAAAATGTAATTCTCTGCACACCTGGCTGCTGAAGCTGCGTGCTGTAATCTGAAACCCATTTCATCAAATAGTTGCTAAAATGATTTGCTGCAATTTTATGACTAATTTTATCTACTGCCATCACTCACTAATCAAAACTTGCAGCTCCCTAGAACCTTATTAGTGCCAAAGAACTTTCTCAAAGAGCAGTATGTAACGTTTCTCTTATTTATTTTTATTTGTTTATTTATTTATTTATTTTTGAGACGGAGTCTAGCTCTGTCACCAGGCTGGAGTGCAGTGGCGCAATCTCGGCTCACTGCAACCCCCGCCTCCCGGGTTCAAGCGATTCTCCTGCCTCAGCCTCCCGAGTAGCTGGGATTACAGGCGCCCGCCACCATGCCCAGCTAATTTTTGTATTTTTAGTAGAGACGGGGTTTCACCATGTTGACCAGGATGGTCTCGATCTCTTGATCCGCCCGCCTCGGCCTCCCAAAGTGCTGGGATTACAGGCGTGAGCCACTGCACCTGGCCACATTTCTCTTTTTTATAAAACCCCCAACCTTCTCTTTGTTCTTCAGACATACCAAAGACCGCCCTGTATGCCATGAATTGCAATTCTTTCTTCCCAAATGAAAGTGACAGCCACTGTGACATATCCAAGGGTTTTATCCCTCAGACATGCGAGCATGGGCATAAGAAGCTGAGAACTCCTATGTTAGAAAGTAATTTTATTTTTAATAAGTGAAATAGAGTAGCAATAGGTTACTGTAACTCATCTGAATTTGATTATCCACTATGTAAGTTCTATATTCTTTTATCTCCCATAGTGGTATTTTCCTACCAAATATTGTAAAAAATGTAATGTGGGCCATATCATGAACAATACTTGAATTGTGATGGCTTTTTTCCCCTCTCACAATACTGGCCAAACGGATGGCAACGTGGGGAGAGTCGAAACAACCTTCCCAACAGTGAAGCCGGTGGCAACTCTTCTTTTGTTTGTTCATGCCATGACATTGATTGGGCAAGATAAACTGATATCATTGGAACCTTTGTGAAATCTTAACAAAACTGAATTTGCTGTTGTCTTTGAAATGAGTCTTTAGGAGTGTCAGGGTGTCATAAGGAGTGTTTGGTGTCATAAGGGCATTGGCCGAGGGTTAGTTGGTAATACTGCCCGGATAGCTGAGCTTTCAGCAGCAGCTGCTAAAACGGAGAGCCAGGGCAAAGTAGTGTGTGAAAACCTCATTCGAGTTTTCAACTTGGAGATGATAAGCCCAGGATTTCTCTACCTGAATTACTCCTCAGAGTAGACTTGGTGAGGGGACTACTTCACCAAAGCTGGATTTTTAAAAAATTGTTTTGTTCTAAAGTCAAATTAATTATTCTTTAGAGGGTTTTGCTTTTTCCTTGCTGCTAGGTGGCGCTCTAGGACAGGAGTTCTGTTGCCAGGCCAGCTGCTAAAAATCCTTCCCTTGTGTGTTTCATCGCAGGTTTTAGAGTTAAAAATGGAGCTAAGAGCTAACTTCATCCAACCCCTCTTTTTACTTGGAAGAAAAAAAAAAACAAGTTAAGTGACCTAGAACATGAATTCATTGGAAATAGGTTCTTAATGTGTGATCTTCCCACAGATTAAAATTTCCCTTTCTAATTTTACCCTCCAGGAAATGGCCACAGAGCACTCCCTTTTTACAGAACTTAAACTTTAATACTGTATAGTTATCTATTCTTTGAAGGTGGTGGGGAAACACCAACAACCCCTAATCTCTTTCAGAAGCTACAAGTACTGATTCTATCTTGCTGCATTGAAAAAGTTTTAAGAAAAAAAAATCACTTTGCCATCTTTATTTTGGCCTTTCCATGCAGATGTGTTTTCACCTCCTTTATAAATTACTGCTATAGGAAAAAATAGAAAATTTTTACAATTTTGGCACATTTTTTAGTCTTTAAAATGATTTTTTTAATTCCAGGGCATTAAGTTTTGTGTTTGTCTGCCTTTCTGGGGGAAGGTTCTTGGCTTGCTCAGATTCTCAAAAATGATTAAGAATGCCTGCAGGAGGCCGGGCGCAGTGGCTCATGCCTGTAATCCCAGCATTTTGGGAGGCCGAGGTGGGCAGATCACCTGAGGTTGGGAGTTCAAGACCAGCCTGACCAACCTGGAGAAACCCCATCTCTACTAAAAATACAAAATTAGCCAGGTGTGGAGGTGCATGCCTGTAATCCCAGGTACTCGGGAGGCTGAGGCAGGAGAACCACTTCAACCTGGGAGGCAGAGGTTGTGGTGAGCCGAGATCGCGCCATTGCACTCCAGCATGGGCAACAAGAGTGAAACTCCATCTCAAAAAACAAAAACAAGAATGCCTGTAGGAATTCTGCATCCTGTAATATGACTATTTGCTCACCAGATTCTCGGTGAGATGGAAAACTGATTAACCCTTGTGACTTCACTCTCAAATGAAGACAAGCAAATTCTGTGGTCAGAGCCTGGTTTTAACTCACATCAGGAGTCAGCTCTAATAACCATCACTTACAGAGGACTTTACAAATTGCAAAACAGCAGAGGCTGCTGCCAACTAAAGTTTAAATCACATTAACACAAGGATAGTATATAAGACAAGGGAGTAGTTTGATAAGTTCTACACCTCTGTTGGCTTCTAGGAAGCAAAACGTTTACAAAGAAGATAGACCAGCATTCACAAGAGAACTGATCGGATAATAAGAGTTTTATGGAGTTCATATGTGCCACAAGCTGTTTATTCTGTGTGCTTTTATATAGATTACATCATGTAATCCTTGCAACAGCACCATGGGGTAGGTGGTGTTATTACTCCCATTTTACAGATAAGGAAATCAAGGCACAGAAATGCATTTTGCCAACATCATGTCAGAAATTAATATTGTATTACAATAATCTTAATATCCAATTACTAAATGCTCATTATATGCCAAAACTTTTACATATTTAATATTTACAGCATCCTTGTTACTATTCTTTTTTTTACAAGAGGAAAAACTTGAGGATCAGAAAATTATTTACCAAGAATCACGCTAGTAAGTGGTAGGACCTTAAATAAGTCAGATTTCGCCAAAGAGTTGCCCATATTATCTTCTTATACTTCTCCGATTACCTATTAAACCAATTCCAGTTCCACCTACACCACTCCACCAAAACTGCTCCTGTCAAGGTCTCCAGCAACTCCATGCTGAATCCACTAGTCAGCCCTCAGTCATCCCATCTGACTTATCAGTAGCATTTGATACACTTGACAATCCTCCTCCCTGACACTTTCTGTCCTCCCAGCACATCTCATTCTCTAGGGTTTCCTCGTACTCATTGGTCAAAGCCTTAGCATCTTTTGTGCCTCCTCCTCTTTTTCCTGGCCTCTTAATGCTGCAGGGCACCAGGCCTCATTCTCTTGGGAATTCCCCCAGTCTCCTGGCTTTAACTACCATCTACATCTATAGGAAATCCTGTTGGCTATGCTTCCAAAATGTGTCTGGAATCTGCCGGCTTCTCACCAACCCTACCTCCACCACCAGGTCAGAGTTACTGTACTGAGCCTGGACCACTTCGCAGCCTTGTCTGGCTTCCCTGCTGTCCACAGTGCTCTCTCACTCTGCTCTCCACAAAGCAGCCAGAGGGGCCCTTTCAAGCTCCAAGGCAGCTGGCATCCCTCCTCTGCCCAAGGCCCCCTGAGGGCTCCCAGTCTTACTCAGAGTCCTTACAATGGTCCACAGCGGTGTTGCCAAAGACAATGCAGGATGCCCAGTTAAATACGGATTTCAGGTAAACAGCTAATAACTTTCTAGTTTAAGTATGGTTTCATGCAATATTTGAGGCATATCTGTATTTTTAAAATTATTATCTGAAATTCAAATTTAGCTGAGATTGCAAATTTTTATCTGCTAAATCTGCCAGGCATATCCACCAGCTCTACATATGCCCCCCGTTACCTCCTTGACCTCATCTCCCATGATCTCCCCCTTATTCACTGCACTCCCCCACACTGGCCTCCTCACTTTCTTCCAGTGCATAGCTCCTCACTTTGGGCTCTTGCCTTGGCTGTTCTTCCTCCAGCATCTGCGTCTTCTCAAAGAGGTAATTTCTAAAATGACTTCTCAACGCTGTGCTCCCAATGCCCCTAATCCTGCTCCACTTTTTTCCATAGCACCTGACTTCTAACATGACTCATTCTTTTTATTGTGAACTGTAGGTCTCCACCAACCAGAATCTAAACTCCACCGGGCAGGTATTTTTGTCCATTTCGTGCATTATCATATCCCAAGAGGCTAGAACAATAGCACCTCTGTACACAATAATTGTTTGTTTATTGTGAATGAATGATTTCAAAGGCTTTTGCTCCTTTCCATTGCATTATATATTCCCTCTGTTTCAACTTACGATAAATATCTGAACAAACTGAGAGTGCACAGCCTGGAGAGGAGATTACGGGCAGAGGTGGAGAATGTGCTCACACCTCAGCTGGAGTGGTCCTTTTGTTGTGGGACAGTCTGGTTCAAGGCACAGAACTGTCCACAGCTCTCTGCCCAGGCAATTGCCACATTCCCCACACCCTCAGTATTGCCCTCTATTTAACAACAAAAAAGTGTGTATTTTCTATGTGCCAGTTCCTGTGCTGACCTCCAAGAATACAAGGATAAACAAGATAATGCTACCTAGGAGGACCAGGCAATGAGCTTGAGGTTCTTGCCTGATTGATAAAATGAAAAAGAATTGGGCCTGACTGCCCAGAATCACCGCAAGGGCCACAAGCCCTTATATCCTATCATCTCCCCCCAGGTTATTTCCTACTTTGGTAACCCCCAAGAGAAAACCAAAGTGAATGTTAAGCAGGAGCAGTGAGAAGAACATCTGCTGTAACCTCTCTATGACCCCAATGCAGTAGCTCAGCAGAGATGAATTAAAGCGCAGGAAGCTTGTTGGCGTCAGTCTCCATTGACGCCAACAGGAAGGTGGAGCAGAGAAGCAGATTTGCTGCTGAAAATCATTTCCCCTGGAAAGTCCCAGGAGAAAAAAAAAAATCATTACAGCTGGGATAATAATGTTTACTCAACAGCCTTGTGTAAATTTTTGACCCACCTTATTTCTGCACTATTAGGGTCTGGAATTACTGATTAAAGATATTATTATGTTGGTGCAAAAGTAATTGCGGTTTTTGCTATTACTTTCAATGACAAAAACCTCAATTACTTTTGCACCAGCCTAATACCATCTTAATATGCAATTGCTAGCTGGAAAAGTCTAGGGCAGGTTACAGAGGTGTAGTATTAACATGGCTAAAACACACACAATAGAAAATGGAGAAAGAAGTATCTTGAGGGGAGCATGGTTTGCAATGCCCTTTTCTCTTCTCCCTTTCCCCTTTCATTCCAGGTGGGCCTCCAGCATGTCCCTAGTCACCAAATTACAGAGCTGTCATTTTCTAATTCAATGAAAATTTACTGGGGGCCTGTTTGACACAGGCTGTGTCACCTCCTGTCTCCAGGGTATTAAATTGACTAAAAGAGCTCATCCTTTACTAAAGAGGGTAGCTCCCTAGTGCAACTGTGACCAGGCATAGAGGGGTAAAAAGTCGGCCCTGGCATTAACTAAATGCCCACAGCAAGAGCTTGTTCTTTCTTCTTGTAAAAAATGACCAGATGCTAGAACTCAGGACACCTTGGATGACACCCAACATTCTAGAGGAAAATCATAGATAGACCTGGCAGATCTCGTCAGGCAGAGCTGGCCTGGCAAAACTGGGAAGTGAGCCATACTGATCCTCAACATTCTCCAATTTTCATTTTCAGCTCTTTTCCCTCTGACCATTATTTGGTTCTGCCCCATGAGTGGCCACAAAGTCCCCCTGCCCTGCCCTCCCCTATCACAACCCACCCAAGGACCTTGCTAGGTGACACTGACCCATTCCACATTTTAGAGTCTGAAATTATTCCTCAGTCTTCCCAGCACTTTGGGAGGCTAAGGCAGGCGGATCACGAGGTCGGGAGTTCGAAACCAGCCTAGCCATTATGGTGAAACTGTGTCTCTACTAAAAAACACAAAAATTAGCTGGGTGTCGTGGCGTGTGCCTGTAGTCCCAGCTACTCAGGAGGCTGAGGCAGGAGAACCACTTGAACTCAGGAGGCGGAGGTTGCAGTGAGCTGAGATCACGCCACTGCACTCCAGCCTGGAGTGCAGTGCAGTAAACATTATTATCCCAGCTGTAAGCGAGTGAGACTCCATCTCAAAAAACAAAACAAATACCCAAAAAATATTGCTATCTAGCAAGGGAATGTGACAAAACCAATTGAAAAGGAATAAACTAGTGACTATAATAGTTTAGATAACTTCCTGGAGTGCTTGCCTTTTGGAGAGGCAATAAATAAGAAAATGAGGCTCTGAATGACCAGAACCAAATAGAACCTTCTTAGATTCTATTCTATTTCTCAAAGTAATATGAGAATTAACTAAAATCTTGAGATTTTTGCCAAGGACAAAACATTACATTGACCCTTCTAGTAAATGAGACAACTGCACTTCTTAATCCTCCCTTTTCCAGACAAATACCAGTCAGTAGGTCCCTCATTTCTAACTCCTCATATATGTCAATAGGACATAGCATTTTTAAACTATGAAAAGATGTTAAATTTCATCACTTTAACAATGTATAATTTAATCACATATAAAATGAAAGATGGTTGTTAGAGTTCTTCCAAGATAAGTCTCTAGCTCCTCACAAATTTAAAGGATCCATTTTAAACTTATGAAGAGGCTGTAAGAAGAGACACTAGAACCAAATGTGAACAGACATCTAGACAATTGATTCTGGATGGCTAAAGCTCAACTTCTTCATTTAATTAACAAATACTTGTTGAGGACTTACCGTGTGCCAGGCATCAGGCTCGATGCTGAAGATGAAAGACTGTTCCTGTCTTCAGGGATCTCACAGTTTGGTGGGACAGGGCAGAAGAAACTTAAAATAAGCAACTACGACAGGCTGTGATAAGTGCCATTATGGAGCACGTACAGGGAACATTGGGAGCACAGAACACTTCACTCACTCTAGGGTTGGAGAGAAGGGTATATTGGAGGAAGATTTCTCAAAAAAAACCTGTGCTGGATTTTAAAGGTCATATACCTGTCTCTAGTTTTAGTGTATGGAAGGTATTTCCAAAGCATATAAATGGTATTTCAAAAGCACAAAAGAAAAAAAGGAAATGTGGGAGATATTATTCCCAGTTGGTGGGGAAAAAAGTAAAAAATAAGTTAAAGGGGCCAGGCGCAGTGGCTCATGCCTGTAATCCCAACACATTGGGAGGCTGAGGCAGGCAGATCACTTGAGGTCAAGAGTTCGAGACCAGCCTGGCCAACATGGTAAAACCCCATCTCTACTAAAAATACAAAAATTAGCTGGGCGTAGTAGCGCATGCCTGTAATCCCAGCTATTCCAGTGGCTGAGGCATGAGAATCGCTTGAACCTGTGAGGCAGAGGTTGAAGTGAACCAAAATCTTGCCACTGCATTCCAGCCTTGGTGACAGAGTGAGATTCTGTCTTAAAAAATAAAATAAAATAAAATAAGTTAAAGGAAAATTACCTAAAACTTGTAGATAAAAGATGATTATATGACTTTTTATGTCATGCTAACAACATTTTCTAATGAGCCTACTTTATTTACACAACTGATCATGACTCAAACATTTTACAAGTCTGTAAAATTTATAAGGTGATTTTTGTTTCTACCAGTGTAAAGAAGACCCATGGATCATCTTCTTTATATTGGTAGAAAAGGTTCTTTACATTGGTTAAGAAAAAGGGGGGGTGGGTGGGTATATTTTTCCTATACGACAATATGTAACTAGCAAATTTATTGCAGAATTCCTTTTTTCCCCCTCATTATAAAAATCTCAGTTTCTCAAACTCTTTTTGGAACCTACTTGGCCATCCTACTGGTTTCATCATTAAAGAGTTCATCATTAAAGAGTTAAATAAAACTTTGAAATTAGCTCACCATTTTTTTGTATAAGGATTAGGTTTTTAAATTCACATGGAAACTTGAGGGGCTCTGAACAGCCAAAAATAACTTGAAAAAGAAAGACAAAGTTGGAAGTCTCATTTCCAAATTTTAAACCCACTACAGAGCTACAGTAATCAAAATAGTGTGGGACTAGTGTAAAGAAATACATATAGACCAATGAATAGAATAGAGATGGCAGAAATAAATGTCCAATTATATGGTGATTGAATCTTCAACAAGGGTGCCAAGACCATCTAATGGGGAAAGGACAGTCTTTTCAACTTATGGTGCTGGGAAAACTGAATATCCACATGCAAAAATATGGAGTTGGTCCCTTGCCTTATACCATATACAAATACACCTCAAAATAGATCAAAGGCCTAAAGGTAACACCTAAAATCATAAAACTGTTAGGAAAAAAATGTAGTGGGAAAGCTTCATGACATTGAGTTTGATAATGGTTTTTGGATATGACACCAAATGCACAGGCAACAAATGTAAACAGATAAATTGGACTACCCCCAAATTTGAAACTCTATCAAAGGACACAACCAATAGAATGAAAAGGCAACCTACAGAATGGGAAAAATATTTGGATCTTGCAAAAGATTAGTAACCACACACATACATACACAAACACATAGCCAGCTAGCTATCTGCCACAATTTTTTACCTATTCATCTGTTGATGGACACTTAGGTTGTCTCCATATCTTAATATTTTTGTCTTTTAGTCTTCATACTTAAGATATAAGTGGTTTATTTCCACAATTACAATATTAAAGTATTCTGAATTTATCTGTTTGCTTTCTTTTACCAGGAGTTTAATACCTTCAGGTTTTTTTTTTAATCTCAAAAAAAGGTACTTTATTGATGGTGGCTTGTGTTATCATCATTATTATCACCCTTTTCTTATATATATGTATATTTTATTATTATTATACTTTAAGTTCTAGGGTACGTGTGCACAATGTGCAGGTTTGTTACATATGTATACATGTGCCATGTTAGTGTGCTGCACCCATTAACTCGTCATTTACATTAGGTGTTTTCTCATTTCACATTTGCATCTATTTCTTTCAGGTTGAGCAACTCCCTTTAGCATTTCTTGTAAGGCAGGTCCTATGTAGATTAATTCCCTCAGTTTTTGTTTGTCTGGAAAAGTCTCTCTGCATCCTATTTGAAGGATAGCTTTACTGGGTACAGTATTCTTGGTTGGCAGTATTTTCCCTTCAGCACTTTGAATATAGTATCCCATGTCTCCTGGCTTGCAGAGTTTCTGTGGAGAAATCTGCTGAACGCTGTATTGGGACTCTATGGAATGTGATATGTTTCCTTTTTCTAAATGTCTTGAGTGTTCTTTTTTTGTCTTTGATTTTTACTAATTTGATTATGATGTGCCTTGAGGAATTCCTGTTTTGAATTTGATTGGTGACCTCTGAGATTCCTATACCTGGATGCTGTTGTCTTTCTCCAGATTTGGAACATTTTCAGCCATTATTTCCCTAAAGATGCCTTCTAGGCCTTTTTCCTCTCTCATCTCCTTTGGGAATTTCTATTATGTGAAGGTTAGTTCTCTTGACAGTGTCCCATAATTCCCCTAGGCCTTCTTCACTCTTTTTTAAAATTCTTTTTGCTCTTCTAATTAGATAATTTCATGTGTTCTGTATCCATGCTTGCTAATTCTTTCCTCTGTTGGATGAAGCCTGCTGTTGAAGCTTTCTAATGAGTTTTTCAGTTTAGCTATTGTATTATTTATTTCCAGTATTTCCATTTGATATTTAAAAATTGTTTCTATTTATCTGTAAAATTTCTCATTTTGTTCTTGGATTGTTTTCCAAATTTCATTTAGTTTCTGTCTTTTCTTGTATTTCTTATGATTCCCTGAACTTTTTAAAGAGGATTATTCTGACTCTCTGTGAGACATTTCACAGATCCACAATTCTTCTGGGTCTATTGCTGGAGCTTTGTTCATTTCTCTTGGTGGTGTCATATTTCCCTGAATTTTCACAGTCTTTGCAGCTTTATATCAACACCTGTGCATTTGAAGAGATAGCCACTTTTTTCAGGTTTTGCAGGTATTCTTAGGTGGTATTAGAGTTTTACTACTTAGTATCAGAACTTAAGCACTGGTCAACATTGCTTCCTGTTCTGGGGAGGACTTAAAGTGAGCACCAGAATGAAAACACTGCAATGGAACTAACTCACTGCTCTTTCATTATTTCTTCATCTGGGGAATACTAACAGCAAACATCAGAACTCAAACATTGCCCTGGAACTATATTGCTACCCTATTATTTCCTAGTCTGGAGAAGGCTTACTTAAATAGGCACTGGAACTTAATCCTGATCTTTTAGTTGTTTCCAAGCCAGAGAAAGGCTCCACATAAGCACTTGGGCTTTGTAAAAAATTCAGCCAGGAATTTGGGCCTTCTCATGAATTGTGCCCCTTGCAGTGCTATGGGGCAAGCCAGTCTCTTGAATGTGGTGTCCCTGCTGTCCAGAGCACAGAATAACCTCTAAGATCCATGGATCAGTCATTGTCATCAATGCCTTCTTCTTTGGCTCCAATTCACCCCAGTGATTCAACTCTCCTATTACCCCTAGTGGTTCCTGCAGGGTGAGACCACAGTCAACTTCCTGTGAAAATTCCCAGACTGGTGAGGAGATCCATTGTCCACCTCCAATTCCCTCCTCTCACTTCAGAAACTGTAAGTCTAGGGAAATTCTCTGTGAGTGGCATTATGCCAGCTTGGGGAGTGGCTAGCTCATTCTGAAATGACCATTTCTCTTACCAGTTGCAGCTTCTCTCAACTCTGTGGGCCCAGGAGGTTTCATTGCTTCTCCCCTGAGTTCTGGTGAATTCATAGTGGTATTCTTCTTTAGATGGTTTCTCTTTGTATTGTTGTGGGGGAAGTGATGCCAGGAGATCTATTCTACCATCTTGCTAACATCACCAACCTGTTTCCACATCTTGGCTCTTGTGAATAATGCTGCAAATATGGGCATGCACATATTTCTACATGATACTGATTTCATCTCCTTTGGATATACATCCAGAAGTGGGATTGCTGGATCATATGGTAGTTCTATTTTTAATTTTTTGAGGGATCTCCATATTGTTTTCTATTTTACATTTGACTGCACCATTTTACATTTCTACAACAGTGTACCAGGGTCCCTTTTTCTCCACATCCTCATCAACATTAACCATTTGTCTTTTGTCTTTCTGATAATTTGATATTTGTCTTTTTGACAAATAATGGCCATCCTAACAAGTATAAGGTGATAATGGTTTTGTTTTGCATTTGCTTGATGATTAGTGATGTTGAGCATCTTTTCATATATTGTCGGCCATTTGTATGTCTTCTTAGGAAAAATGTCTATTGTGGTCTTTTGCTCATTTTTTTATTTTTTATTTTTATTTTTTATTTTTTTGCTATTATGTTAATTCCTATATATTTTGGATATTGCCCCTATCAAATATATGGCTTGCAAATATTTTCTCTCTTTCCAAAAGTTGCCTTTTCATGCCACTGATTGTTTCCTTTAATGTGCAGAAGCTTTTTAGTTTAATGTAGTCATACTTGTCTATTTTTACTTTTGTGACCTGTGCTTTTGGTGTCACATCCAATAAATCATTGCCAAGATCAGTGTCAAGATTTTTCCCTATGTCTTCTTCTAGGAGTTTTACAGTTTCAAGTCTTACATTTAAGTCTTTAATCCATTTTGTGTTGACTCTTGTGTATAGTGTAAGATAAGGCTCCAATTTTATTCTTTTGCACTTAGCTATTCAGTTTTCCCAACACCATTTATTGAAAAGGCTATCCTTTTCTCATTGTGTATCCTTGGCACCTTTGTCAAAGATTAGTTGACTGTATATGTATGGCTTTATTTTTGAGCTGTCTATTCTGTTCCACTGATCTATGTGTTTGTTTTTGTGCCAATTCCATACTGTTTTGATTCCTGTAGCTTTGTAATATAATTCAAAATCAGGAACTGTGATGCTTCCAGCTTTGCTCTTCTTTATCTAGATTTCTTTAGCTATTTGGGGTCTTTTGTGGTTCCATATACATTTTAGAATTTATTTTCTATTTTTGTGAAAAACGTCATTGGAATTTTGATGAAGATTATGTTAAATCTGTAGATCACTTTGGGTAGTATGGACATTTTTGCAGTATTAAGTCTTCCAATCCATAACATGGGATATCTTTCCATTTATTTGTGTTTTCAATTCCTTTCATCAATGTTTTACAGTTTTCAGTATACAGATCTTCCACCTCCTGATTAAATTTGTTCCTATCTTATTCTTTTTGATGCTATAATAAACGGGATTGTTTTCATTATTTCTTTTTCAGATAATTCATTATTTTTATGTTGATTTTGTATTTTTTGACTTTAATGAATTTATTAGTTCTAAAAGTTTTTTGGTGAATAAAAGTTACTAATTTACTGATATTACCCAACCCCCTTCAACCACATTACCCTCTGTTTTTCCATAGTAAGGAAAAGAATGATTTGCAATTATGTTCTAGACTCAGCACTCTCTTCTAGGCAGTGATCTCAACTATTGTTCTGCCACCCATGTACACTAACTGGGATAGTTTTTCTCTGCATCATCTGGAGGCTTTATGGTGGTGTTAGTTTATGTTTTTCTTTGTGATTTAAAAATTCTCTCAGAAAGCATATACATTTGCAAAGATTAATTTGAGAACACCAGAACCATGTAGCATCATGTGACAATTTAGAAAGTGTGATGCTTGCAGCTTTGCTCTTCTTTATCTAGATTGCTTTAGCTATACCTGACAGGGAATCATCTTCCATCCTGATGGAAGTAGTGCAACACTGTGCTTACGGCACTTTCTGCTGAATTTGACCACCACAATATCCAAAATTTTTGATGTGTGTTTAAACTGAGTAATTTTTAATTAGTGTATAGATATTTAAAAGGAGTTCATTTCTTCTTCACTTCATTCATTGCACATAAATTGACAGACGAGTGCATAGATTAAACAAGATGGATAGTGGATGTGTACCAAGAAAAGAGGACCCACATGTGCAGAGGCATAGAGATGTGGGGACCAGGAACACAATGTTCCAAATAGGTAAATATGATTGGATCACTGGGTGCAAATAAGATGATAGAGAAATAAGGCTACCCAAGCATGCAGAAGCCAAGTGAAAATGGGCCTTGCAGGCCATACAAAGGAGTTGAGATTTTTGAGTTTAATAGGGAGCCATTGAAGGATTTCAAATGCACTTTATAAAGATGTATTTTGACAGCAAATATGAAGTATAGACTTGAAGGAGGCAAGATTGGAAACAGGAAGACTAGTTAAGAGGTTATTGCAATAGTCCATAATCCATGCAGAAGTAATGAAGGCCTAAAGCAAGACATAGGGGATAGAGAGAATCAGAGTATCTCCCCTTGAAAAAGAAAGAGTCCAAAGATCTCACTCAGAAAATGCAACTCTTTTCCATGTCCTGTCTCCACAATATATTTGTATGAAAACAAATAAATAATACTAAAATTCTAAACAGCAATTTTATATGTGTATCTTGGGTCTATTCAGAGAACAGTATCCATTGGCATTTGGCCTCTCCAGCAATATCTTACTTTCCTTTTCTATTTTAGATTGGGGGGTACATGTACAGGTTTGTTACATGAATATGTTACGTGATGCTAAAGTCTGGACTTCAACTGAACCTGTCTCCCAGATAGTGAACCAACAGGTAGTTTTTCAAGCTTTCCCTCTTCCCTCCCCTTTTGGAGTCTCCAGTGTCTATTTTTCCCATCTTTACGTCCATATGTACCCAATGTTTCAGCTATATCTTATTCTGTACATACATTTAAGTGTGCAGAGTTCATGAAAATTTCCCCACATTCCTAGGAAAGCTGTTCATGTGGGATAAATATTGAACTACATTTATCTCCTTTCGACCTTTTGGAAACAGAAGATTTCCATTTTCACAATTCCAATTAATCACTTACAATGAATTGAAGCTCCTTTTCTTAACAGATACATCATTTTCCTTTGCTAAAGTTGGTATTTTCTTAGGCATGCAGTGGAAAGACAAATCAGTTGATCTCTTGAGGAAGCATCAGTCACAACTGGTTATTTAAGATTGAGAAGGAAACAACTGATCAGCCCAGGACCTAAAGCCATCTGGGAAATTGGCAGAGTAAAGATCTTCAAAAATCCTTTCCTCCATAAAGGCAATAAAAACAGCAGCAAAATTGACAGAATCAACTTTTTCAGAACTCTGAAACTTAGCCAAAGACTTGCAGCAATCCAAAGAATGTTTAGTCAAGAAAAATAGCTGAAACCTGGTAAGAAGAGCAAGCTTTGTAGCATGTTAAGATGCCAATACTTTTCAAATTGATCTACACATTCAATGCAATCCTTATCAAAATCCCAGCTGGCTTTTTGTGGAAATTGACAAGCTGATCCTAAATTTCATATGTAAATACAAGGGACACTAAATAGCCAAAACAATCTTGGAAAGAACAAAAAAGGAACAAAGTTAGAGGACTCATACTTTCAGATTTCAAAACTCTCTATAAATCTACTGTAATCAAGACTGTGTGGTACTTGTATAGAGATAGACATATAAAACAATGGAATAGAATTAATGGTCTAGAAGTAAACCCATACATTTACAATTAATTTTTGACAAGGGTATCAAGATTATTCATGGGAAAAGGGTCATTTTTTCAACAAATGGTTCTGAAACAAATGGATAGACACATGCAAAAGAAGGAAGTTGGACCCTATCACACACTATATGTAAAATTAACTAAAAATTGATCAATAACTTAAGAGCTGAAACTGTACAACTCTTAGGGAAAAAAGTGAGCATAAATCTTTGTGATTTTGGATTTGACAATTATTTCTTGGTTATGACACCAAAAATGCAGGCAACAAAAGAAAAATTAGGACTTCAAAAGAAAAAATACATAAATTGGACTTCACCTAAATTAGTAACTTTCATGCTTCAAAAAGATACCTTCAAGAAAGTGAAAAGACAGCCCACAGAATGGGAGAGAATTTTTGCAAGTCATATATATGATAAGGAACTTGCATATAAAATATATAAAGAACTCTTATAACTCAATAAAAAGACAAATAGCTCCATTAAAATGGACAAATAATATGAATAGACATTTCTCCAAAAGAGATAAACAAATGTCCCACAAACACATGAAAAGGTGCTGAACATTATTAGTCATCAGGCAAATACAAAGCAAAACCACAACCTAATACTTTACCCCACACTCACTAGCCTGGCTGTAATAGACAGCTAATAAGTGTTGGTGAGGATGTGGAGAAACTGGAACCCTCATACACTGCTGGTGAGAATGTAAAATGATATAGTCACTTTGGAAAACAGTCTAACTAAATATGGAATTACCATATGACCCAGAAATTTCACTCCTAGCTATATACCAAGAGAAATGAAAAGTTAACTTCTTACAAAAACTTGTAAATGATTGCTCATAAAAGCATTATTTGTAATAGCCAAAAAGTGGAAACAACCCAAATTACTGACTCATGACAACTGATCGATGGATAAACAAAATGGGGTATATCCATACAATGGAATATTATTTATCCATAAAAAGGAATAAAGTACTGATTCATGCTACAACATGGATGAACCTTGCAACTATGGTAAGTGAAAGAAGCCAGACACAAAAGGCTACATATTGGATGATTGCATTCATATGAAATATACAGAATGGGTAAATGCATACAGACACAAAGTCAATTAGTGATTTTCAGCAGCTGGTGGGAGAGGCGAACAGGGAGAGGCTACTAATTTGTATGGAGTTTCTTTCTGTGGTGATGAAAATGGTATATATCTCTGCTTTAGATGTTTAGGACTTTCTAGTTGTTAGAATATAACATTAGATACCAGAATTAGGAAATCCAGATGCCTTTCATTGTAAGTCATTTGATTCTATACCAAGATTGATCTGCCATATTCTAAGAATAATTGCTGTCTACCTCTCATATTTCATGGAGAATATTTACAAAGTATATTGGTCACTGATGCTTCTTTTCCCAAACTCATGCCAAAATCTCAAATGTGTCAGGCATGTAGGAGGTAGTCAATAAACGTTATTTACTTTCCCGTCACTATATCAATTTATGTCTGAACCCCTAAGCCTTTAGAAATTACTAGTTTTCCCTAACAGTAGCCATGGAATATGTAAAAAATAAAAAGAATTTAAATAAGGATTAATATTGGGTAATCTGAAAGGAAATGTGAATTCTAGTGAAAATCAGATATCTCCTTAATCACTCAATAGCATTATGTAACTCTCTTGCTCACAACCTCAGTCTTGGCAAGTATTAGGACACGAACTCTCCAGAGTTGTCCCAAGAACAGTAGGTCCCAGAAAAAGAAGAATGACTTGTGACAAGAACCCTGAGGAGTGCCTCAATCTGTTTCCATGATTTATGATCTTCTTACCTCAGTAATGACTCCCACCATTTGGTTCAGACCTACAAGAGGCCATGTCTGATATTTTAGCAGAGAAACAGGCATATACCATCCTAAATCTGTCTTGGGCTCACGAATCACATTGAGCTCACAAATCACCTTTCTTCCCTGCGAAGTTATCGGCTGCTTAATTATAGATAAGTTTGCATCTGTGGCCAAGAACCCAGGCCAGGTTTTATAAAACCTGAACTGTCTCCCAGTTTCCAAGGACAATCAACATCAAGGAATCTCGCTGCATGACTATAGGGTTGATGAAAGATCCCATTTTTCACAAGTAAAACATTTTCTTAGAATCATGAATAGCTACTGACAATGTCTAATGAAACAACTGATAATACATCTGGGTTTGGGTGAGATGGGAAGAAAACCAAAGCCAAAGGGGACCTATAAAAATCACTTCCTGGCTGGGTGCGGTGGCTCATGCCTATAATCCTGGCAGTTTGGGAGGCCGAGGTGAACAGATCAGTTGAAGCCAGGAGTCCAAGACCGGTCTGGGCAATGTGGTGAAACGCTGTCTCTACTAAAAATACAAAAAAATTTAGCTGGGCCTGGTGGCACACACCCGTAGTCCCAGCTACTTGGAAGGCTGAGGCAGGATAATCGCTTGAACTGGGAGGTGGAGGTTGCAGTGAGCCAAAACCCTGCCACTGCACTCCAGCCTGGGTTACAGAGTGAGACTTTTTTGGCATGGCCCTGTAAACGGTAGAGAAGAGGACTGAATGACTCTCAAGATTCTTCAACTTCCCATATTGTAAAATTCAATGTTTGAGGAATTTTGTGTAATTATTATTTTTATAGCTAATATGTACAAGTTGTACAAAACATAAAAGATTCAAAGGGGTCCTATAGAAAAAAGTCTCTATCCATCCATTTTCTTTAATCATCGAATTTTTTTTTTTGACACAGAGTTTCACTCTTGTTGCCCAGGCTGGAGTGCAATGGCGTGATCTTAGCTCACCACAACGTCCACCTCACAGGTTCAAGCGATTCTCCTCCCTCAGCCTCCCAAGTAGCTGGGATTACAGGCATGCACCACCACTACTGGCTAATTTTGTATTTTTAGTAGAGACAGGGTTTCTCCATGTTGGTCAGGCTGGTCTTGAACTCCCAACCTCAGGTGATCTGCCCGTCTTGGCCTCCTAAAGTGCTGGGATTGTAGATGTGAGCCACTGCGCCCGGCCTAGTCATCAAATTTCTTATCCCAGGGGGAATGTTGCCAGGCACTGTTCTAGGTCCTGAGGATAAAGCCATGAACAAAATAGAGTCCCTGTCCTCAATGAGCTTACATTCTAGCATGAAGAGAAACAAAATAGCTTTGGGTATGACAAAAATAAAATAGCCTGAGAAGGAGCAGCTTTGAGGTAGGAGAAAAACCAGATGAGTATGGTTTCATAAAACTTAGAAAAGATGAGGATTTCAAGAATGAGGGAGTTGTCAGCCACGTCAAATGCTGTAGAAAGGTCAAGTGAGATAGCAACAAAGTGTTGACTATTGGCCCGCCAAGTAATGGTGATTGGTGACCTTGCCAATTGTTTCAGTGAACTGGTACAATCAAAAGCTCAATTGAAATGGGCTGAGGAGGGGATATAAAAATTACAACTAATCCGCTGGAGGAATATTGATTTAAAAATATGTGAGAGAAGCAGCAGAGCCCAGGTAATGGGAAATGTGCATCAAGGGGAGTTTTTCTTAAAATGTATTATATTAAGGCATGTTTATATGCACATGAAATAATCTAAAAGAAAAAGAAATTAATTCAGGAAAGAAAGAAGATCATTTCAAAAATAAAGTCCTTGAGAAGGTAAGAGGGGATAGGAACAGGGCACAAGAGGAGGGCTTGGCCTTAGGTAGAAGCAGGGATACTCCTTCCATTTTAACATCCTTTCAGAGGATCTACACACACACACACACACACACACACACACACACATATAGATATGAATAGGTATATATACATCTTTTTTTAATTTTTTTTTTTTTTGAGACAGAGTCTTGCTCTGTCGCCCAGGCTGGAGTGCAGTGGCGCTATCTCATCTCGCTGCAACCTCCACCTCCTGGGTACAAGTGATTCTCCTGCCTCAGCCTCCTGAGTAGCTGAGATTACAGGCATGTGCCACAATGCTCGCTAATTTTTGTATTTTTAGTAGAGACAGGGTTTCACCATGTTGGCCAGGCTGGTCTCGAATACCTGACCTCAGGCGATTCATCCGCCTCAGCCTCCCAAAGTGCTGAGATTACAGGCGTGAGCCACCACATCTGGCATATATATATCTATATAGCTATCTATATAGATATATATATAGAGAGAGATTTTTTTTTGAGACAGAGTCTTACTCTGCCACCAGGCTGGAGCACAGTGGCATGATCTCAGCTCACGGCAACCTTCGCCTCCTGGGTTCAAGTGATTTCCCTGCCTCAGCCTCCCGAGTAGCTGAGATTACAGGCACCCGCCACCACCCCTGGCTAACTTTTTTGTATTTTAGTAGAGATGGGGTTTCACCATGTTGGCCAGCATGGTCTTGATCTCCTGACCTCATGATCTGCCCACCTTGGCTTCCCAAAGTGCTGGGATTACAGGCGTGAGCCACTGCACCTGGCCCTATTTATGTATTTATATATATAGCAAATAACAACATGCTCTATGTAGTGTTTTGCATCTTGTTTTAAAAAAAACTTAACAGTATATCTAAGTACACATTTACAGACTTTCTCATTTTGACTGCTGTATAGTGTTGTCTTTTATTGCTACACCATAATTTACTTCTAATCCTCTACTAGTAAACATTGTCTGTTTCCAGTGTTTTTCTATTGCAAACAATGCTTTAATGAACATCTTTGTACAGAGGTGCTAGTGTGTCTGCAGAATAAATTACTAGAAATGGACTTGTTAGCTCAAATAGTATAAACATTTTTAATTTTGAAAGCTATTACCAAATTGTTCCTAATTTATACCAATTTATAACCCCAAACATATATTAGAGTCCCTGTTTCTGCCTCATCCACTCAGTGTTAAGCAGACTTTAATATTTCTCAGTCTGACAGGTGAAAAATTGTGTCTCAGGGCCTTAATTTGCATTTATCTTGTTACAAATGAGGTTTGGCATTATTTTATGTTTAAAATTCATTCATGTTTCCTTTTCTGTGTACTTTCTGTACATCTGCCTATTTTTCTATTGTTATTGGTCTTTTTCTTTAATATGTATAAGCTCTATACATTAATAATTTAGAGTTTTGTTATATATATTGTAAATATTTTCCAAATTTGTTGCATGTGTTTGTACTTTTACATGTATCAGATTTTATAAACTTATGCAGCATATGTAGTCTTGTTGTCTATTGTGTGGTTTGTATATTTTCGGAGTCGATTATGTGAGTCCACATAGTCTATTGACCTCTTCCTATATGGCTTCTGAGTTTGGAGTTATGCTTAAAAGTCCTACTGAACTCCAAAATTATAAGAAAAAGATATTTATTTTTAAGTCTAAATCTTTGATCTATGTGAGATTTATTCTTACTAAGAAATAAGTTAGGAATCCAACCTTCTTTTTTTTTTTTTTTGAGATGCAGTTTCGCTTTTGTTGCCCAGGCTGGAGAGCAATGGCCCTATCTCAGCTCACTGCAGCCTCCATCTCCCAGGTTCAAGCAATTCTCCTGCTTCAGCCTCCCGGGTAGCTGGAATTACAGGTATGCATCGCCATACCTGGCTAATTTTGTATTTTTAGTACAGACGGGGTTTCACCATGTTGGCCAGGCTGCTCTTGAACTCCTGACCTCAGGTGATCCACCTACCTCAGCCTCCCAAAGTACGGGGATCACAGGCATGAGCCACTGCACCCAGCCCCAACTTAATATTTTTTATGTATCCAGATTCCCAGTGCCATTTATATAATGCCATCTTAATCGCTGACTAAGTTCCTGACCATGCCAAGGGAGAAGTGGTTAAAGAAAAAGAATATGCATTCAAATATTTGTTAAATGAGAATAGAAAAATTCATGAGCAATGGAACATCGGGAATGGGAAATTTGTAAAAAATTAGTTGGCAAAGACTTTGCTCCTGACTTGTAGTCTTTCTTTCTGACCCAATTTACACTGTTGTCTTGGATGACTAAACTGTTCATGTTGAAGACCCATCCAGCGACTTAGCTTTGCAGTGTCTTCACCTTGATTCCAGTGATTTTCGTCTTCACTCCATCCCCTTGTGCCCCCGGCTACATTCTGGTTTTCATTGTCATCAGGAGCTATTCAATTTCTGAAATATGAAACTCAAGCATCCTGCTTTCTAACAACAACTTCCCATTCTTCTGGCTCTTTAGCTCCCTTATCACCACCACACGTCTTCACCCATCCATATGTGGGTCCTTTCACCTTTCTGACTTCTCTCAGCAGCTTTTCCTGCATTTCCCTTCATTTTCTCTCCAGCCATTCTAACCACTCTGGTCAGCTCTGAATTCCTTATTCTTTTTGTCTTTTTCTCTACCCATGGGTCAAAACATAATCCTGGATTGATGTGAATCTGCCTTCACCATTCATACAGGCAAGATACCACATACTATTGGGGAAAAATCATACTCTATGCAAACTGGTGCCACTACAAATTAATGATTCCATTGCTTTCAAGAGTAAGTCCAAGTTCCTCTGCAAAATATACAGGGAAGGCCCTTCACAATCCAGCTCCAAGTCCCATTTGTTCTACTTCTCTTTCCACTCACCCTCACAACCTATCCTCTGAGAACAACCCCCCTTGCTTTTGAATAAGCTGCTCCCTTTGCCTAAAGTGGCTTTCCTCTTCCCCTTCCTCTGGCTAATTCAGCTTAGGGCATCATCTCCAGGAAACTGCTACCAACTCTACCTCATCTGTCTGGATTTTGTGTTCTTTTTGGTTCCACCAGATTCCATGCTACCCTTTTTGAAAACTGATCATGCTTTATTGGAGAAGGCTGTTTAAATGACTGCCTCCCTAGAGAGGAGTGGATCTCAAAGCTCAGAATGCATAAGCATCAGGCAGAAAGCTGATTTTTATTAGGCCTTAGGTTGAATCCAGGAAATCTGAATTTCAGCAAGCACACCAAGTGGTACTGATGCTGGTGGTTCTGGGACTACTCTTTGAGAAACAGCAAATATGAGCTCTTGGATGCCAGGGGAATATTCTCAAACAGGTTTTTCTTTCCTGTGCTAAGCAGAATGCCTGATAAATGTCAATAAATGTTTTCTTCAATAAATAATTATTAAAAGGGTTATCATGTGCCAGGAACACACCCAGAGTCTAGGGTACAGACACAGTATTCACTTTCATGGAGCCTACAGGGGCCACGTTTGTTGACTGAATGAAGGAGATTCAGATATCAAACAGATACTATGACAAACCTTAAAAGTCACTTCTGTCAAACCTTATAAAACCCTATAAAATAAAGAAATGTGATTTTTTTTCCTCTGAAGCTGTAACTAAGTCCTAGTAGCAAGACTGCCCTGGAATACTACTAGGTAATGGTTTTAAGAGTGTGGACTCTGAAAACTTGGGATTAAATCTTAGCTCAAAAACTTAGAAATGTGCAATCTCTGAACCTCAGCTTTCTCAGCATAATATGGGGTTAAAGTAACATGCGTTAATTTAACTGGTAATTATTGAACTCCTCCTATGTGCTAACTCACTATTAGGCACTGGAGACATGCAATAAATCTAGACAAACTCCCATGGCTGTGCAGCTTACAGCCTAGTAAGGGAGACAGACAAACAAACAAACAGGTGGCACAGATATTTAAAGTTAATAAGTGCTCTGAAAGAAACATGCGGGTGGAGAGCATAACTGTAGGTAGGGGTGGTAAGGGGACACTTTGGATGGTGTGGTCAAGAAAGGCCACTCTAGGGAAGTGACATTAACTTGAAGTCTGAAGATTAAGAAGAACCCACTCTATAAGGGTGGCATGGAAGAAGAGCTTTCCAGGTAGCGTGAACAGCAGCTGCAAAGGTCCTGAGATTGGATTGTCTGAGGAACAGAAAGGAGGCTTACATGGCCACCATGAAGTGATCAACAGAGATGGTGGCCGGGGACGAGAAGGTGGTGGTAGCAGACAGAAGCTACATCACATCAGGCTTCTAGGTCACAATGGGGAGTTAGGATATTATTCTAGAAGCACCATGAGAACACTGACATAATCTTGAACTAACTGTGTGGTGTTTTGGAAGCATAGAGAAGAGAAGCTCCCAAGAAAAACACAGTGAGTGGTGTCAAACACTGACAAAATATTAAGGATGGAGTAAGATGTAGGGATGTGTCTACTATTAATAGATTTGCCAACATAAGAAAGTTGGTGACTTTAAGAATGGAGGGTAAAGATAGGAGCTTGATTATAATGGGTGGAATAATCAATGGGAAATGAGATGATGTTAGACAACTCCAGAGATTTTGCTGTGAGTGGGCAGAAAAAGGAGACAGTAGCTGGAATATTGTTGCACAGGTTAAATGAAATAGCCCCTCTGACATGCTGAGCCCAGTGCCTGTCACATAGTAAGCACATCCCTATTCTTAATATTATGTTTCCTATCCTTAGTCCCTTGTATGTCCATTCAAAGTTCATTTTTTCCTAAAAATGTTTTCAAACTGTGATTATCTTATTTGAGTCCTGGGAACGTACATGGTGACTCAGAGGGTCATCCACAGTTGTGAATGACTGTATCTTTGGCCACTACAGATAAAAGTTACTTTTTCAGGAATTGTAAATGGAAGGGTTTTGTGTTTTAAGTGGCCTGTCAGAGTGCATTTGGTGCTGGCAGGATGCGGTGAGATGACAGCTCATTTCAGCCTGAAAGAGTGCTTTGGGGGTGCTGCCAGGCACATAACATCAGGCAGTAAGTGATCTTTCTCCTTTTTCTCTCTGCAGCTCCTGTTGCAGCTTCATTTTGATTATAGCACAGATGTAAGAGCACCCAGTGAATTCGTGGTCTCCAGATGGGTTTTCTGGCATCTCCATATCTCCCTGTGATAATTTGGGAGGGTTGATGTTTGTGGGTTTGTGATTTGTTTGTTTTTGGTCTTTCATTTGCTCAGTGTCTGCCAAATAGACACATTTCCCCAGTTTTCACTATTTAGGAGCACTTAAACCACCAAAGATTAGCCACAGTGGCAAAATAATAAAGCTATTGGTTTAATCTACAATCAAGGTAAACTAGCGGAAGGCAAAGATGACTAAATGGTTTTTGTCCTGAAGTCACTGTAGTGCCTTTCCTCAGAGTGCCAGCTCACTCCCCGAGACATCGATACATGTTTGTGTCAAGACCTGGGCATATGTGCAGCATATAAGCCCTGTTAAAGCGTCAGTTAACCCCAGCTTCTCAGTACGTGCATCTGTTTGTAGCTGGTTGATTAGCTATTGGTCTGGAAAGACAACATTTCTCTCCTCTTCAAGGACACAGGATCAGAACGGACCCTTTTGTTTTTCTTCCTGCCAGCTGAAAGGGAGCATACTGAGGCTTCTCTTCTTGGACTTCTTGCCTCTCAAAGTCTTCCCTTGTTGTTTCTTTAGAATAGTCTCTCTTTCCAAAGAAACTTGGTGTATATTGATAATATATCCTATGTATTTGTGACTTCAACAGTCATTGCCTTGCATTGCCATATAGGTGTTCTATGTATGTGTTTTATTTTGCCAACTATAATTGTGAGCCCCTTACACTTATTTGAATTCCCTCCAGTTAGGTACATAATATAGACACTCTGTAAATATTTTTAAATTAGTTTTAATACATTGTTCTACCCTCAAGGATCTTAGAGTTTCACTGGGGAAGCAAGGGATACTCAGGTGAAACAGTTCAATAACAGAGCAAAGCAACAATAATTCAGTGCCAAATGTGGAAATGTAGACCCAAGAGGTACAATGCTAAGGATGTCAGAGGAAAGTCACCTAGCTGGGCCATTCTGAGAAGGCTCCTAGTTGCCTGTAACAGTTGTTACTTGTTCTAAGAGAATAAGTCAGTAGCTGCTTTCAGAGTTGGCCTGGTTTTACAAATGAATCTAGCTATCAGAGTAGCATTACTGCAATTGTCATTTTGTCCTTTGCATACTGATATCTCTGCTTCCCCAAAGGGATTTATTCTACAGACAAGACCAGCTCCTGGCCCCTAGAAATACCACAGCGAAGTTTACTTCTGTCCTCTTTTCCCACTCTCCAAAGCCCTTTCATCATTTGTATTTTTTTTAAACTTCTGTTTCTATGAAAAGATTTATCTTTATGGTTCAGCTCTCTAAAAGAAAGAGCTGATAGCATGAGAATGGGCATAGCGAGGATGCATATGCCTTCCTGCACTGCTTTCTGGGTGCTGCACTTGTGCTTTTAATCCTGCTGCTGTCAAGCTCCATTAGGAGATTTGAGCATCAGCCTCCTACCTTTGGGATCTGGCCTTCCATCAGTCCTGGCCAAAATGAGGACAGCGTTTGAGATAGGTAATCAAAAAGAAAGACAGGTTAGGTATCACAAAGAGCCCCATCCTAATTCACTATCCTGATGTCACAGTCACCTTACACATCACACAGGGGCATTTATCCTCCCACTTGCAAGCACTGAGTGCCATTAGGGGAAGCCATCCGAATGCCACGTGCTGGCATCCATACAGTGATTTAAAACAGCAGAAGATGAAGGCTAAGAAATGATTTCCTCTTTCTGGGAACGTAGGACGGTGCAGAAGGAGGAGAACCCCCGATCCCCACCCAAGGAAGCAAAGTTACTCAGACCAATCCTGGTGATCATGGGGTGACAGATGTTACAGCCTTCACATCTGGCCTCTTTTGTAGCTTTGGTGAGTCAGAAGCAACACTTAGACTCTTGCCTTAGAGGACTGGCAGTAAGTTTCTTGGAAAGTAAAGGCCCCCTAAGTGACACCCCCTTTCTCTGCATTTGATATAAAGTAGAAACTAGTCCATGGGAAGACTCAGAAGGAGGTGTTTATGTCTCTGTAGCTGAAATTAACGCCTTTGTTGTCATCGGTAGAAAATACTAACTGCTCAGCTATGCAAGTTATTGTGCTGGATCTAAAACCAGAATCTATATATTTTTTGTGAGCTCTTAAAGCTCTTTTCTTAAAACTTTTTATATGCAAAAAAGCACTCTTTTATGTACAAAATAGCTTTTTTCTTAAGGTTCTTTTTGTGAAAAAAGGCACTAATTTGCATTCAGCAAATCTTGAAAACTACATGAGCAACAACAATAAATAGATGGCATACAAAGCTCAAAATCAGTGTTGGTAGGGAAAACAACAGGAAAGAATATGAGTGCCAATTCTATCTGGTGCCCACAGCTAATTGTTAGAGTAAACGCTTTTTCTTTTAGGAAAGCCCAAGGTTTACACAGAGGTTTCTCTGCTGAGCCAGGTACTTACTTTGGAATTTTTATTTATTTTTTATTTAATAATTTGTATTTAATTTGGAATTAAAATGAATTTGCAAAAGAGAAAGTTATATATCAGCACCTACAATTAGTTTTTGGTGATACAAACCTGATACATTTTTTGAAAAGGTTAATTGTGCTTTCTTCGTTAGGTTTAAGCAAAGATTTTTCTAGTATTGAGTATACAGTCAGGGGACAAATATATTTCATATTGGAGGGTTAAAACAAATTGAGACAGGATGACCTGGGAAGAGAGAAGGTATATAGATTTATGAGGTAATATACCATGAAAAGCTACAAATGTGAGTTTGGATGTGGAGTAGCAGAGGAAGAAGTGAAGTAGCTGTAAATGGCCAGATGACAGCGAACAAACCATTTCTGATGTGAGAGCCTCAGAGAGCAATACTGAATTCAGTACAAGGATTTAGCGTTCTTCTCTAGATAGCGATCATAACAGTACTGAAAGCAACCGGAATGAAATTTCCACAGGAAATAGAGCAGTTTGCTCCATAAGGCATGAAATATGAATCAACAAGTAAATTTATGTGATAGATTTTTAACGATAACTTCCAGTATAGGAAGAAAATGTTGACTTGTGATGCCCACCTTGAGCTAAATAAATAATGCTCGGGACTGAGGCCGTCCCAGCAAGACTAAGCATTGCCAAACTGCAGGGTTTGGAACAACCCCTCATAACTCCCTTGTGTCTTCATGTAGCCTGTTTATTACTAGAATACCATTTTTCTCCCTCGTGCCCATTTACCTGTTTATAAATACATTAAAGTCATATTTGCAAAAGGCAAATATTACATCATTGTAAAAGGCAAATATTACATCATTGTAGAGGGCAAATATTACATCCTTGAAAGCAAAGTGAGACCACAGTGCCAACAACCAAGTTCTAGGTCTATTCAGATATTTTTGCATAATCTTGAGTCAGCCAGCTATATACTCTATCCCCATGTGTAAAATGGGCTAATAATCCCAGGTCTCATAAACCCACAGAAGGTCGCAACCATGTGAATTAATTGTCGAATATGGTATTGTGCTGAGAAAGTTAAATATGGAAGCTTGCCTATTTCCGGTAGCTAAAAACAGACCAAAGGCCAACAAATTCTATTTTGTTAAATCATTCTTCTTCGACTTAAGGTTTTACAGCAATTGCAGGAATCACTTACAGAGGTTTCAAATCTGAATAAGAAATTGCTCCTTTCTCATTTACTACATTACCCCATAGCTGTTTTGTGACTTTTTGTTCAAGAACAGATTCATCCTTAAATATCTTCTGGTGACCCATGCCAAAACAGAAATTGGATGTGAACTTTGTTTTATATGGAAACGTAGATGCGCTAAAGCTCTTTGGTGCTGGGCAAAGCTTTTTTCAGTGTGGGCACTGTTACTATGTCCCCACAGAACCACACATGTTTTTTGACCCTCAGTTTGCTGTACCAATTACTTTAACTCAGTCATGACAAAGTACACCATGCCCAGCCAGCACATTGTTTTTTAATGAGTAATATTCATACCCTCCCAAGATAAGAGACTGACCACATTGGATCTTGAGAGCAGCTGTGCTGGTTATAAATGATTGTTTAGGCAGGATGCGGTGGCTCACACCTGCAATTCCAGCACTTTAGGAGGATGAGGCAGGTGAATCACTTGAGCTCAGGGGCGGAGACCAACCTGGGCAACATGGCGAAACCCTGTCTCTACTAAAAATACAAAAATTAGCCAGGCGTGGTGGTGCGTGCTTGTAGTCCCAGCTGCACAGGAGGCTGAGGCAGGAGAATCGCTTGAACCCGGGAGGTGGAGGTTGCAGTGAGCTGAGATCGCACCACTACACTCCAGCCTGGGCAACAGAGTGAGACTCTGCCTCAAAAAAAAAAAAAAAAAAAAAAAAAAGATTGTTTACATGATTGTTAGTCTCATGCATCAGCGGTTCTGGAGATGAGGGCAGGTGACAGGAGCCATAAGAGAGGATGTGGACAGAGACCTGCTCAGAAAGGCCACCTACAGAGTGAAAGTAAAAAGGGATTCTTGGCTGGTAATGTGAATATGAAGCACATACCGAGGCGGCAGGGACCAGGACAACTCTCAATATTTTTTAAAGCTATCATGTATTGCATTCTCACTATGCTTAGGGCATGGTGCCTAGCATCCCCCACATGTACAACCTTAATACATAGGGAGTATTTATTTCCCTTTTTGCAACTGAGGTACTAAGGCTTAGAAAGATTAACTTCCCTGAGAAAGGATCCAAACCCAGTTTGTCTGATTATAAGGTTCAAGCTGTTAATCATTTTAATCATTTGCCTATTGACCATATTATCTGTTTTTGCAGTATGATTATTTGAAATGCAAATTAAATAATTCCTGGTTCCCAAGAAATGACTATAAAACACAAAATCTTGTCTCAAGAGAGGATAGATGCTTCACTTGTATTAGGGAGACCAGGAAAGGGAGGAAATTATGAAAAACATGTAAAGCTAAATAAATACAAGATAAAATTAAGACCCTCACAGAGGTAGCATGCTCTGTTCCTTATATAATTGATGATACCTTAACAGAATCCTAATTCCAAGGCCTTGTGAGACAGTGACGCTCCCCTCATCCCCCATAATTTATGGGAGTTCTCAGAACTCAGCACTCAAATTTCTGTCTCTGTGCTCCTGTATCCACACGTGCTACCTCTCTTCTGACCCACTTCAAAACAGGCACAAAGACAACTCCCTCCACCTGGTCCCACACATCCACAAATTCACTCACCAGAATGCATGCTGTTAGTAGAGAAACTTTGCTGAAGGCTTGGGAGAAGGTCACAGGAAGGGGTGACATGATGATGCTCAAAGTCTTCTCCCCATATCCCTGTATCCACTGTCGTCTTATCTTCCTCCTTGTTCCTCCTATCCCAGGAATAACAGTTTTCCTCTTGCCTCATGGAGAACGATTTTTTGAAAATCAATTTACCCCTAATTTTAGAAAGGTAAATTGGTGTGTTCCTGTTTATTAGCACAACACACCCCAATAGTGTCTGGAGCAGCAAACGCATCAATGTTTTTGCAGCAAAATGAATAAATATTGACACCAAGTGAGGTGAATAAAGGCTTAGATAGCCTCACTTTAGTTTCAAATTGGCCACAAAATCAGATCAACTCAGCTCAAATGTTGCACTCAACAGATCTTTTTTAAACTTTGACTGTCAGAAATTTTTGAAATTCAAGTTGTAAATAAGAGACTGTAGACCTATATAGGAGAACACCACTGAGCCAGGCTTAATAATCTGGCTCCTGACTAGAGAAAGCTGTCATCTTAATCATTGACTAAACAGTACTTGACATCTTTAAAAAGAAAAACTTGAATGCCAGATGGCAGACTTGGCCAAATGGAAGAAATTAAACGAATACTCCTTTTTTTTATATCTGTCTTAGTCTGTTCAGGCTGCCATAATAATACCAATCAATAAAAACATAGAAATTTATTTCTCACCGTTCCATAAGCTGGGAAGTCCTAAATCAAGGTAGCAGCAGGCTCCGTTTCTGGTGGAGGCCCACTTCCTGATTCATGGATGATTCCTTCTTGCTGTGTCCTCACGTGCTGGATGGGACTAATGAGCTCCTCGGGGGTCTCTATTTTAAGGGTGCTAATCCCATTCACCTAATCACCTGCCAAAGGCCCCACCTCCAAATACCATCACCTTGGGGGTTAGAATTTCAACATAGAATTTAGGTAGGGGGTACATAAACATAAACATTCAGTCCATTGCAGTATTTCAGGAAGCTTCCACCAGATGAACCTGTCTTCAAGTAAAAAGAATCCCACCCCCACCAATTATACTGCCAACATAAAATACATTGGAAGAAAGGACTGGCCTCATTAGGTAAGAGAGGAAGAGCTGTTTCAATTGGCCAGGGAGACTAGGTTGACATTTGAGTTTTAGGCCATTCCTGTTATGTGATGTGGCCTCTGTCTGAATGGTCCTTTGAGTTTATATTAAAAGTTAAAACAAAAAAAGTTTATATTAGAACTTACTGAGCTAGAATGCACCTGACAAAGGGGTGGGTAATTACGTTTTTCCTTGATGTAGCTCTGTAAATCTTTAGTAAAAAGGCAGTTTTCACTCAAAATAAGTCCCCCCAGATTAAACAATAACAATAACAGACAAGCAACTGATTTTGTTTCTGAAAAAGGTAGATTAAATAATTCAGACCCATACTCCTGAAGGGCAAGCTAAAGATAACTAAAAAGATTGGATAAAATATGTTTAAAATCTTCTTAAAAGCATCAAAGAGCTAATACGTTAATAAGAAGTTACTAGTTTTAAGCCCCAAGAAAAGGCAGAAATCAGAAGAAATGAGCCTTGTATTCAGTGTCACTGGGATTATTTGGCAATCCTGGTTAGAGGTCAAAAGTTGGAGTTCATGGCTCACCAAAGGTATGGATGTTGCTAAACCACCTTCTGCTTTGAGTTGGAACCGTAAAGGAGTTACATTCTTTTTTTTTTTTTTTTTTTTTTTTTTGAGACGGAGTCTCGTTGTGTCGCCCAGGCTGGAGTGCAGTGGTGTGATCTCCACTCACCGCAAGCTCTGCCTCCCGGGTTCACGCCATTCTCCTGTCTCAGCCTCCTGAGTAGCTGGGACTACAGGCGCCCGCCACCAAGCCCGGCTAATTTTTTGTATTTATAGTAGAGACGGGGTTTCACCGTGTTAGCCAGGATGATCTCCATCTCCTGACCTCGTGATCAGCCCACCTCGGCCTCCCAAAGTGCTGGGATAACAGGCGTGAGCCACCGCCCCCAGCCGAAAGAGCTACATTCTAAGACAGGGTGGATGGGAAGTGGAGCAGCACTCGCACTTGCATGGGCTGGATTTGGTGACTCGCTGTCAACTGATCTTTAGCGAAAGTACCAAGTCTATACAATGGGAAAAGGAGAGTCTCTTCAATAAATGGGGCTGGGAAAAGTGGATAGCCACATGTAAAATAATGAAATTGAACCCATTATCTTACACCATACACAAAATGTTAACTCAAAATGAATTAAAGGCTGAAGTGTAAGACCTGAAACTATAAAACTCCTAGAAGAAAACGTAGGGAAAAATCTTCCTGATACTGGTTTTGGCAATGATTTCTTGGATGTGACACCAAAAGCAAAGGTCACAAAAGCAAGAACAGACAAGTAGGACTACATTAAACGAAAAAGCTTCTACACAGCGAAGAAAACAATCAGTGGCATGAAAAGGTAACCTTGGAAAGAGAAAATATTTACAAACCATATATTTGATAAGGGTTAATATCTGAACTATACAAGAAATTAATACAACTCAGTGACAAAAAAAAAAAATAACCCAACTAAAAATGGACAAAGAACCTGAATAAACATTTCTCCAAAGAAGGCATACAAATGGCCAAATGGTATATAAAAAAGTGTTCAACACACTAATCATGGGAGAAATGCAAATCAGAACTATATTGAGATATCATCTCAAACCTGTTAGGGTGGTGCTGTTCTCAAAAAGTCAAAAGGTGGGCCAGGCATGGTGGCTTACTCCTGTAATCCCAGCACTTTGGAAGGCCAAGGCGGGTGGATCACGAAGTCAGGAGTTCGAGACCAACTTGGCCAAGATGGTGAAACCCCATCTCTACTAAAAATACAAAAAAAAAATTAGCCAGGCGCGGTGGCAGCCTGTAATCCCAGCTACTTGGGAGGCTGAGGCAGAAGAATCACTTGAACCCAGGAGGCAGAGGTTGCAGTGAGCAGAGATTGCACCACTGCACTCTAGCCTGGGTGACAAAGCAAGACTCAGTCTCAAAAAAAAAGAAAAAAGAAAAAAAAAGTCAAAAGGTAACAAGTATTGGCATTGCTGTGGAGAAATTGGAACCTTTGTACACTGTTGGTTGGAATGTAAAATGGTACAGCTGCTGCGGTAAATAATATGACATTTCCTCAAATTTTAAATTTTTTCCTCAAAAAATTTAAAATTGAAAACCATATGATCCAGTAATCCCACTTCTGATATATATCTAAAAAATCAGTATCTCAAAGAGATACCTGCACTCCCATGTTCATTGCAGCATTATCACAATAGCCAAGGTATCAAAACAACCCAAATGTCCACTGACATGTAAGGAGAAAAATGTATTGTATATAAATACAAGGAAATATTATCACCCTTATAAAAGAAGGAAATCCTGCTATTTGTGACAACATGGATGAACCTGAAGGAGATGATGCTAAGTGAAAATAAGCCTGTTAGAAGAGGAAAAATATTGCATAATTCCACTTACATAAGGTATCTAAAATAGTAACTCACAGAAGCAGAAAATAAATAGTGGTTTCCAAGTAGCTGGGAGAAAGGAGGAAATGAAGAGTTGTTGTTCAATGGCTATACAGTTTCAGTTATACAAGATGAATAAATTCCAGAGATCTGCCATACAACATAATGCCTATAGTTAACAATGCTGGACTGTGCACTTAGAAGTTTGTTCAGAGGGTAGATCTCATGTTAAGTGTTCTTACAACAACGAACGCCCCATCAAAAAAGACCAAAAAGCAGCTGGGCGCGGTGGCTCACACCTGTAATCCCAGCACTTTGGGAGGCCGAGGCGGGCAGATCACAAGGTCAGGAGATCAAGACCATCGTGGCTAACACGGTGAAACTCCGTCTCTACTAAAAATACAAAAAATTAGCTGGGCGTGGTGGCAGGCGCCTGTAGTCCCAGCTACTCGGGAGGCTGAGGCAGGAGAATGGCATGAACCTGGGAGGCAGAGCTTGCAGAGAGTGGAGATCGCACCACTACACTCCAGCCTGGGCAACACAGTGAGACTCTGTCTCAAAAAAAAAAAAAATCCTTAAAAAGCGAAGAGATGCAAGGAAACTTTTAGAGGTGATGCCTATGTGTATCACCTTGATTTGTAGTGATGGTTTCGCAGTATGTCCAAACTCATTAGATTGAATACGTTAAATAGGTGCAGTTTACATGGATGAGCTTGGAGGACATTAGGTTAAGTTAAATAAGCCAGGCACAGAGTGATAAATCTGCATGTTCTTGGCACATGTGGAATCTATAAAAGTTGGTATCATAGAAGTGGAGAGGAAGGGAAGGGGAATAGGGAGAGGGGATGACCAAAGGCTGGTTAACAGATACAAAAGTACAGCTAAGTAGAAGGCATAAATTCTAGTGCTCTGTAGCACTTTAGGGTGAGAATTAATTGTATATTTTCAAATAGCTAGAAGAGTGGATTTTGAATGTTCCCAACACAAAGAAATGATAAATGTGTGAGGTGATGTATTTGCTAATTACCCTGATTTGATCATTGCACATTATATACTTGTATCAAAGTATCACATTGTACTCCATGAATATGTACAATTATTACATGTCAATTTAAAATAATAATAAAAGCAAAAATATCACAAAAATATGTAGTTTTTTGTATCAATTATACCTCAATAAAGCTGTGTTTAAAAAATCTAAAAACCAAGAATTTAGCAATATGTGAAAAGATTTATACACTTTGACCAAGTAGGCTTTATTCCAGGAATGCAAAGCTGGTTCAACTTTCAAAAATCAATGCAATCCACCATATTAAAAGGCTAAAAAAAGAAAAAATCACATGGCTATACAAACTAATGTAAAAGCATTTGACAAAATTCAACACCCATTTATGACAAAATTCTCAGAAAAATACAAATAGAAGGCAAATTAGATACCTATAGCTAATCTATAATTAATCATGAAAGACTGAATGCTTTCTCCCTAATTTATATCAAAATATCAATGAGAATTTTTGTATTAATAGATATAGAGGAGATTATTCTAATATTTAAACAGAAAGGCAAAGGAACTAGAAGAGCTAAAACAATTTTGAATAGAAGGAATAAAGTGGGCAGAATCAGACTACCCAGTTTCAAGATTTATTATATAGCTTCAGTAATCAAGACTGTATGGTATTGGTGGAGGGATAGACACATAGATCAATGGAATGGAATAGAGAATCCAAAAATAAACCCACACAACTATGCCCAGCTGATTCTTGACAAAGGTGCAAAAGCAATTAAATGGTTAACAAATGATGCCAGAGCAACTGGACCTTATTAGGCAAGAAGAAGAAGGAGAAGAAGGAGAAGGAGAAGGAGCTGCTCAACCTAGCCCTCACATCTTATACAAAAATTAACTTATGATGGATTACCAACAGAACATGAAACAGAAAAAAAAAAAATTGGAGAAAACCTTTGGGGTTTAGGGCTAGCCAGAAAGTTCTTAGTCTTGACACCAACAACATGCTCCATAATAGAAAAAATAGTAAAATTAGACCTTATCAAAATTTAAAAATTTCTCTACAAAGTGCATGTAAAGAGGATGAAAAGACTGGGGGAAAATACTTGCAAGCCACAGATCTGAAAAAGGACCAGGATCTAGACCAAGGTTGTCCAACTCATGGCCCACTGGCCACAAGCCTCCCAGGATGGTTTTGAATGCGGCCCAACACAAATTTTTAAACTTTCTTAAAACATTATGAGAATTGTTTTGTGATTTTTTTTTTAGCTCATCAGCTGTTGTTAGTGTTTTTTATTTTATATTTTATATGTGGCCCAAGGCAATTCTTCTTCTTCCAATGTGGCCCAGAGAAGCCAAAAGACTGGACACCCCTTATCTAGACTATATAGAGAACTCTGAAAATTCAACAGTCAAAAAGACAAAACAATCCAATTAGCAAATGACCAAAAGACGTAAACAGAGATTTCACCAAAGATTGCATATAGGTGGAAATAAGGATGGCAAGTAAGCACGAGCCCCTGAAGACGTCTGACATCAGTAGTCATTAGAGGAATGGAATTTAAAATCACAATGACACATCATTATACATGTATAAGAATGGGTGAAAGTTTTAAAATATTGACAACACCAAATCCTGCCAAGGTTGTGGAGAAGCTGGATCATTCATATGTTCCTTGTTGGGATGTAAAATGGTACAATTGCTCTAGAAAACAGGCTGGCAGTCTCTTTAACAACTAAGCATGTGACTACCATACGATCTAGCAATAGTTGCCCTGGGCATTTACCTTACAAACTAGAAATAGTTCTCCTGGGCATTTATCCCAGAGATATGAAAATGTATGCTCACTTGTAAACCTGTAAACAAATGTTTGTGGCAACTTTATTTGGTTTTTGTTGTTGTTGTTGTTGTTGTTGTTGAGACGTCTTGCTCTGTTCTCCCAAGCTGAAGTGCGGTGGTTCAATCCTAGCTTACTGCAGCCTCCAACTCCTGGGTTCAAGGGATCCTCCCCCTTTAGCCTCTTGTGTAGCTGGGACTTCAGGTGTGTGCAGCCACACCCAGCTAATTTTTCATTTTTTTATGTAGAGACAGGGTCTCACTATGTTGCCTAGCCAGTCTGGAACTACTGGGCTCAAGCAATCCTCCCACCTCAGCCAACTTAATTTGTAATACCCCTGAAACTGGGGAAAAAACCCTAAATGTCCTTCATTAAGTGAATGGTTAAACAAGCTGGTGGTACATGCATACCATGAAATACTACAAGAAAAAGGAACAAAATACTGATACAACAACCTGCAACTCAGGTTGCTGCGTGGGAAAAAATTCAAAAGGTTACATATATTGATACGAAAGGATACAAATGATTTCATTTAAATAACATTCTTGAAATCACAAAATGTACCATTTTACATTTTGGAAATGGGAAACAGGTAAGTGGTTTCAAGAGATTAGAGATGGGGAAGGATGCACAGGGGAAACAGGTGTGGCTACGAAAGGGCAATATGAGGGATCTTGCGGTGGTGGAAATGTTGTGTATCTTGACTGTGTCAATGTCAATATCCTAATTATGATATTTTACTATAGTTTTTGCAAGATATTACCAATGAGGGAAACTGGGTGAAGGGTACTTGCAATCTCTCTGTATTATTTCTTACAATTGCCTACAAATCTACAATTATCTCAAAATGAAAGTTCTAATTTAAAAAGCGACTCTTGATCAAAAGATACCATTAAATGAGTAGAAGATACTTGCAGTCTCTAACTGACCAAGGCATGGTAGCAGCTAGACTTTATAAACAGCTTTTATGAATCAATAAGAAAAAGTCAGCTCAAAAAAATGGGCAAACATTTGAACAGGCACTCAGAAAACAGAAAACTCAAGTAGCCTATAAACATATGTAGAAGTGCCCAATTTCATTGGTAATTAGGGATATGAAACGAAGATCACAGTGAGACACCATTACATCTCCGCCAGACTGGCAAAACATAAGAAGTCTAATAATATTATATTTTGGCAAGGATGCGGAGCAATGGCAATTACCGTACATCTCTGATGGGAGTCTAAATTTTGTGGCCACTTTGGAAAACAATTTGGCATGATCTAATAAAACTAAATATATGCATACCCTATAGTCCAGTAATTTCACCCCAAGGTATACATCCTAAAGATTGCACTTGCATACCAGGAGATATACACAAAAATGTCATTAGCAATAGCACTTGTAATAGCCCCAATGGGAAAAACCCAAATATCTAAAGTGCCAGAATGGACAAAGAAATTGTGATATGTCCATACAAGGGAATATTAAGTAGCAATGAAAATGAATGAACTACAACTACATGCCACAAAAGTAGATGACTCTTACAACCAAATGGAAGAAGAGGCCAGGCACACACAAAAATATGCATGCAATATTATTCAATTTATAGAAAGTTCAAAACCAAGCAAAACTAAACTGTAGTGGTTAGGGATACATTACAAATTGGTAGAAACTATAAAGATACGTAAGGAAGTAATTACCATAAAGTCAGGATAGTTGCTTTAGGGGGAAGGGAAGGACTTGTGGAAGGGAATTGGTGGAGCAGGGGAACCTCTGGGGTGGTAGCAATGACCTGGGTGGTGTTTGGTTTATGATTCATTAGGCTATGAAGGTACGTTGTTTTCACTTTTCTGTGTTACAGTTTATAACAAAATCACACGTCCTCTTCATATTTCATTGTTTTGCCTTTGAGATGAGGAAGAATGTAGGCACGAGCCTTAACTGTGCTGAGAAAAGACGGCACATGAAAATCTGAGCTCAAAATGTAAAACCTGTGAGTAGAGTTAGAGTAAAAAGTGGAGTGTGCTGCAACAACAGTAGACTTGCTGGAATGATGAGGTGGTGGCTTGCCTTGGGATTTTTGTTTTTTAACAGTGTATTAGGAATAATAAGGTTGCTCCAGGTGCTAAATTTCTTACTCCCCTTCTTTAGAAGTTGGACCTAGGCTGAGGGTCCACAGTTTTTAAATGTTTTGGAGTTTTCTGTTTTTGTTTTTCAAATGGATTCCCTGATCACCTTTGCCTTGAATCCCCAGAACTAACCTGCCTAAGAAGAGAGGAAAACTGTTGATGTAGTGGGAACGCTCCCTCCTCGAGCATTAACCGGGTTGACCCCACCCCTCTGTCCTCGCTGTCTTCAGTCCAATCAAGATCGGAAAGCAGGATCAAGAGAAAGATGATCAGACCGGAACAGGTAAACGTTCCATATAGAGATGCTTCGGAAGTGCGGAGAAGTGACAGCTTATCCCCTCTCAGGCCGTCATGTTCTCTCAGCAGACCCTCTGAATTACTGATGTCAGAACTTATTGGCTGGGCTACAGCACATAAGCAACTCCTAGAGTTTTAAGACATTAAAAGAAGGTGATTTCAGACAAGAAATCTAGCGCACCATTCAGGTTTCTCCTCGTGTCGAGGCATTGCTTCTCTCCCTTCCTGCCTCTTCCTGCCAGACTTCACCGTCACAGCTCTAATCACACCCTGACTGATCTGATCCCGCCCTGCCACGAGGCCCGGGTACCCCTCAGCGGCGGGGACATCCAGGTGTCCCTGGATTTCCAGGGCACAGTGCGGGCCGGAAATAGGAACACAGAGGAGCCCTTCGGGAGGCTCTCGAGGCAGTCTCTTTCCAGTGGATAGCGACACACCCTGGTCCCTAAGATTCTCATGCTCTCCGAATTTTCCGTCCTGGACCCGATCTGTAGGGCGCAAAGTCCCCTGTACTGAGGCGTTCCCAGGGCGCCCGCCTCCCGCGTTTACATTTCTTAGGCAAAAAGGCAGCGGAGCTAAGCAGGGGTGTTTGGAAGGCGCCCGTTGCGCTGTTTGACTGCGTGGCTTCACTTGGCCCGCGTGCATCAGCCTCTCTGGCGGGGGATTCTCCCCGGACTCCGGCCAGCGCCAATCAGGTCGCGCGGTACCTGCCCCCAGCCCTGGCCACCTGGAGGGGCGATGAGGCTCCACGCCCGGAGCAGGGCAGTCCTCGGAGCGCCGGGGAGGCCGCGGAGCCTCACGTGTGCCGCCCCAGCCGCTGGCGCCCGGAAGGACGCGCTGCGACCCCGTGGGAGCCGAACGCGGGAGTCGCTGCCCGAGCGGAGCTGCTCAGCCGCGGTAACGGGTCGGGGCCTCATCGTGCAGGGGAGCGAGCGGAGGGGCGGGGCGGGGCGCGGGCGGGCTGAGGAGCCGCCGGGCTCGGGCTCCGCGCGGGGATGTGTCTGGCCACCGCGTACTTTCGAGGGCGCCTCAACACCCGGGTAAGCGCGCCCCGGCTGCCTCCCTCTGCCCACCGCGCCGCCTTCAGCGTAGCAGTTCCCCACTGGGTCTGGGTCTGCGCCCTGGCTCTCCCTCTCCGCGCCAGGGGCCTCTCGCTCCGAGGGGCGCGGCGACTCGGGGGCATCTCCGGCCTCGTGGCCAGACCGCGGGTGGCGGTGCTCGCGCCTCGGGGCCGGACTTGCCGGGTCCCTGCCCCCGGGCCGTGCCGAAGGCGCTCTACTCAGCGTGTCTGCAGCGACCCGCTTCTCTGCGCTTTCAGCCGGGCCGGACCTCACGCGGACGCCGCTGCTGCTGCTGCGCCTCGCGCCCGCCGCCACCCGGGGAGCATGAGGCCGGGGCAGGGGACCCGGGTAGGGTGGGGGCCGACCGGCGGGGTCTGCTGGGCCAATGCGCCGCCGTCGGTCAGTGAGTCCGGATTCGTGCCGGCAACTGTGGGCAGCCTTGAGACCGGGGCTCGGTTTGCTGGTGATTTTTCCGAAGTTTTACAAAATAAAGAGGGCGAAGTGCCTTCGCGGCGCGGCGTGGGCATGCAGGCGGCAGGGCCTGTGGGAGCCGGCGTCTCGGCCAGCGAGTCTGGGGCCAGGACAGCGGGGGTAGGACGGAGAAGCCGGACGTGCCCGTGGGGCCGCGGTGTCCTTGCTCCCGAGGCCCCAGAGCGGGCGACCGCACTCCGATTCCAGAGGGCCCTGCGCGCTCAAGGCGCCGGCCACACGGAAGCCTCCGCCCCGCGGCCCAGAGGGGGGCCTGGCCAAGCAGAGAGCAGAGCGGGCAAGCAGAAGGCAGTGTGGGGACGAGGCCCGCATTGGGCTGCTGGGACCCCGCCACCCGGCCTGGCCTGGGTGGGGCGGGTAGAGGCCGAGAGCCGCGCGCCGGGGCCCTGGGTGGGTGGCATCCTGGTTCTCTGCGGCTCCGAAGGCCGCGAGGGAAGTCAGGGGTGCAGATCTGTTCCCTCGGTCAGCGCCCTTTGGCCGACACACACCAGCCGTGTTTTCCTGTCACACTGGGGGTTCCTTTCCTCTGAGTGGAACTGTGGGGCCCTGGAAGTTTGCTAGTCCTGGCAAGTTTGACGTGACGGGGACGCAGTCATCCAACCTGCAGGCGGAGGCCCGCAGGCACTTTCTCCTGTCATTTCGCCCACCTGGGCCCTCCCCCAGGGCGCCCAGGGGGCCCCATCCTGAGATTCCGAGGGGGCCGCAGCGTGGCTGGCAGGACCGACGTCTGCGCAGTTGCGTCTGTGTCCTGCTTGGTCCTCTAGCAGCTGAGCCAGACACATGTTTTATGTCGTGTGGGAGACAAACAATAACTGCGGGCTTCAATCCCGCATGTTCGCTTTGCCTAAGATTCGCTGGAGTCTGTGTCCTGAGGGGAAAGGCAGCTTTCCTTCTGCCCTAATGAAATACTTGCATGTAACAGACGTTCAGACCCTGAAAGAGGTGGACCCCGGGGAAGGAACAGTAAAGGTACATGCTCTGAAAACAGATTTTCTTAGCCTTCTCTAGGGAGGTTTCAGTTCCCATGCCTAAGAGAATCTAAACCAGCAGGTACAGACAGGGTCATGCTGGCGTCCAGAGGGGAAGTAATGTGTGGCTCTCGGAGGGTCCTGCTGGGGCATCAGGCAGATCGGCAGCGGCCCTGCCAGGGCTAGAGATCTGCATTCAGTGACCTCATCAGGCATACTGTTCTGGAAAGGCAAGGTGAGATGGGCTCGTGCAGATGAGAGCAGGTCCCCCTGTTTGGCCCAAGAATCTCTGTTTTTTCTCTAGCTTGCCGTCTGTAACTGGAAATGACCCCGGCTTAGTTCAGGGAGTGCTTCAGCCTGAGTGCAAACATCAGCTGGTAACAGGGGAGCCTGGCCCCAGCACAGTCCAGTCCTCACCCAGAGGCCCACGCTGGGATTTTCCTGATCTGCAAACTTTACAAGGCTGAGGTGGATGAGAGGAGAAGTTGGGAATCTTCTGGGTGGCCACTTAACAAAAAAGTCATTTGACTCTGGTAGGGCCATTCCAGGGTCTGTCCATTGTGAAAAGTGCCCTGGGGTTTAGAATCTGGCCTGGTGATTATTAACATTAATGAAAGTTGCTAACATTTATTAAGTACCTGCTATGTGCCAGACACAAGGTTTTGCAAAATTACTATTATTTCCCCATTTTTCGTGTGATGAAACTGAGTTTGGGGGTAGGGTAAACGATTTGCCAAGATCATAAAGCTAGTTAATGGCAGAGCAGAGCTTGAAGCCCAGGTCTCTTTGGTTCCAAAGTCACTACTCCTTCCTCGGGGCCACTTTCTTCCAATTAAGAACAGACACACATGTGGTAGCTGGAAATCCAGAATTGTCGTGAATAAAGACTCTTACTTGTAGATCCAAGAGATATTTATAACCCCATTAGACTCTAGACTTCAGAAAGTGCTGGCCTGGTAAACAGCCAGCACTTCCTTCTCTCTGTCACTCAAGGGTTTAACTCCTACACAAAGGACTAATTTCTTATTAAGTACAAATCTTTCAACTAGCAAACATCAAAGAGATAAACCGTTGATGAGGTTGTAGAAAAACAGGTACTTTCATATATTGCTGCTGGGAGAGTAAATTGGTACAACTTTGGAGGGCATTTTTGGAAACACTTGTCAAAATTATAAACGCCCATGCCATCTGACCTAGTGATTCCATTTTTAGGAATTGAACTTGTTGTTAAACTTGCATATGGGCACAAAGATATATGTACATTATAGCACTGTTCGAACTGTGAAAGAACAACTTACATGCTTATCAAAGGGGGACTTGTTAAGTGTCTTATGGTACTTCCAGAGAGTCAAATAGCGTCCTATTCATTCATGGAAAAAAGAATTAGTAAGTTTACTATATAACTGATATGGAATGATTTCCAAGATATATGGCTAAGTGGAAAAAACAACATGCCTGGAGTGTTTATAATATGCTGCTGCTCGTGTTATACAAGAGGAAGGAGAGTCTTAGGGTATTTGCTTGTCTGTGTATAACTATAGACACAAAACCTAATCATACCTGTTACCTCCAGGAAAAGTGGCCTGTAAACCCTTTTGTACCTTTTGAATTCTGAACCATGGGAATACGTTAACTATTTTAAAATTCTCTTTGTCCGTCCTGTGCCTGGTATGTTCCCTCAAACACTTTTCCAGCTTAACATTGTGGGGTGACGTACCCCACCCCCTTTTGGTTGCTTGAGAGGTTCCCTTTGGATTAAAAGCCAAAGGGCTGTGAGACTGCACAGTGCCCATAGTATCTGGGCCATCCAGTATTCCTTTGAAATATACAGAGTTGTACTTGGAAAGCTGGGGAGAGGTGTCTTTGGACAGCAGGCTCTCTGAGCTGGGTAGGCAAGTTATGATCATCCAGCCTTGAAAACAATCTGCAGAAATAGAAACCACCCCTTTCTCTATTGCCCTAATGTTCCCTTGTACAGGATAAAGTGTCAGCGACTGGATAGGATTGGGTAAAGGAGCAAGAGGAACACTGTGACTGGACATCAGAAAGGGCAAAAGATACGTAGGAGGGCTATTTCTGGTGTTGCATTTGGACCTCAAAAAGGTGAAGAGAGAGATGCTTGGAAAAAAAAAAAAAAGGTTTGACATTATCCTAGAGTCTAGGGCTGTATTGCCCCAGAGAAAGAAGGAAGATTATTGGCGCAGTTGTCACTGCATCAATCAGTGTGTCCTACATGCCCCTTTGAGCATTTCTTATCAGCACAGATGCCCGGCTCAGTTCCCCCTACTTCCAAGCACCCATTTTTGCTGATCCCTCAGCCTGGAAGCCGATGGATACACAAAGGGGATGGGGGAGATATTAGGTACTGCCTTTCTTTTTGGGGTGGGTGATGGGACAGGCTGTTGAATAGCAGAAACAATGGAAGAAGGACTTGCTTCCAGCCACAAAAGATGGGTCCTCCAACACCATTAGGTGGAAAGCCTTCATTGAGAGCTTTCTATGTTTCAGTCACTCTGCTAAGCCTACACTATTTCATTGAATCTCTTTATCTCGGGTATATGTGAGAGCCCAGGCTCTTTGGTATCAAGCAGCATGTCTTTCTGCTCTCCCTTCACTGACTTTTCCATTCTCTACGCAGTAAGCTGCAGCACAGGCGCAACTGCATCACATGGGTGCTTACAGACCTGGTTTTGGGTTATAACAGTATGTGGCTGAGCATTGCATGCTTTGATGGATCAGTTGAAATTTCTGCAGTATGGATAGATTTGTACAAGGCACAGTTCAGAAACAAAGCAGTCAGTGTTCTGGGTTTGGATTTCCATTTCTCTTATTTCTGTTTCTGTGTGTGCATTAGGGCTGGGGCTGAGTAGACTGTGCATGTGATGTTCCTAGGGAAAGGGGGAGGAGGGGGAGGGGGAGGGGGAGGAGGAAGAGGACTAGGAGGAGGGCAGCTTCTCATTGCTTTGGTCCAGACACCAGTGGTGTGGAAGGCTGTGAAGATGAGCTTGTGAGGCCCTGTGTCTGCACCCAAGGAGAAAGGTCAGCAAGGTGGCCACTAAGCCCCAAGTCTGTGCTGGGAGTCTGTCTGTTGTTTGGAAAAAACAGCCTGAGACCTGAGAGCCTCTCTCATTGCAAACCTCCTCCCTCTCATTAGCCAGGGCTCACCTCTGACTCCGTTTCCACTTCAAAAGGAAACAGCTCTAATTTTCCCCAAATAAATTCTGGAACGCACAAGGCAGCTGCTTTTTCTTGTGCTGCTGTTGCCCACAGTGGTGGGAGCAAGAAGCTGGGTTGGGCTCTCAGGTAGGGCTGCCAGAACCCAGCAAGGAGAGGTAAAGTCAGGGAGCCCTATTAGTTTTTAAAAAAAATCACCTTAGGCCAAAAATAAAGATGTTTACATAGTATACAAGTAGTGGAGGACCAGTTTAACCACATCAAATTCAGAAAATGTCTGTTGTCAAAGCCCTGAGAACACAGAAGGATGAGCAAGGCATGGCCCCCAGGTTCAGGTTGCCCACGGGCAGTGCGGGAGAGGAACATTCACATCACCAGCAGTACTCTGCAGACTAAAGAAGCAAACACTAAGTAGAGGAGCAAGTGACATGCTGTCAGGTGCACAGGGCTAAAGTGAAGCAGAGACTGGCCCAAGGAACTCTGATAAATTATTAAGTCCGTCTTGGAGAAGGTGATTTTTGAACTGGGCCTTGAAGGTAAAGTAGTGATTTTGATACATAAGCTCAGGAGAAAGGGTGGAACTCAGACAACAGGTTGGGCAAAGACACAGGGTTACAGTAGAATACAGAGTGTTTTAAAAAGCCTTAGTAATTCGTCATTTACCTAACTTCTGCCACAGACATAATACGTGTCATTTTTAATTACTTGTAACATGAAACGTTTATATCCCCATAAAATAGTCAACTATGATTTTTCATGTGTGTGGTAAAATCAACAGGTATTGACAACAGGCATGTGAAATCAACATTTCTGTTGTATTTAAATATCCAGCTACTGTGTCACTGTGACTATTTCAGTGGGAAGGTAGCAGAACACTGGAGTAAGAGTGCTGGTGATGAGGATTCGAGTTCTGCCTCAGCATTTTATTTGTTTGTTTATTCTCTCATTCATCTACTCTTGCATTCCAAAAACATGATCTTTGTGCCTGGACCAAGTGGAGGGCTGATGATGGAGAGAGAGAAAAAAGGAAAAGCATGGTCTCTATACTCCCCAGGGACTCACAGTACATGGAAGAGATCACAGAAGAAGGTGGTAACCATCATAAAAGCAGGGATAAGGGGCTGTGGGAAAACCTAGTGTGTGCTCAATAAATAATGGTGGCTATAATGAATAAACAGCATGATAAGCAGTAGCAGACACCAACAAGAAGACAAATCAGAGGACTAAAAAATATTTCTCTGGATTTGGCCAGTGGGTCTCAAAAACTTGTTTATGTCATAAAACCCATGGAAACTGTGGGGCTTTTTGGAGAATACCATGAATTATTCATATATTAAAATAACTAAAAATAGGCCAGGCGCGGTGGCCTACGCCTATAATCCCAGTACTTTGGGAGGCCAAGGCAGGCGGATTGCTTGAGGTCAGGAGTTCGAGACCAGTCTGGCCAACATGGTGAAACTGAAACCCCACCTCTACTAAATATACAAAAAATTAGCCAGGCATGGTGGCATGTGCCTGTAATCCCAGCTACTTGGGAGGCTGAGGCAGGAGAATCGCTTGAACCTGGGAGGTAGAGGTTGCAGTGAGCCGAGATCATGCCACTGCGCTCCAGCCTGGGCAACAGAGTGAAACTCTGTCAAAAAAATAAAAATAAAAATAACTGAAAATACAATTTTGAGTTAAATCGAAGAGCACAGGTGCCAAGTGTTAAGAAAACTTTATGAACAGAAGCTTTACATTGAGAATATTCTATCAGCTTATTTATTGTCTGTGAATTGGGGAAAGACTACCAGGATTCTGTTTTAATGCAGGAAACCCTCAATCCAGCTGGTAGAACACCAGGGCTCCACAGAAGCGCAGTTTTGGCAATCAGAAGGTTGTTGATGACTTATCAAGGACAATATCAGTAGAGTAGTGAGGCCAGAAGCTAGAGGGGGCTGGGGCTGAAAAGTGAGGATTGCATTGTCAAGATGTCAGCAAGTGTTTACTGAATGTCACTGGAGATACAATGTTGGAGGCAGGGGGATAGGAGGAGACAGTCAAAACCCTACCCTCATGAAGCTTGAAGTCATTCAGGGGAAACAAATTTGTCACAAAACAAATATAAAGTAACACTGTGATAAAAGCTATAAAGTGGAGGTGCATGGTATTCTAAGAGTGTTTATCAGAAGGCCTGGGGCCATTCAGGAAGGAGCTGGAAGTCATCCTGAGGAAGTGATGATTGAGCTAAAACCTGAAGAATGAGTAGGAGCTAAGGAGGTGAGGTGACTTTGGGAGATGGGAGAGGATATTCCTGGAATGGGCAGAGACCATGGCTAGAAAGAATATGGCATTTTGAGGCCAGTAGAATTAGGGTTCAGAGAATGAGAGGGGAAATCATACAACATGAGCGGAAGAGGTAGGAAAGGGTTAAACATACCTCATCTTATCAGCCACATTAAGGATTTTGAGGTTGATTCTAAAGCAAGGGGTAGTCACTGAAGTACTTGAGCAGTAGGATGACAGATTTTCTATTTCAAAAAGGTCACTTTGGCTGTATAATTGAACAGTTTATTTGAGGTGGTCATGAGAAGATCCAGGGAAACCTGTTAGCAGACTCCTGATGTAGTCCAGGCAAAAAGTGACAGTTGTTTAGACTGGAAAGTTTGTAGTGGTGGTGGAGAGACATAGATGTGAGAAATTCGAGATGGTAAAATGGAGAGGAAGTGATGGTTTGGATGTGAGAGTTGGGAGAGAAGGGTGTGGAGGATGAGTTCCAGACTTCCAGCTTTGTACCAGTGGTTGGTGATGCCATTTCCTAAGACAGGAAACAGTGGTAAAGAACCAGGCTTTGGGGCAAACATTGTGAGTGAGTCTCAGCCAGGAGACTTTGAACCATCTGAGTGGATGGGTCAAGAGAACAGGTGGATATACAGGCAGGAGTTCAGAGGAGAGGTCCAGGTAGGAGCTATGCCTCTGTTAGTCATCAACATCTAGGGGTAATTGAAACCATGGCATGGATGAGAGTGCCTAGGGAGAGAGGGTGGGCTTCGAAGAGAAGGCTTGGAATTAAACCTCAAGTAGAAGAGGGTGGTCCTGAAAAGGAGACAGAGAAGGATGAACCAGAGAGATCAGAGAAAAACCAAGAGGGAGAAATGTCATGAAAGCCAAGGGCAGAGCATTTCCTGAAGACGAAAAGAGAAAGCATAGGTGCTGCTGAGGAGTGAATTAAGATGAGGACCTAAAAAGGTCCATTGGCCTTAGGAAAAGAGATCATAGGTGGTTTAAGCAAGAGGTCAGTGACGTGGAGGGCAAAAGCCAGATGTAATTGGTGGAGGAGAAAATGGAAGATGAGAAATGGAGGCTGCACGTATAAATAAGTCTTTCCAGAGGTTTGCTGTGAAAGTCAGGGAGAAAGAGGGTGATTTTGTTCTGTTTTAATGACAGAATTGAGGACCTGTAAAAGCCAGTGTATTCTCTAGCAAGCAGACTCAAAAAAGAAGAAAAAGAAAAAAAAGCCAGTGTGGAGAACATAGCTACATCATACTCAATGATGAAAAACTGAAAGCTTTTCCTCTAAGATCAAGAACAAGGCCTGGAAGAAATTAAAGAAGACATAAACAAATGGAAAGACATCCTGTGTTCATAGATTGGAAGATTTAATATTTTTATAATGTCCATACTATCCAAAGTGATTGGCAGATACAATGCAATCCCTATCAAAATCCCAACAGCATTTTTCACAGAAATAAAAAGCCCTAAAATTCATATGGAACCACAAAAGACCCCAAATAGCCAAAATCTTGAAAAAGAAGGGAAAGCTAGAGGCATCATACTGCCTGATTTCAAACTATATTATAAAACTACAGTAATTAAAACAGTATGGTACTGGTATAAAGACACATAGATTAATGGAACAGAATAGAGAGTTCACAAATAAATCCACACATGATACGGTCAACTGATGTTTGACAAGAGTGCCAAGAATACGCAAAGTGGAAAGGATAGTCTCTTCAACAAATAGTGTTAGCAAAACTGGATATCCCCATACAAAAGAATAAAATTGGGCCCCAATCTTACATCATACACAAAAAATCAATTCAAAATGGATTAAAAACTTGAACATAAGAACTGAAACTGTAAAACTTTCAGAAGAAAACATAGGGGAAAGCTTCATCACATTAGTCTTGGTAATGATTTCATGGATATGAAAATCACAGGCCACAAAAGCAAAAATGGACATGTGGGATTACAAAACCATAAAAGCTTTTGTACAGCCAAAAAAAAAAAAAAAAAATCAATAGAGTGAAAAGGCAGCCTATGGGATGGGAGGAAATATTTGCAAACTGTACATCTGATCAGGGGTTAATTTCCAAAATATATAAGGAAGTCATAAAATTCAATAGCAAAACACAAGCCATTTTTAAAATGGGCTAAAGACTTTGATAGATATTTCTTCAAAGAAGATATACAAATGGACAACAGCATAGGAAAAGATGCCCCAAATCACTAATTTTCAGAGAAATGTAAATCAAAACCACAATGAGATATTATCTTACACCTGTTGGGATGGCAGTTATCAAAGTATAAAGCAATAAGAGTTGGTGAAGATGTGGAGAAACTGAAACTCTTGTGCACTGTTTGTGGGGGGGATGTAAAATGGTGCAGTCACTGTGGAGAGCAATATGGAGGTTTCTCAAAAAATTAAAAATAAAACTACCATATGATCCATCAATCTCACTACTGGGTATTTATCCAAAAGAATTAAAATAAGAATCTTGAAAATATATTAGTACTCCCATATTTCTTGCAGCATTATCCACAATAGCCAAGATGGAAACAACCATATCCACTCTATGTATACACCACATTTTTAAAAAATCCATGCATAGTGGATTTAATGTGGTGTATACATAAAGAGGAACATTATTCAGCCTTTAAAAAGAAGGAATTCCTGCTATTTGCAACACAGATGAACCTTGAAGACATTATACTAAGTAAAATAAGCCAGCCACAGAAAGACAAATACTGTATCATTCCACTTACATGAGGCATCTAAAATAGTCACCACAGAAACAGAGAGTAGACTGGTGATTGCCCAGGGCTAGGGAGAAGGGGGAGTTGGTAATCAATGGGTATAAAATTTCAGTTATGTGAGGGATCTGCTGTACAACATTGTGTTTATGGATAATACTGTATTGTGCACTTCAAAATCTGTTAAGAGGGTAGGTCTCATGTTAAGTATTCTTACCATAATTTTTTGAAAAGCCAATGGAAAGGGCACAGTTTAATGGAAATGTTATTATAGATGAAAGGAAGGTTAATTCATAGTGTAGTTTCCTGAGAAAATGGGTGGACAGCATCAAACTGCAGTGGAGGGACTGGTCTTAGGAGAAAGAGGGACCACTCTCCTGGGGTAACTGGAGAGAAGGATAGGATAAGGGCAGATGTCAATAGGTGTGTATATGGTGGTGGGAAGGCAAGAATGTTACCATCTGATGAAAAGAAGGAAGTTGAAATGTAAATAGAAGGCGAGGCAGGATGGAGGAAGAAGTTTATTTTAGAGTGCGTGTGATGAGCACTAGGAGAAAGACTCGGTGAAGAGAGAAAGGGTGAGGACAGTAGAGAAAGATGATAATATTGGAGCACTTATTAACTGTGTGATATTGAGCCCATTTTCTTACCTAAAAAATAGGAATAACCATGATACCTACCCCACAAAGTTGTAGATGGTACATAGAAAGTGATTAACAAAGGTATGCTGTTGTTTTAACTTTTATCTTCACTGTCGGTGGCTAGCAGAGTGCTGACCACATGATTGATGTTAATATAAAATATTCACCAATTCTCCCAGGCGGGTGATACCTCAGAAGCGGAAGGACATCTCTGTATCTATCACTTGTCTTACTTCCCATCTCTGAAGCACCAGTCTCTTTTTTTTTCTAAGCACTTGGAAGCCTTTCCATGACTCAGTGCTGAAGGATTTGTATGTGGTGCTAAGCCAGGGTAGATTCTGTTAGGGGATTTAATCATACAGGCAGGGCACTAAGCCAGGGAAAAGGGAGAAGAGGTTTAAGTAATTTAAGAGCTCAATCTCTTCTGACCTTGCTTATATACAGAAGACTTTGGAACTCATTCCTCCAATCCTTTCATAATGTCTACAGAAGCCAGCTTTGCACCAGGCCTGCACCCGGGACTGAGACACACAGATGAAGAGGAATGGTTCCAGCCCTCATGATATTAATCTGATAAGATAAATGTTGCAATGGCTGTATCAGAAAGTGCTGGAAGTGCAGGAGAAAGTGCATAACTGCCCAGACCAAGCAGGGAAGGCTCCTCAGAGAAGCTAGTATTTGAGCTGGATGAAAGACGTAAAGATGAAATGAACATCTTTACAGAGAAGCAGGAAAATGACCTTTCCAGGCAGAGGGAGGGCCAAGAGGCTTCAAGAGATGGCAAGGGGAACTGGGAGCTGTCTGTATTCAGTGATGTCAGAACATAAAATGGCAGGTTATGGCGATGAGAGGCTAAACAGTAGCCTGGTGTACTGCCTGCTGGGCTAAGGACCCTGACTTGACCTTGTAGATGTGGAACCACTGTAGACTTTTTAACAGAGGCATAACACCTTCTGGTTTACATGTTAGAAAGATCACTCTAGGCTGGGCGCCGTGGCTCATGCCTGTAATCCCAGTTCTTTGGAAGGCCAAGGCGGGCAGATCACTTGAGCCCAGGAGTTTGAGACCAGCCTGGCCAACATGGTGAAACCCCATCTCTACTAAAAATACAAAAATTAGCTGGGTGTGGTGGCAGACACCTGTAATCCCAGCTGCTTGGGAGGCTGAGGCACGAGAATTGCTTGAACCCAGGAGGCGGAGGTTGCAGTGAGTGGAGATCGTGCCACCGCACTCTAGCCTGGACTACAGAGCAAGACTCTGCCTCAAAAAAAAAAAAAAAAGAAAGGTCACTCTAAAGAATTCTCCCACTCTAGTGGTCAGTGAAGAATAGTTTGAGTGTAGAAGTGGGGTAGAATGGGGATGGAGGATGGGGTTATAACCAAGATTCACTGTGATTGGGGGCAGAATGATTGGTCAGGAGACTGTGAGGGTGGTCCAGGTGAGGGTTGACCAGAAACAGTTTCAGTGATAAGGGTCCAAGGTGGGGCCATGGTAGTGGGTGAGTGAAATGAAAGGAAAAGCCACTGGCATTACGGAGATTTTTAAATGTTGTGGCTAGGATGTCACAGAGGCCATCTTTGTGCATGTTGAAACTTTCCAGGATGATGGCAGAATTTTTGATGAAGGGGAAACAAATGCTAAAGTTCTCAGTGAGTGGAGAAGAGTTGGCAGTGGGATCGGGGTTAGAGTGAAGAATAATCACATGGCACAGGCCTCAAAGGAATGAGGATTTTTGCAAGATAATGGAAATAGAACACTCTAATTCAGGAAAACAGAATTGATTCATGAAAGATTTGAACTGTTTCTTCTTATTTCCCAGGGGAAGCAACCACCACAAAACAGGTAGGGCCTATTTCCAAGATGCCAGGCCACTGAGAACTGCTTGAGGACCACATACAACCTTACAGATGAGTGCCCATGGATTCAAGGTCTCCGAACTTAGCTGAGTCCTCATGGTGACCCCGCAATCCATGATAATGTCTTTGGTGGGGTCCCTTTCCCAGGCCCCTCAGAGGACCATTCCCCACCTCTCTGCTGAAGTCTTGCTGACACTGAGGATAGGCTCTCACTGTGGCAAAGGAATTAGGTGAGCAGCACCCTTTACCCCAGGTGCTGATAGTTCAACACCAACCTTCTCTTAGCAGATGTGTCTCATTGCTGCCTCATTTTCCTTTTGGGCATCTACTCTAGGCCCAGTACTGTGCTGAGCACATTGGAGGATTCAGCAAAATACTAGATGTGATCCATGCCATCAAAGATCTCAAAGTCTTACCAGAAAAGCCAGACTGGTCCATCTGGAACAGCAGAAGGCAGTAATGCCTTGTGTAGTTTAAGGGTTAGGGTTGAGTACAGACAGTCAGGAAAGAAGGTAAATGTATCGTAACTATCTAGTCAAGAGGTAATGAGGAGCCAAATGGAGACAATGGTATTTTTGTCTAAATATAGACAATGTCTATAGAGGAAGAGACAAGTTCTAGAAACACTTAAGAGAGAAAATGTGCAGGACCTGGAGATTGATTGGATGTGAGGGGAGAGAAAGAGGACATGTCTAGGACTTGTAACTCACAAGTTACGGGGCTTGAGGACAGGATGGATGGTGGTGCCATTAATTAAACAGTAGAAATACAGGAGGAAAAGTACTCTGGGGGAAAGAGCAGGTAAATGCAAAGATCTGTTTTAGACCATTTGATTTGGAGGTTCCTTTGGGATATCTAAGAATACAACGTCTAGGAGTCAACTGGCAGTGCAGGTCTGAAATTCAAGGAAGGTTGAATCCAGAGATCTAGCTTTGGGAATCATCCATAAGCAGGTGAGTGCCTAAGGCAGGCATGGTGAGGCAGGGACAGAAATGTGTGGAAGCTCATGGTGGGGGAAGTGTGGAGTCAGGAGTCAGGGAGGGAACAGGAAGTAAGGCCTGAACCAGGAGAAGTAGTGTCATGAATGGTTGAAGAGGAGAAAAGTTAGGGATAACAAGTTTCCAGTAGGAGTGTCTAGTCAGCAGAAGAGTGTTTGGGAGGGGCAGTACGGGGGTCACTGAAGACCTTTTTCAGAAGCAGTTTCAGAATAGCGAGTAGGAGTTGGAGGCCAGATTTCTGTGAATTCAGAATAAACAAATTGCAAGGAAGTAGAGACAGCAAGTTTACGCAAACATTAGAGAAATGTTGCTGTGATTGGTACAGAGAACTGCAGCAAAAGCTGGATAATTGCTGTGAAGGTGTGGACACAGCAAGTATAGACTTTTATTCCTAGTAGCTTTGTTGGGAAGGAAAAGAGAGATAGTTGGGATAGTAGCTATGAGTGGGATGTGAGGAGAAGCAATGGGTTGTTTTTTAAGAGTAGAAGAAGCTTGACCATGTCCTTGGACCGAAAGGTAGAGTGGAGATGGGGAGAGGGGAAAGCACAGGCAGAGGGAGTACTAAGTGGAACGTGGTCTGAAAGGAGAAGAAAGCAGGATTAGATTACAAATGGGAGGCTGGATTGAGCAGCAGGAGGAATCTTTTGGCCTTTAGACATGGAGTGGAGAGAATGAGTTGGGGTAATCCTGGATATTTCATATTAGGCTGGAGATGGGGGTAGGAAGCTTAAATCATTTACCCCTGATGGCATCAGTGCCCTCCATGATGTAGACAAGGTTGTTTGCTAAGAGTGAAGAGGATTGGCTGGGTGCAGTGGCTCATGCCTGTAACCCCAGCACCTTAGGAGGCCCAGGTGGGTGGATCTCTTGAGCCCAGGAGTTCGAGACCAGACTGGCCAACATGGTGAAACTCCATCTCTATTAAAAATACAAAAATTAGCCAGGCGTGGTGGCACATGCCTGTAATCCCAGCTACTCAGGAGGCTGAGGCAGGAGAATCACTTGAGCCCAGGAGGTGGAGGTTGCAGTGAGCCGAGATTGCGCCACTGCACTCCAGCCTGAGCGACAAAGCGAGACTGTCTCAAAACAAAACAAAACAAAACGAAAAACAGTGAAGAGGATGGGGATCAGGTGGAGGTGTGAAAAGAACAAAGGTTTAGAATAGTCCCAAAGGGAAATGGAAGTATTCTGAACTAAAGGATTCAAGTGTTTGAGCCTAGACAACTGAACAATGATGACTGCATTGACAGAAATGGGAATTGTTTGGGGGAAGATGCTAAGGATGTTTTTGGAGCTGTTAAGTTCAGGCAGTGGCAGAAAATCCATGGGAACAAGTCCTACACATGTTGAGAATATCTCGAGGGTATATTAAAAGCCAGCATCCTCTCCAGCTTCCAGATTCTGCTAACAGAACTGCGTAGCTGGCTGCTAGGCAGAATCGGGTGGTGACTTCCTCACACAGAGGAGGCGGTAAAACCAATGAGATGTTCAGGAACATGCTGTGGGAGAATCTCTAAGCACAAAGTCATATAGACTTATCAATGTTGATATTATTATTGGATTCCTGATGCCTTGTTAGTTGAAAAGGTCATATGGGGTAAAGTAAGTAGGCTGGACAAGAACTCTTCTGGTACCTTTCTTTTTCTTTCTGTCTCTATTAGCAAAGCCGTGCTCAGAGAACATGCTGAGAAAAACAACAGAAAGAAAAAAAGGGTGAACGCCCCACCCCTACTCCATCACCTTTCTCTCTGCCCCAGCTTTATGTCTGCTCATACTTCTAGCATACTTCATACCTTCTCTTAGTTGGCAAATTTGTGTAGAGGTGAAGGGCACAGAGCTTCTTTGTCCACACAGACACAAAAAGCAGCTCCTTTCTAGACCATTTCCTTCTTCCACTCCCTAGCTGCTTCATTAGTGTTCCTGTCCCTCTGTTCCTCCGTCCAGGACTGACTTTTAGCAGGTATGCACTGGTAGGGCCATGCAGATTGTTAAAATTTTTACATACTTTCTCATCAGATGGTAAATAACTACTTCCTGGAGTTCCTTGAATCCTCCACCCCTGGGGCTGCCTCAGCCCCTTCCTTAGGACCCCCAGACTTCCCCACAGTCTAGCAACCAAAGAGATAATGGCTAGCACAGCATGGCCTCCTCACCCCAGCTCCAGCACTATGGTTGGCATTTCTGATTGATCATGATATGCCCTACTAGTTGTTAAATAGTTTTAATAGCACCCCTGCATCCATGCATCGATTTTTCCATTCAGCTGCATATTAAGCACTTACTGTGTCTCAGATGTTGGGCCAGGTGCTGGAGATACACTAGTGAACAAGTGTTCACCTGCCTTTGCAGAATGTATAGTGTAGAGTAGGGTTTCTCAATCTTGTCACCGTTGACATTTTGGGCCAACAATTCTTTGTCACGAGGAGTTTTCTTGTGGATTGTAGAATGTTCAGGAGCATCCCTGGCCTCTGCCCCTAGAGACTAATAGTTTACTTCCCAGTTTTAACAGCCAAAAATGTGTTCAGACATTGCCAATTGTGCCCTTATGGGGGCAAAATCACCTCCCCACTCCCATCACATTGAGAGGATAAACAGTATTATCAAACAAATGATCACAAAAATAAAAATACTGTTGAACAATATAAAGATGCTCTGGAGAAAACAAGCAGGCTACCATGAGCGAGAATGAAGGGAGACTGACTTTGGGTTCAACTATGAAGCAAGGTCACGTGGATGAAGGGACACTTAATCCAAGGCCTAAGGGACAAGAAGGAGCCAGTCACATGAGGGACAAGGGACCAAGCATTCCTGGCAAGAGACCATCCCAAGACCAGGAAGGGCTTTGGCTGTTTGAAGAACAGAAAGAGGGCTCATAGGCTGCAGATAGGGACCAAAGGGAAGGGAGGTGCAAGGTGGGACTGGGGAGGTAGGCAGGAACTAGATCCCCTTTTTTTTTTTGAGACAGATTCTCACTCTGTCACCCAGGCTGGAGTGCGGCGGCACAATGTTGTCTCACTGCAACCTCTGCCTCCCAGGTTCAAGTGATTCTCCTGCCTCAGCCTCCCGAGTAGCTGGAATTACAGGCACGTGCCACCACACCCAGCTAATTTTTGTATTTTTAGTAGAGATGGGGTTTCACCACGTTGGCCAGGCTGGTCTTGAACTCCTGACCTCAGGTGATCCACCTGCCTTGGCCTCCCAAAGTGCTGACATTACAGGCATGAGCCACCACGCCCCGCCTGATTTTTTAGGTCTTTGTAAAGCATGATATTCTAAGAGTAATCCAAATGTTCGTGCAGTGTTTTCAGTAGGAAAATGATGGGTGCAGATTCATGTTTTATAAAGATCATCTGTCTGCTGAGTGGCAGCCAGTTGGAAGATGGTTATGGCGGTCCAGGCGAGAGTCTGAGGGTAGCCTGGAGCATGCCAGAGGAGTTGGACGGTTATGGATGGATTTGGAATTTGCCTTGCTTGTTTCTGATGCCTCACATATATTGGTCATGCCCAGGGGTTGGAAGTACTAGTTCTGGGACCACCTTTACTTTATTCAGTAGCATTTATTGAGTGCCCATTGTATGCCCAATGTGTAAGGCTGACCCAGGGAGCCCAAAATCTATCAATATTAGAGACAGACACAAATGATAACCAAGTATAGAGGTGCCGTGATTCTATACGCATGAGGTGTTGAAGTCATGGAAGGGAAGCTAATCTAACTCAGGGGAAGGGGAGATCCAGGAAAACTGAGAAGGTGACACCTAAACTGATTTTCTTTAATTAGCTAACTAAGTAAAGTGGGGGAGAATGGGCATGCCAGGCCCAGCACAACCCAGTAAAGATCCAGAGGATCCCAACAGCATGGCAGGGCAGAAGCATCAAGTCCAGAGACAGGTGAGAGAGGAGACTGGAGCAGGTGACAAGGGCCAGATCATGTCAGCAAATGCAGCCAGAGGCTCCAGGAACAGCTGATGAAGTGGCAAAGGCAGGAGCAGAGGGGAAGTGTGGGGCCTCCAGCACTGTCTGGTCTTCTCCAATACATCCACCCTTGCTACCAGGGGCACTTTCCTAAAGTCTACAACTGCTTAAGACCTCTCAAGGTTCATCTCTTCTTGTATGTCCCACAAGGACCCCCGCAATCTGGCTGTGGAATGTCCTCTTCCCACCCCACTCCTGGCACACCAAGTGACGTTTACTTTTGCAAACCTGCCACTCTCTTCTACGCCATGTGCCCACACTCATGCTGCTCCCTAACTCCTAAAAGGAGAAAGCACAAGATTGTTCTCACAATTAACATAATTCATATCAACTGAAATGTTTCATAATAGGGGATTTGTTTAGCAAACCAGTAGCCATTTAAATGATGTAGAAACATATTTTACATGAAAAAATAGTCATGATATATTAATTTTAAAACAGCACATACATGGTATAATCCTGGTAAGTGTATGTGCATTTTGTGTGTATGAGGGTATCGCAAAATGTTAGCTATGCTTATCTCCAAGTGGACAGAGTTATAGCAAATTTTAGTTTTTATCTTTTACGTAATTTAACATTTTTCTAATACACAAGTATTACTTTTATGATAAGAAGCAAACAACAAACAAAGCTGCTCTAGGGATCTGGTTGGCAATGTTCACAAGAGCGATTGACCTCTGGCTGGTGACCGTGACTGCACATTGTAGACACAGCAGTCTTTTTCTCCAGGAGGACTGCAAGCGAGACTAATTCATTAAGTGCTTTCAGTCCCGAAGATGACAGGAGCCAGGAAAGCATAAAGTCTTGTTACTACGACAGCCGGTAGCCTTGATGTCTGTGTCTTTATTTATTAACTGGACTTTATGTATCCATCCTCCCAGAAGCTCCAAGAGCTTCCCAGCTGACTTTGATACAGATCACATTCTCAAAATAGTATAGTCCATCAGTCAGAATAAAGACAGGGCCGGCTCAACGAAGGATTGAAACTCCAAGAACACTGTCCTAAGAGGCAAAATGAATGTGGGAGAGAATGTTGACTGGGGTCGGTGAGGTGTTAGGATAATCGAGTATTGAGCAGCAAACTGGATTTTTGGGTCACTTCCTTTAAGCTAATAATGATTGAATGCCTTTTTTTTTTGCATCAGCTATTGAGTATAGCTCTAAACACATTCTTCCCTTTTACCTCACAGCAGTTCTGGGAGGAATTATTCCCATTTTAGAGCTGTTGAAACGGAGACTCAGAGAGAAGGAATTGCTGGTGAATCACAGAGCTTGTGTTTTAACATCGTTTCTGCACTGAACACCCCCCACTCCTCCACTTCCCTACTGAAAGGGTGCTGCTTAACGGCCAGGAATTTTAAAGCTTGGAAAATGTCCCATTGATTTTGGCAGGAAGCAGATACCAAATGCTCTTGTTGAATGGATGGATGGATGAATGGACAAAAGAAAGAATGATTTTAAAAGGTCATATAATCGTATCAAGGCAGGGAGAGATAATCATGTTAGAAACCTATCTCATAGATAGCTGCTACAAATGAATGTGGCAAGAATTCAATGGTTCTTTCTGTTTTCTACCCAAGATTTATAAGTAGATGCCTGTAATGGGAGTAAACATCAGGAGAGTCTTTTTTCCAGGGCTGCAGAGAATTGGGATCATGCTGGGTATGTGGGTCAGTCAGTCCTGTCACGGTTTGGGAGAGGAGAGGTGTTCACCTGGTTGCGCTCCTATGCACAAGGCTAGATGTCTGCTGTTTTCATTTGCAGATTGCTTACAAGGTCCTTCCCTGTCCTAGCAATTTGCCTGCCTCACCCATGGTCTAGGGACACAGAGGAGAAGGAGGCCCAAATGGCACAGCTTCTTGGGGCACATTTGAGGGAAATGCTTTCTTTTTTTATTCAAGATTATATCAAGTGAAGAGCTGGTTTTCACCAACTTCAGGAATGCTCAAGATGGGTTATTGGGTCAGCAAATAGACACTGAGGGAGGCTTCGGCTCACATCTCTTAGCTCCTTAGTCATCCTCCTTGCTGTGCAAGAAAAGGCTTGAATATACCTTCTTCCAGCTCTGCATTAGCCAGCAAGGGGAATGAGGCCATTGTGAACACACACTGTGGGGGCCTAGGAGAGAAATACTTCAGGCGACATGATGATGGTCCTTATCTTCCAGGAGTTCCCAGGGTAGGGGAGGAAAAAATAATTTTCCTTCTGCTTTTCAGAGTTCATAGCTGGGACTCTCTGTAACAAAAGACAAATCGACAGGAGAAAAACAAATAGAAATTTGTCAACATGTATACTTCATCTCTACATGGGAGATACTTAGGGAAAAAATAAGTAAATCTCAAAGAGGCAGCTTAGAATTCAGGCTTAAACACCATCTTCAGCTAAAGGCAAAAGAAAGAAGGGTGTGGGGGAGGCCAGTTATGGGGAGATGACCAGGCAAATTATCAGAATAAAGTCTGTTATGCAGATGTAAGCCTGCTCCATTAGTAAGACCTTCTCGTGATTTAGCCATGCTTCTCTTCCTGCTACAGACACCCTTACAAATGGTGATTTCCTTTATAGATGTAACTTTCCCTTACAAAAGGGTAACTTCTACTCTCTTTTCAGAGCTTCTCCTGTATCTGTTGTTTCTCAAAATAATCAGCTCAAAATCATCCTTATGCCAAAGAGGCATATTTTGGCATGGCACGTTCTGGTCTCCTACAACAGCTTCCTTGGACAGAGAATATGCACTGACTGTAGCATTACAGAGCAGTGCCATCGAAATAATTGTAAAAAACTTGTTGTGAGCAAAGGGGCTGAAAAACACCAGACTGGCTAGTTTCTTCTGAAAAATGAAGGCAGCTGGGATGCACTCTGCTTTTTCCTACTTTCCTGCTCTAAGGATGTGTAATTCTTTAATCAGAAGTCTAATAAGGTTAATCAGGAAAGACCTGAAGATTTAGCTGATTTCTGAGAAAGGGCATAGGAGACTTTGGAGGACTATAAGCTCAGCCTGAGAGGAGACACAGGGTTTCTGGTGGTAGGTTATAGCAAGTCCCATTTTACAGATGCAGAAACTGAAGGCCAGACCTCCTCCCCAAAATGGCAGAGAAATCCTAATGCTTGGACTTGTGCAATGGGTACAAGACAAGTGCCTTCCCTTGGCTGAGGAGAGTTTCTCTCCTAGAGGACTTAGCTGGGTGTGTGGAGGAGTCTGAATTCCTCCCCTTGAATTCCTTCCACTGCTTCTTTGCCAGTCCCATCCAACTCGGATGGGGAACTGCTTTTAAATATTATTTCTCAAAGACTACACACACACAAAGAGAGACAGAGAGAGAGAGTGCATGCTCTTTGTATTTTATTTGGGGAATCATAACAACTCTCAGGTGAAATAGAGAGCTGAACCAATCAAGCACTCTTCCCAGGGCTCAAAAGAAACAAGTGTCACAGAACTGGCTGGCAGCACTGCAGAAAATAGATGATGGGAACACCTGTGTGGGTGTGGGTGACCTTGACAAGGGAAACACTAGCCAGTATTTTTATCTGCCCACTTTGTCTCAGGACGTTGGTGGTGTTGCATCCACTAGCAACAGGCTCTGGTTTATTCTCATGACATCTGGGCAGAAGGGGCGGGAACGACGAGGCAGATAAGAATATACCCATTTTGAGGAACAGAGAAACTGAGCCATGATTGGGGAGTGAAGCTTGTTCAAAGTCTCGTGGATAGACTTTGGGGTTCTTCAAATGGAAACAGGTTGTGCAACCTCTCATTCAGTGCTCCAGCAGCTCAAATTCTGTACTCTCAAAGATTTCCTATTAAATTTAATTTACTTTCCTTCTGTTACCCTTCCATGGTAGATGAGGTATTGATAGGGTAATCAACTTGTCAAGGACTCTCCCCATTTTATGACTAAAAGTTTGAAATCCACAGAATCCCCTCGGTCCTCGGCAAACCAGGATGGTTGTTCGCCCTAGAGGTATGTAACTGCTTCAGAGAAACGGCTGTTGGGGGAGAGCATTTCTGGAGGTGGTCTCACATGTTCGTTAAGAGCATGGGCTCTGGGCACATGCTAGGGTACAAGTCCCAGCTCTGCAACACATCCCTGTCACCTGGGGCAAATCACTTGACCTCTCTGTGCCTCAGTTGCCTCATTTGTAAAAAGGGGGTAGTGACAATCTGTACCTCAGGAGGTTGCTGTGTGAATTATATAAAGCCATACGTGAAATGCTCTTTTACTTAAAATAGTGCCTGTCTTATAAGAAGAGCTCAGTAATTGTTAGCCATGATTACTTTGTCAGCATCTGCCTGTTGATGAATCACAGAGATCGCGGGATCTCAGAACTGATGGGCTGCCTCCTTAGATTTCATCTCAGTGCCCCCCAATTTAAATGCACTCCACACGTTGTAGCAACCCCCTTCCTCGTCCACCTCTTCCCTTTCTTCCTCGCCCCATGGCTGCCGCTGGTGGAGGCTGGTTTGCTCTGTGTCAAAGTGGATGTCACCCCACTTCACTTGTTGGCAGGATTGAGGGATGGCAGGCGGGTGGGATGTGATCTCCAAGTGCAGTACTCTCAGACTTGAACATGCACACACAGCACCTGGGCATCTTGTTAAATTTTGTTAAATGTGGATTCTGATTCAGCAGGTCTGAGGTGGGGCCCACAATTTTGCATTTCTAATAAGCTCCCAAAGATACTGCCGGTTTGGGACCACTCCATGGGCCACAAACATGTGGCCAGGCCACATCATGTGTCAGCCTGTGGGAGTCTAAGTAAAAGACGGTAATATTCTTGCCCAGCTGAGGACCCTAAAATAGAATTAGTGCTGGGGACAGGGGTGGGAGTTGCTTAGATATGCTTAGAGTGTTTGAGGGGAGCAGCTTAGAGAGTGGTGAAGCCATCGGGGCATGAAAGGTCTGTGGGGCTGATGCTGAGATCTGTGGTGAGTATTGTAGGTAAAGTTAATAACAACTGGTTAAGGAATTGAGCTTTGGGAATTTTTTTTTTTTTTTTTTTTTTGCTGATTTTAAATATCAGAGCTGGTTCGAGACTATTGCTTAGATAGTCTTTCTCTCTCACATCCATGGTTTTGCTCTCTTGAATGGTGGACAAAGGGTGTAGTGCCCCCCAGTGCCTGGGAATGACACATGGTCAGTGTGACTACAGGAGGTTCAGAATGGCTGGCCTGAAATGACAGAAGTCCCCAAAGCTGGGCCTCCAGGCTCCCTACCCAAAAACTCCCTCACAGAGAGTGACCTTGCCTAGGAGGGATCTGATACTTTCTCAGCCACCTTGGAAGGGCTCTTACAGCTCCATGATGGATGAATGGACAAAACTGTCCCAAACAATCTGGGTTCCAGAAATAAGCCTTGTTCAGGCTCAGAAAACAATACCCCAAGATGAAGGCCTCAGAAGCACAAGTTTTTCTCTGACTTTCCCCTACATTCCTGTCTCTCAGTCCCATTTTGCCCCAAGTCCAGCCATAGGAACTAGAATCTCTCTTCCCCAAGACAGGTCATAGAAACCAGAACCCCTTTTCCCCAAAGCCAACTATGAAACCTAAAAATATTAACCTAACTTGCCCTCCGCTTTCCCATAAAGAAATTATCTGACCCACCTTGTTTGACTGTAGGTCATGAGACCCCCCATTCCAGAGAGGGCCCTGCTCCACACCCAGAGGAAGGACTTCATGCTCAGAGGGGCCAAGAAGAATCCAGACCCACAGGCCTGGCTGGGTTTCCCCACTCAGTCTATTCACATTAGATCAGACCCTTTGTGTCCAATCATATTTCTACACAGCTGCCCATACTTTGTTGAACCTAAGCGTAAAAATGAACAATTTCCCCTTGTATCTTTGGGTCTTCATTCTGAAGGCTCCCAGATACACATGTTAAATAAATGTGTATGCCTTTCCTCCAATTAATCTGCCTTTTTCGAGTTGATTTTTCAGTGAAACTTCAGAGAACCAAAGGGAACTTTCTCCTTACACCCCACAGCATAGACAGAACTTTCTCTTTACACCCAATGGCCCCTCACATTTGAGATGCACTTCACTCCTTTTTACTTTTCTTTCTTTTTTTTTTTTCGGTTTGGAGACGTAGTTTTACTCTTGTCGCCCAGGCTGGAGTGCAATGGCACAATCTTGGCTCACTGCAACCTCTGCCTCCCGGGTTCAAGCGATTCTCCTGCTTCAGCCTCCCAAGTAGCTGGGATTACAGGCACATGCCACCACGCTCGGCTAATTTTTATCTTTTTAGTAGAGACAGGGTTTCACCATGTTGGCCAGGCTGGTCTCGAGCTCCTGACCTCAGGTGATCTGCCCATCTCAGCCTCCCAAATTGCTAGGATTACAGACATGAACCACCGCCCCCGGCCTTTACTCCTTTTTCGAAGCTACAAACAGGAGTCCTCCCTGCCATCGTTCTCCCAGTGTCTTCCCTCAGAGATGATATCAGGCACCAAGACAATATGACCGTCTAGTACAGTGAATCTGCCTTCCACTCTCTGGCATGCTCAGATTCCAGAGAAACCTTCCCAGAAGAGGTCACAGAGAAGGGGCTGGACATGTTCGAGTCCAATCCTGCTCACTGTTGCCTGGCTTCCCTTAGGCCAGGCTTGTGCTAATTTGAAAAATGGCCTATGATAATGAGCGCTAAAAGCACTCTGCAGACCGAGTGCCCTGGGAAGATGTTCAGGGACTCAGCCTTCCCCAGCTCCCTCCCCTCCACTGCCAGCTCTCAGCATTGTGCACTTTTAATCTCCCACACGGCTGCCAGTATACTACACATTTGTATCTGTCACTTCACATCCCCCCGCATGGCTGCTCTCAGCCAACTGGGAGCCTTCTCCTTTTTTCCCTGGAATGTTCCCTGAGGACAACTCAGCCCTTGATAAAGGCTTCCACTTTCTTTTGTTTCTCTTGGTGAGAAAAAAACCCCTGTCCCCCACTCCTACCTTACAGAGCCTGTCCAGGCCCTGGCACCCCCTACCTGCAGCCTGCTGCTCCAGGTGCAGCTTCTCTCCCATCCCTCTCCCCACAGAAGGAGAATCCTGGTGCTCCAATGCCCTCCCAACACAGGTCAATGTAACAGCATCCCAGAATTTTACGATGGCCCTCTAATTCCTATAGCCAGAAGGGACCTCAGAAGTTTTTTTAAAAAATTTATTGTGGTTAAAAAAAGCACACAACAATTAATTTCCCCTCTTAACCATTCGTAAGTGTTAAGTAGTGTTAAGTATAGTATATAGTTGGGCAACAGATCTCTAGATAATTTTCATCTTGAAAAATTAAAACTCTGTAACCATTAAACACTAATCTCCCCTCTCCCCTTCCCTCAGTCCTTGGCCACCACATTTTCTACTTTGTTTGTATGATTTTGAGTACTTTAGATACGTCATATGAGTGGAATCATATGGTATTTGTTCTTTTGTGAATGGCTTATTTCATTTAGCATAATGTCTGTCCGTGCTGTAGCATATGACAGGATTTCCTTCTTAAGGCTGCATAATATTCCATTGTATGGATATACCACATCTCTTTAACTGTTTATCTGTTGATAGACATTTGGGTCACTTCCTCAGAAGTTTTTTTTAACCCTTTATTTTGCAACTCATCACCCACATAAACAAAGACCACACAGTCAATAAGACCAAGACCACACAGCCAATAAGTGTGGCAATAATTGCTCAAGACCACACAGCCAATAAGATGTCTGTTTGTACAGATTTTTATTATTCTCTCCTGGATTCTGGCAACAGCATTTAGGGGCTCTGGTCTAACATGGTGTTAGTGAAAATAGGCTCTCCAAGATTACTAGAGGCTGCAGGGGCAAGTGATGGTGGCTGGGCTAGTCCTGATCACTGTACACCTGTGAGAACATCCAGCTTTGGCTTTGGTGTGGTCAAGTGTCTTATGTATATGGACACTGGATTTTTTTTTTTTTTGAGGCGGAGTCTCACTCTGTCGCCAGGCTGAAGTACAGTGGTATGATCTTGGCTCACTGCAACCTCAACCTCCTGGGTTCAAGTGATTCTCCTGCCTCAGCCTCCCAAGTAGCTGGGATTACAAGTGCACGGCACCATGCCCAGCTAATTTTTGTATTTTTAGTAGAGACGGGGTTTCACCATGTTGGCCAGGATGGTCTCGATCTCCTGACCTCATGATCCGCCTGTCTCAGCCTCCCAAAGTGCTGGGATTACAGGCGTGAGCCACTGCACCCGGCCTGGACACTGGATTTTTAAAGATACTAAGGAATTATTGTTCATTTGTTTCAGCGCATTAATGGTATTGTGTTATATGCTTTTTAAAAAGACTTTTAGAGATGCATACTGAAGTGATTATAAATTAAACATGATGTCTAGGATATGCTTCAAAATCATTATTGGAAAGTATGGATGAAACTAGGCTGGGGGCTCATTATACCATTCTCTCTACTTTTGAATATGTTTGAAATTTTTTATTTATTTATTTACTTATTTACTTTGAGACAAGATCTCGCTCTCTCACCCAGGTTGGAGTGCAGTGGAGTGATCATGACTCACTGCAGCCTCAAACTCCTGGGCTTAAATGATTCTCCTACCATAGCCTCCTGAGTAGCTGAGACCACAGTTGCATGCCACCATGCCTGGCTAATTTTTTCAATTTTTTTTTTTTGTAGAGATGGGATCTCACTACACTGTCCAGGTTGGTCTTGAACTCCTGGGCTCAAATGGTCCTCCTGCCTTGGCCTCCCAAAGTTCTGGGATTACAGAGGTCTTCCAAAATAAAAATGTTTGAATCTTAAAAAACTCTTTTCATCTTACATTTGGATAGGTCACACCTGCCTCCCACTCTTCAAGAACTCAGCAGATTATTGCTGAAATAGGAGGAGTTTTGACTATTATCAATTGTAAGCTCTGGAAAATAAAGTAACACAGCCATTGGGCAGGCAATGTAAACACCAACAAAAATCCCTGCAGGCTGCGGGAACGGCACCAGCAGATGTATGTAGCCCCGTGGCAGAGGTGGCAGTGGCATGAGGAGCTGAGCTTTGTCCATGGAGCAGGCCGTGCTCTGGGATCAGGCCTTCCATCCTGAACCTGGACCTAGAGTGCTTCTCCACCAGAGGCAATTGGCAGTCACCAGCTTTCTTACTTATAAACAGTTTGGCCACATCACAAAGTAAATACATTGTTTTGTTCATTTGTTTTAAGTATTCATTTACTCTTTCATCCCTAATTCTTTTTTTTTTTTTTTTTTTTTTTTTGAGACAGTCTTGCTCTGTCACCCAGGCTGGAGTGCAGTGGCGTGATCTCGGCTCACTGCAAGCTCCGCCTCCCAGGTTCACACCGTTCTCCTGCCTCATCCTCCCGAGTAGCTGGGACTACAGGCGCCTGCCACCACGCCTGGCTACTTTTTTGTATTTTTAGTAGACACGGGGTTTCACCGTGTTAGCCAGGATTGTCTCAATCTCCTGACCTCGTGATCTGCCTGCCTTGGCCTCTCAAAGTGCTGGGATTACAGGTGTGAGCCACCGCGCCTGGCCTCTTTCATCCCTAATTCTTCCCTTTTTCTATATCCAACCAATGCTGTGATTGAATTTGCCTCCTAAATACCTCATATTTGCTCATTCATGGCCATGGCCACTACCCTAGTTCAAGCTGCTATCATCTCTTACCTGGGTTATTGCAATACTTCCTAATTGGCCTCCCACTCAGCACTCTTAGCCTGGCTTCCTGAACTTCCCATCTGTTCTTCTGATCGTGTCACTCATCCCCGTGTACTTAAAACAAGAAAGCCTTCCCATTGCTCTTGGAATGAAGGCTGAACTTTAGCAGTGCCAGAGTCTTGGGGGCACCTGGCCTCTCTTTGCCTGTCCAGTCTCATTTTTCATCTCCAGCCTTCTCTATCCCTGTGCCCCAGCCACCCTGAAATTCTTTCAGTTCCTCAAAAGCACCATGCTCTTTCTCATTTCCAGGCCTTTGAACATGCTGCCCCCTCTGCCTGGAACACTCTCCCTCCTGCCTTGGTCTGGATGACTTGCGCACCCCACAGGCCTCAGCTGAACCTCGCTTCCTCCAAGAAGCATCCCTTGACCTCCTCTCCCCAAGTCAGGTTGGTGTTCCTTCTCTGTGCTCACCTGGAAACGCCCCCATCATAGGACTTAGCCCCCTTATTACAGGGGTTCAGTAAATTTCTTTTTGAGCTGACTGAATATATTTGATTTGCAAGAAAGGAAAAAGTACAGAAATATGTATTGCAACAAGCAGGTCACAGTATCCTCAAGTCCGCAGATATCCCTGTGCCTTCAAAGTCATCCCACAAATGTTCCCTGGTCTGATTATCACTGAAGGAAGTTTTCCAGTTGCTGCAGAATCTATCCTGCTGCCCTCTGCTGACAGGGCCTGCTTTTTCCGGTATGATCTCAAGCACACTCTGCTGTTAGATCTTCTAACCCTGCCACTACCACCCCACCCCATGCGGGACCAGGACAGTGCCTTCTGAACACTCCCCCATTGTCAAGGGAGCTGCCCAGCCGTCCACAGCTTCAGCCCCCAGTGGAGGTTCCAAGACAGAGTGCCGGCTCCCCCTGTGCATCCCCTCCGCTGGCAGCCCCACCAGCTCTGCACCCACAGAGTCCCACCCAGCACTGGGGTCTGTCCCGCCCACAGATGGTCCAGGCCCATCAGCTTTACCTGTCTGACCTCTGGGCCTCACTGAGGCGCCCTGTGAGAGCTGCTGTCATTTTTGTTCTCTCCTTTGCAGAGTTTCCATCCTACCCTCTTTTTCCTGTTTTGTCTCTGAAGTGCCTCTCTGGCCTGTGCGTCTACCTCACCCTCTCTTTCCTCATTCAGGCCCTTGTGCCAGCACTGCCCCATTTTTTCTTGTATCTTTGGTCTGTCCCCTCATCCTGGGCTCTTTGCTTCCGTCTACACCTGTGCTTGGATATCTGTCTCTTCTAAAGCTCCTTCCTGCCCCATGAGCCTCATAGCTCACATCCTGGCTCTCTGCTCCCTTTCCTCCCCAGAGACGGTTCACCGCCTCCACATCATCACAGCTCCACATCCCCCAGCTCCACTGCTGTTACTGACATCAGTCTTGCCAAATCCCCCCATGCCCATCTAATCACAAATCCTCAGTCATCTGCTTGGCCTCTCTGCTGCCCTGGATGCCGCTGGCCATCCTCTGCTCTCAGATGCTCTCCTCAGGCTCCCTGGCACCCCTCAGCCTGCCTGGGCTTCTGATTATCTGCTCTTTGACTCATCTGCTGGCATGTCCCCATCTTCCTAACCTCTCTGCAGGTCAGTTTTTTGAGATTCTGTTCTCTGGCCACACCATCTATTCAGCTGCTCCAAATGACCCCTCCAGGTGGCAGCTCCCAGGTCACAGTCTCTAGCCTGAACATCTCTCCTGCTCTTATTTTGCATTTCAATTTCACTGAATATCAAGGTCAAAGTCAAGCTGCTGCCCTCTAAATAGCAACTCCTCCGGACTTTCTGTTAACAGTCCTGGCATTCTCTGATCCCCAGGCTTAAAAACCCATAGCCACCTCTGCCACCTTCCTTTCCTCTGCTCACACATCTGGTCAGCCCAGAGGTCCTGTCCCTGCTGTCCCACAGGCTCTCACATCCATCTCCTTTGAGTTCCTCCAACCCTCACCCTTGGTTTAGGTCTTACTGTGCTGGCATTTTGTTACCTCCCCAGTCCTCCAGATCATCTTTTTCAGTCTTTATGTCTCCAGACCATTGTCTACTCTGCTGCCGAGTCCATTTAAAGTTCTTAAAGTAGACCAGCAGCATCAGCATCACTGGGAGACTTGTCAGAAATGCACATTCTCAGGCCCCATTCCAAATCTGCTGATTCAGAAACTCTGTAGGTGGGGCCCAGCAATCTGTTGGTAATTCAATGCATACTAACGTTTGAGAACCACTGCCCTGAAGCATTGCTCTGAGCAAGTTTCTTCTCTGCTTAAAGACCTAAGACACTTTGTTGTAGTTAGGATAGGGTTTAATTGGCTATAACAGCTAACAATAAAAATCTACTTCTCTCTCACTTAAAAGGAGTTTGGCCATGGACAGTGCAGGGCTGATCTAACAGCTCCATGGTGTCATTAGGAACCCAGGGCCCTAGCTTTCTGTTTCAACTCCTAGAACATGGCTTGCTCTATCACTAAGGTTAGTTACCTCTTGGCTCTAGATGGCTGCTAGAACTCCAGCCATCATATCCTAATACAGACCAGGAGAAAAAGCACAAGAGCCAAAAGGAGGACTCTTCCAGCTGAGTCAGCTCCCCACGTTTAAGCAGCCTTCCCAAGAGACCCAAATAACACTTCCACTTAAATCTAGTTCATCAGAATTTGGTCACATGGCCATACTAGATACAAGGGAAGCTGAGAAGTAGTTTTTTGTTCTGGGTGGCAATATACTCAGCTAAAAATTGAAGTTCTTTCAAAATTTTACATATAGCACTGTATGATCCAATTTATATACCATTCTTGAAATAACAAAATTATAGAAATGGAAAATAGATTGATAGTTGTCAGGGGGTGGGTAGAGAAGGAAGTGACTGTGGCTACCAAAGGATAGCACCAGGGATCCTTATGATAGAACTGTTTTGTATCTTGACTGTGGTGGTGGTCACAAATCTACGCAAGTGATAGAACTGCATAGAGCTAAATATACACATGCACAGATAAGCGTGCACACATGCATATGTTCATGTAAAACTGGAGAAATCCAAATGTCACTAGATTGTATCGGTGTCAATTTCCTGGTGTGATATTGCACTATAGTTTTGCAAGATGTTACCATTGGGGGAAACTGGGTGAGGAGTATATGGGATCTGTATTATTTCTTACAACTGCATGTAAATCTACAACTGTCTCAAAACAAAACATTGAAGAAGCAAAAATAATGAAGGGGAGGTGTCATAAGCAACTAGTGTCTCTGCTGTAAACCTAACCCATTCCCCGCTGTAAGCAGTCCAAGGTTCTTAGCATAATTAAGGCCTTCATGACCTAGCAGTAAGGTGCTTCCCAAGCAGTCCATACCTTGCCGGGTTAGTGCTGTCTGCATTAAAGCATCGGCCTCTAGAGAGCAGGCCCCAAAGCTATGGCTGGTATTTATGAAGCACTTGCCTCTTCACCCATATGGCCCTGAAGAGAGCCAATGAAACGGACATCTTTTACCTTCAGAAGCCTCCGTTCTGAGAAAGCACCGGTATTCGCAGGCATGTTGCCCACTAAACAGAGAATGAAAATGACTTTGTCTAATTGAAAGGGGCAGTGAGCAAAGAGGGACTTTTGAGACCTGCAGGTTGCTGTAGTGACTGCAGTGAGAGCAGGAAGTACTGAAGCATATTTCCAAGTGGTTTTTAAAGTACTCCATCCTGTCATCTTTGTCCATGTTCTGGAGCTCTCTTCCTTAAGGCATCAGCCAGCACCAGCTGCTTTCTCACCCCTGGGCAGCCTTGCTGAACCTCACTGTGCCCCCATGGGAAGGAATTAAACCACTTGTCAGGAGCTTCTGCTCAGCCAGAACTCTGCCTGAGGCTTTCCCACAACAGCTCTCTGAGACTCTCGGTTGCCCTGAGGAGGGACAGGCACATTGCAGGGCAGGTGCTACCAGCTGAGGTGTGCTGCAGGCAGCCAGGCCTGATGGAGTGTGAGAGGCTTCTGGGGTTACAGGTCCGGCCTTCCCAGTCCTGAGCCCATGGATGCCCAGGGAAGTGGTGGGCTCCAAGGATGAGCTTTAGGGGTTTCATGAATTTTCTAAACTTGTAGGCAGAATTCCCTATGTGCTTTTTTCTCCGGGAAGACTGTCCATAGCCTTCGTCAGGTTCTCAAAGGCATCCACAAGCTCCTAGCAGCTGAGAATGATCCCCAGTGATACAGAGAGTGGGAGACTGGAGGAGGAGTGCTGAGGGAGTTGAAGGTAAGGGCTGAGTACAGCAGGGAAGCAGCTAGAGCAGAAGAGCAGGTGAGAATTCACTGAGCTTTGACCGGTGGGCTGAGCTGATGGAAGCGACACTGATCCTCCTGGTTCCCTGTGGGGTGAGCATCTTTCAGTCCAGGCAGAAGTCACGGCCAGGACAGCCTGTTTCCACCCGCAGACCCTGGACGAACTCATCTCCATGCTGTCCCCACTGACCTCATTTTTAGTTCTGGCTGAGTGAATCTCTCAAGGCTAGGGAGAGTTTCCCTGAGCCCCCAGGCCCGTCTGTTCCACTGAAAAACATTCCCATAGTGTTACCGGTAGCAGGTCTTGACTGCAAATTGTCCAGGTTCTTGACGTTTTGAACAAAGAATTGGACAAAACGCACGGCAAAGCAAGGAAAGAATGAAGCAACAAAAGAACGAAAGCAACGATTTATTGAAAATGAAAGTACACTCCACATTGTGGGAGTTGGCCCAAGCAGCCAGCAGCAGCTCAAGGGCCTGGGTGCAGAATTTTCTTGGGTCCAAATACCCCCAGAGGCTCCCCATTGGCCACTTGGCTCTCACCTCATGTAAATGAAGTGGTGGCCTACAAACGGTCTGATTGGTTGCCGAAAGCAACCAATCAGAGGCTGAAGTGAAATTACAGAGGTCATACTCCTGTGCAAACATCCAATTGGTTGCAAAAAGCAACCAATCAGAGGCTAAGGTGAAGTTACAAAGTTGCACTTCTATGCAAACGAAGACTTAGTCTACAATCAGTCTGATTGGTTGCAGACAGCCAGTTTCTATCTGCCACGCAGAAAAGGTGGGGATTTGCAAAGGGAGTAGCCTCTGGTCCTTTTGTTACTTAGGCATGGGAAGTTAGGGTTTTCCTTTCAATTTAGTTCTAAGAAGTCAGCGTGAAATGGCCTTAGGTTCCTTTCCTCCAGACCCTATTCTCCTGCCTCAATCGCAATATCCCCTGTCAAAGCCCAGCACACTTATAATTGTGGCTAGTGTCTGTAGATTCCTATTCAGGGGAGCCTTGCTTGTTTTGTCTAATTTTAGCCCCAGTTATAGCCTGGCACAGTGCCTGGCATATGATCAACACTCACATTCAGTATTCAATAAATATCAGTAGGATAGATGGATGAAAAAATAAAAGAATATATTGTCTTATGAGTGTGGACAGATGCCCGCAGAATACTTTGAGGACTCTCAGGAAAAGAGCTGGGGCCGACCTTTATTCTAGCAGTGAAGAACAGGACAAAGATAAGTGTGAGCTTGTGAAGTAACTCTGTTGAGGTGAGGCTGAATTTTACTACCCTCAGAATATTCCCCAGGGTCCTTGGCGGAAAAGATTTATTCCTATTAATTCTTTGCTATAAATTCAACAGCAGACAAGCCTGAATGAATTGATCAGATGGGGTGGGGGTTGGGTGGCATTAGGGAGATTGTTACATATGAGGGTTTGGGAAATAGGTGCATCATAGATTCAAAATAAGAGGCCTACACTTGGTGCTGGTCTAGTCAACGAGTCAGCATTTCTTGGACAGCTTATTCTGTGCCAGGTGCTGAAGAGATAAGAGCAGTGTAAATCGTGGCCAGGAATCACATGAAAGAGAAACCACCTACTGGCCAGGTGCAGTGGCTCACACCTGTAATACCGGCACTTTGTTGGGTGGCCGAGGTGAGCTGATCATTTGAGGCCAGGAGTTCAAGACCTGACCAACATGGAAACCCCGTCTCTACTAAAAATACAAAAATTAGCTGGGCATGGTGGTGCACACCTGTAATACCAGCTACTCAGGAGGCTGAGGCAGGAGAATCGCTTAAACCTGGAAGATGGAGGTTGCAGTGAGCCGAGATCACACCACTGCACTCCAGCCAGGACGAAAGAGCAAGACTCCATTTCAAAAAAAAAAAAAACAGAGAGAGAAACCACCTACAACTTTACTGCCGTAGCATTCACTTATGGCCACTTATCCCCTCAGCCCTGCCTGATAAGGAGGTAAGTGTGTGTGTATCGGCCCTGAGAAAGCCCCTTCATTTCCATAGGATGCCAGGCCTACCCTCTGCCTGGTCGACTGTCAAATTGCGAAATGGTCTTTAATTGGCAATATGGATGATTTTCCCTGTTTAATCTGTTTAATTTAAATCTGTTTAATGTATCGAAGTGAAATTCATATATCATAAAAGCACCATTTCAAAGTGTTCAGTTCAATGGCAGTTAGCACATTCATGGTGTTGTACAACCACTACCTCTATTTAGTGTCACATTGCCATCATTCCAAAATCAAACCCTATTATATTTACCTATTAAGCAGTTCTCCCCAAGCTGTACCCTGTCTATGCATTGGACTATTCTGGAAATTTTACGCCAATGGAATTATGCAATATGTGAACTTTTGTGAATGGCTCTTTTCACTTAACCTGTCTTGGAGGTTTGTCCATGTTGTAGCATGCATCAGAATGCCATTCCTTTTCATGACTGAGTAGCATCGGATTGTATGAACCTCTCACAATTTTTGATCCATTCCTCCATCCATGAACACTGTTTCCACCTTTTTGCTGTTGTGAATAGTGCTGCTCTGAACATGCAGGTACCTGTATTTGTTTGAGTACCTATCTTCTGGGTATACACCTAAGAATGGTAATCTTCTTAAATTTTTGCCCAAAAACTTTAAACATGAATTTATGTCAGCAAATGCTTGTCAAAAGCTCACTGAAGAGAAATATTACTCATGACAGGTTTTTAAACTTCAGTTTTTGATGCAAAACTCTTTTGTCAAACAGCTGACCCCAAATTCTAACATGTAAAAACATAAAAAGGCAGAAATGCTGTGGGTGAGTTAGACAAGGAGGCCAGGAGCTCCGTGAGATCAGCCTTCGTGTGCCACCCCCCACAGACCCGAAGAGCCTCTCAGACCTCCTGGACTCTGGGCAGCGGTTCTGATGTGCTGCTGCAGATGCCCCAAGCTCCAGATCAAGGTCACCTGCCAGAAAACTGAAGGTTTGAACACTGCTGCTTCCTGGTACACTCCTTTCAAAGAGCCGTACCTGGGTGTTAGTCCTCAGACTCCCCTGGGAGATACAGTAAGAAGCTGCTTTTTAAATATGTAATGGTGTAGTAACAACTTTCCCCTATAGCTCTCAGCCTCCCCTTTAAGAGGATCCTCAGGAGAAATTCCTCTCAAGGCTTAGTGGAAAGAAAAACTAAGCTCCTCCACACTGTGATTTGGTTTAACTGACTGTATTTCTCTTTTCACGTTGGTTGCTAAGAAGCTCAGAGTTAAATCTGCAGCTCACGTCCTGCAGTTCTGCAGACCAACCTCATGACTGACTGGCTGCATGTTGCTATGCTATCCTCCCTGCGATCTTCATTCCATTTTTATCCTACTGAGTGTACAGATGCTCCTGGACTATGATGGTGTTATGTTCCCATAAGCCTGTCATCAGTTGAAAATGCATGTCATACCTTGACAAATCCATTATAAAGTCAAAAAATTATAAGTTGGGAACCACCTGTATTTCTGAAGCACCTAAAATCCTCTTTAGGTTGGGGTAAGATGTAACAAATCATTTTCCCATCTTAACAGTTGTGAATATAGATGTCTTCCTGCCATGAACTCTGAACGTAGAACCCAGGGCTGGCCTAGGTAAGATCACGAGGAGGCCAGAGCAGCCTCCTTACACCCCATATCCCTGACTCCAAGGAAGAGACAGCACCCCAGGTGCTGATCAGGTGAAAATGGGTGAGCCCAAGGCCTTACACAGCTGTGATCAGTTTCAGTTCCACCGACCCCAAGCACCTACTTGTGAACAGCATTTTATGGAATAAAAGGCCAAATGGGGTGATCCCGAGCCACTAGGAATTCCAGAGGGTGAGGGAACATGTGCTTATGTGAGTCTGCAGTTCATGCAAAGGAGTGGAGTAGAGCATCGCATGCCCCAGGAGCAGAGGGAAGGAAGACGTTTTACAGACCATGGGACCTGAAAAAAATGAGAATTGGATCTGGATTTCCTCACAAGCAGTAGTAGGAAAGATAGTAGCATTCCAAGCAAGGGCAATCTCTTGAGCAAAGGCTTATAGGCAGGTGTGGGGAAAGGTACACGGATCAGTATAGCTAGACACTCAGGCTGCAAACTCAAAGGCCTGCAGTGGTGTGCAGTTGACGTATATGTATAAGGCGTGAGGGGTGGGGGAAGAGTATAAGGAAATAGGTGCCAAGGGGCTTGTAGTGGGGCTGGGTGCAACCCACCTAGTAACAATGTTTCTTCAAACACTGTGGAGCATAGCCAGACAGACAGACACAGACCTAATAGAGGCTCCGAGCTAGACTCACAGGGTTTGGGAGGGAGGTTCATAAGGAGAGGGAAGGCTGACGCAGCAAGGCAGGGAATATTTAGATGTCATCTCAGAGGCTGGAGGAGCCTTCAAAAGGTTTAGGCAGGACAGAAACCTAGTTATGTTTTAGAAAGTTACTACAAAATTAAATGCTCTCAGTGTACATTCATATCAAAAAATGATGGAAAATATTAACGGTGATTAATTTGGGTGTTAAGAATCTGGGTAGTTTTTCTTTTCCTTACACTTTTATCTTTACCAATATTTATATTATTAGAAAAGGATCAACAAAAGTCATATCAAAATAAAATATTTTATCCTGGCAGTAGTCTGTGGTAGCAGGAGTAGAAGGAATAGGTTGGATTTCAGCCTTTTTGAAGAGGGAGTTGGCTTAGACCAGGGCTCAGGGGGATATGAATGAAGCAGGCTGCAGCAGTCAGGATCATGCCTTCAGTTTGTGGTTAAAGCAGGCCTTGGAAGAGCCTCCCTGGCCCCTGATACTTTAATGAGAGCTGGTGGGATTTGGGACTGTGGGTGACTCTTGGCCAGCATAGAGACCTGCTCCCTCCTGAAAGCCTTAAAAGTCCCAGTGGGACCCCATTTATGGGTCTCAGAGAAAGAGCTCAGGCAGTGACAAGATGCTGTTTCCATTGAATGAATAGACAGTTGTTCCAGGGAGCATGATCTTGGCTTTCTAGACATTTGAGACTAAAAACCAAATGGTAATGTGCATTCCTATTTCCTGTTTATCGGCTCATATGGGCTTTTTACTATCTTACTGTAGATAAACAGATTTATGTTGTTTTCAAGTGGCACTCTCAGGGCATTCATAAAGATCAGTGGAGCTTTAACTCTGGGAATCCACGTGAATGATAAAGTGGAGGATATGTTGGTTAGAGGCCTGGCTTCACCACTAACTGGAACATCTTGGGCAAATCACCTCAGTAAACCAAGCCACAGTTTATGTATGTGCTAAATAGATTTGAAATACCAGCCCAGTTTATGTGAGAAGGTTGTTTTGAGCTTTATGTTAGACAATATGAAAACACTATAAAACTATAAATGGTTGTTTTCACAAAGATTGCATGCTCTGAAGAATGCCCTGGCTGTGACCCAAAGTCTGACTCTTGGCTCTGTCCCTGGAGTACAAGATATGGGCACTTGTGGCCAGGCAGGTTCATGTGAATACTATGACACATATTCAAGGGAGAGAGCCCTCTAGATAATGGGCCAAAAGGCACAGGACTATGCAAATGTATATTTATGTTATGGGTAAAGATCTCAAAGATTGACCATAACTGACAGGATAAAATAATCCACAATCACACTTCTCTTCAGAAAGGAAATTATTTATTACTTGATTATGCCCTGTTGCAAGCACATTAAGGAATTACTGATCTTGGCTCCCAAGTGTGAAATGGAAAATTTTGAACATAAAACATACTTGTAGAAATACAACAGTGTTATTTGCCAGTGACCATCATCAAGACAAGACTTTAACCTTATCAGTTAGCCTAAAGAAGTGAAATTGAAACAAAGCCAAACGCATAAGCTCGGTGATCGTTCTTCCTTGCTGTGACCATTAGTCAATATGCCAGTGGTTCTCGAAGTGTGGTCCCCAGATGAGCAACATCAGCATCACCTGGGAACTTGTTAGAAATGCACATTCTCAAGACTCACCCCAGACCTGCTGAATCAGAAACTTGGGTGGGGCCGGCAATGCACATTTTAACAGGTCCTCCAGGTGATTTTGATACTTGCTAAAGTTTGTGTGATTCCTACACAGGTACCTGCCCCAAGACAGTTTGCATTAACTGTCTTTGTGCTTTCTTATGTTTGCCTAAAATGCCTCATTCTTCCTGACAAAATAAGGTTCTTGACATTGGCTAAACTTCTAATGCTACCTAGTTACATCAGCTAGACCAGAGCTGTATTACCAGACTTTCATCACAGAATCAGAGTGTTCTCATCATTTTGGTGTTGACAGGACAGAGGGCATTTGCTGATTATAATATGTGGCAAGAACCAAGGAAACTGCAGTGTTTAAGTGTTTTGAGATCTCAGAAGTAAAAGCATCTAATGTGCTCCATGCAAAGGTCTGGTGGTACTCAGTTATGAAAACCGTAGAGACGAGGGGAGAAATGCAAGCATACACGATGGCTTTAAAATGAGGGGCTTAACCGAGAGTGAAAGTAGATTCGTGGTTGCCCAGGCCTGGATGAGAGAGGAGCATGGGGCCTGACTACCTACTAGGAACAGAGTTTCTTTTTAGGGTGATGAAAATATTCTGGAATCTGATAGTGGTGATGGTTCAACAATATGGTGATTATCCTAAGAACTACTGAATTGTACACTTTCAGATGGTGACAGTGTGAATCTTATATGAATTTTACCTCAAAAAATATTTTTAAAACCCACTGGTTTATGTGGAGGCATGATTCCACTTCTCTCTGATCTCCCCTTCTCCCACATCTAGCTGCAGTATAGCATGGGGCACGTATTAGATCCTCACAGAGTTCTCGGTTGGTTGACTGCTCTGACCCCCGAGAAAGGGGCTCAAATGAGCAGGCACCTGGGAATTAGTACATACTTGGACTATACTCTCTTGGGATGGCTTCCTGGGGCAAGTGTACCTTTACTTGGAGTAAATCCTTCCCTCCAGTGTGAGAGACTCCGCTGGGATTGCAGGGATGAGGGTGGTAAATGCAGGTTAGTTAAAAATGACGTCTTGGCCAGGCGCGGTGGCTCATGCCTGTAATCCCAGCACTTTGGGAGGCCCAGGCGGGAGGATCACTAGTTCAGGAGTTCAAGACCAGCCTGGCCAACATGGTGAAACCCCGTCTCTACTAAAAATACAAAAATTAGCTGGGCATGGTGGCGGGTGACTGTAATCCCAGCTACTCGGGAGGCTGAGGCAGGAGAATCGCTTGAGCCCAGGAGGCGGAGGTCACAGTGAGCCAAGATCGTGCTGCTGCACTCTAGCCTGGGCAACAGAGCAAGAATCCGTATCAAAAAAAAAAAAAAAAAAAAAAAAGACGTCTTGCTTCGAGCACAAGTTGTTTTCCAGTTCCCTGTGATGAGCACAAACTTGTTTATGCTATCAGGGCCGGCTTGGGAGGCCAGCTGCTGCTCCTTGACGTGGAGAAGGCGCCTCTACCAGGCTGACTCCTTTGCAGCTGGCAGACAGCCCTGGGGAACAGGCGAAATGATCTCACGGGCCGGGTGGAGTGAGCATGCCGGACAAGGACCAGGCCTCTGTGCGCATGGATATAATCAGCTTTGATAGGCAGAGGCTGAGGCTGTTTTTCCAATTAGAGCTGTTAGAGGATTCTGGCAGGGGCAGCAGTGGGCTTAATTTAACAGACCTGGGACTCATTGAATTAGCCAATGTAGAGGGGATGAGACGGACACTAATGTAAGGCTGTGGGGGCAGAGATGGGGAAGGGGAGAAGGGGACCAGAAGGGCCGGTCGGCAGGGACACAGTGAGGCCTGGTGATGTGGTCCGGGCAGCACAGGAGCATCTTCTCATTTGGCGGGCGGGAAAGCTTGTGCAAGCAGGACGGGATGGAGACTCCTCTGGTACTGGTAAGGCTGGCCTGGTGGGCTTTGCTCGCAGAATCTGGATTCTCAGAGGCCGTTGGCCAGGGTTCTGAACAGTTTCTTGTGCCCATCATCCTTCCCAGGCACCCTGAAGCTGCTGCCATCTCCTTCCCTTTCTAGAACCCAAAGTTCTAAGCCACCCTGCCAGGCACCTTCTTGGTTTGAGAATAAAGAACATTAGAGCCAGAGCAATCATTAAATGTCCTGAGTCCGCGCTTTCATGTTACAGAGGAGGCAACTGTTTCCTAGAGAAGCTGAGAAAACTTGTCTGAGAATATCCAACTCTTAGAGGCAATGTCAGCATTGCAATCCAGACCTCCCACCCCTGGCTGGTGCCGTTTCTTCAAACCGTGGTCACAGTTGGCCCCTCTGTCCTCAGCCTGTGTGCATTTCCAGCAACTTGTATCCCAAACCACTTGGATGGTTTGAAAGCCATTCATTCATTCATGTACAAAATTAGCCCGGTGTGGTGGTGCATGCCTGTAATCCCAGCTACTTGGGAGGCTGAGGCATGAGAATTGCTTGAACCCAGAGATAGAGGTTGCAGTGAGCCGAGATCGTGCCATTGCACTCCAACCTGGGCGACAAGAGTGAAACTCCGTCTTAAAAAAAAAAAAAAAGGAAAAAGCCATTCATTCATTCATTCAAAATGCAGAATGCCAAACTGTACAGACAGCATAGTCTCAACTATCTGAAGAATAAAATATGTGGAAAAGACTGAGTAGAAACATGGGGAAAGACTTAACTGTTGCTGCTTCTGGAAAGGGAGTTGATTACTGTTAATAACTAACATTTATTGGGTTTAATGACCCATCCTAACAATGACCTTATGTTGATAACATTGTGGTACAACTCCTGTGTTGCTAGGTGGCAGTGAAATTTTGTAAAACCGTTTGGGAAAATAGTTTGACAATGTTTATTTTTTAAATGTGCATTAAAAAGTATTTTAACTTAAAATAGCTGATCAACACCTTTTTTTTATTTTTCCTACCCCATGACATCCTGATGAAATAATAGAATGAATAGAAAAAGATAATCTTACTTAGTATATAAGAAAAGTGAGGTATGGAAAGGTTTAAAAGTTGACCCATGGCTACATAGATATTAAGTAGCAAATCCAGAATCTGATCCTGTTTGTATTAACCGTCAGCCACTATGTAGGACTGCCACACACTTGGCACTTTTTTATACTTCCCAAATTTTATATAATTGAGCCCAAATATTATATATATATTATATAATTTATTATATATATATTATATAATTTATTATATAATATATAATTCCCAAATATTATATAATTATATATATAAATTGTATAATTTTATATAAATTTATATAATTTAGTAAAAAAGAGAAACTAAAATAAATTGTATTTCCTGATGGGATACACTAGTTGGCTATAAGGAACATTTTCCCGATTATACCTAGCTGGCTCAGAAATTTGTTCAAACACTGGCCAGGGGCACATTTGGAATAGAAGTCCCAAGGGAGAGAGATACAGGTGAGATTCCTGCTGCCTCTGAGGCCATCAAGAGTCTGATCCTTCTGCATAGGTTGGCTGTGGTCTGTTGTGACCAGATCAGGTGGAGGCTTCCTGGAAGGCTAGGGTGCAATTCAGGGTTGGGCGTAATTGATAACAAATCTGCCCTCCACACATTATCATCTTGGGCCTTCCAGAACCTCCTGCCTTCACCAGGAATAACCTGGCCACAGCTCAACTTGCCTATGCCCCGACCTTGGGCCAAACCTGCCTCCTCTTTGAGAGCAGTGGTGGAGGAGGTAAGAGTGTAAGATGCAAAGCCACGCTGTGTAAGTTCACATACCAGCTCTGTAACTTACTGGATGTTGGAGAAAAGTTACTTACTAGACAAGTTAATTTAACCTCTCTGAACCTGTTGTATCCTCTGAAAATAAAGACAATTCTGCATTACAGAATCTGTTGTGAGGGTGAACTAAATTCACAGTTAACGCAGTGCCTGGCACATGGCAGGCATGTCTCCAGTGTAACCTTCAATAGTCCCTTCCTGCTTGGTCCAGCATTGCCCTATATACATACACAACAGACCCAGAGAAAACAGTATAGCATCTTCCCTTGAGGGGCTTATCTTGAGAAAGCACAAAACCTGCGCACATGAAGCACAGAAGGAAAAATAGACTAACATTTGCTGAATTCCTATTATATGCCCCGAAAAGAAAAAGCATACTCATTTCTTTCAGGTAGAAGATAGCCTAGAATTGTGACATGTCGCAGTGTATAAAATCTAGATGCTGGGGGTGTGGAGTATTCCTTCCAGTTCCTTTCCTTGTGATGACTTTATTTCACTGACTTAACAAGTAACTTTAATCCTCCTCATCTCTGTCCCTTCAATTATCTTGGGTAAACTGGACTCTTCTGTTGCCTGGCTACCCGGCAGGTAGTCCCAAATGTCAAAGAAAAGCTGGCCAACCTTAGAATTTGGCCATGGACGTCACTGTGGGAGGACAAATAAATATAGAACATGAAGAGATTATTCATTTAGAGCCCAGCTTCTCCAACATCTCACTGTGATTCACCAGATCAATTAAAGGCGCAGTAATTCAGTGCGTCAGGAAGGCTGTTGTGAAGAGAACACATCCAGCCTCCCCTGGTCCACAACTCCCACCCCCCATTCCTCACCCTGGCAACTGATTAGATTTGCTCCTCCCTTGCCTGGTATATAAGTTACCACTGCTTGTTTCCAGAAAACCAATTAAGAAACCATAAATTGTGGTCGACTAGAAAGGTCACTGCACAAGCTATAAATACAGGCATTTCTAAACTGTGAGTGGAAGTCTCTGAAGCACATTATCTCCTGTACACCCACATCTTCCAACTGAGGTTTTCTTTGATAAAATGAGAGAACATGAAGACGGAGATCAAAAAGGCATTCCCTGGGTTTTCGTTCTGTAGCCTGCTCTCTTGGGTGTAGCTGGGAATTCTGAGCCTCCAGCAGCCCAGCCCACACTCCAGCTTTGGTTTTGGTTTGTTGTTTTTGTTTTGGGGGAGTGGGGAGGGGGTCATAAAAATGATCTCTTCACAATGTATAAGTGATGTATGAGTTCGAGGCAAAACCTTTAAAACACTGAAAAACACAATGGAGAAATAATCCATAATTCCACCCCTTAAAAAAATGGTTAGCACTTTAGGATATATTATTCCAGGCTTTTTAATAGGCTATATGTACACATTTGTTTTGCTTTCAGAAACATATTTAAAGAGTGTCATTTACTAATACTGTTTTGTAGCCTGTTTGCTCAGCAATATTTGATAATATTATTTTTCCATGGTATTCTACATGTGCCATAGTGTATTTAGCTTCCCCCGTTGTTAAGGAATTTGATTCCTTACAGATTTCCCTTCATATATAATGCTGCAGTGAACATCGAGTTGACATCTCTTCACATAACCATAATTATTTCCTTTGGGGAAATGCTTGAAGTGGAATTGCTGAGCCCTTGATCTTTAAGACTGGTGTATGTTGCCAAATCACCTTCTGGGGAGGTTCTACTAGTGTATACTGGTGGCCATTTCCCCACTCCCTTGCCAAAAAGGGGCTAGTAATTAATACTTTTTAATCTTGACCAAGTTGTTGGATTTAAAAAGATGTTATTTTGTTTTAATCCAAATAGCCACTTAGTACCTACTAACACATCACAAAAGGCTCCCAGAGCCACACAGGCCCTAACCTGGAGTGGATGCTCCTTCCCACCAGCCCTGGCTAGGCTTTTCTGAGCTCCCTCACCCTCAGGATGGCAACAGTGACAGCAGCAGGGTCTCAGGTCTCCCCAGGGTAGATTCAGAGCCAGGCATAAGTTGGATGTCCTATTCAACCCCAGAGAAAGAGTCTTAGGGCCAGCCACCAATCTGGGCTGCAGGCCTGAGTGCCATGCACAAAGTAAAACGAACACAGGTTATGGACCTAGGAGCAGAGCTGGGCTCTTCTACTTCCCCACCAAAGCCTCTGCCCAGCAGCGAAGAGGGTTCCCCAGGGCTCAGCCTTAAGGGGTAATACCAGCCACGTGTGTGTAGCACTTAGCCACCTGCTAAGCCCTCTGACATAATTGTGCCCATTGAATCCTCAAGACAACCCAGTAAGGAAGACACAAGTATTATACCCATTAACAAATGAAAGTATCAAGGTTCAGAGAGATTGAATAACTTTCTCAAAGTCTCAAGGAAAACCAGGATTTAAATTCAGACCTCAGGACTCAAATCCTGAGCATTTCCAAAGTGACCTGTAACCTGTCTAGCCCCTGGCGTGTCTCAGCCCAAGGCCTCTGTCCTCATCCTTAAGTATCTGTGTGTATTTCAGGACCCAGGAGCCGAGGCCCTTTCCCGAGGGTCTGGCAGTGGAATGAGCTGGCTGACAAAGCAGGGTGCCAGAGTTCTCCACTGGCTCCTTGCCACCAGCTCTGCCTGCACCCTGGCCGCATCAGGCCTGCTGCCAGGAAAAGGGAGGGAGACCTTCCTACCCATCAGAGATGTAGAGGATGAATTAAAGTCCATTAGCAAACCGTGACATCCTTTAACATACAAAGCAGTATTATTAATAATGTTTGAAATGAGATTATTTCGAAAACATTAAGTGGTCATGGAACAAGTGGTATCAGACCCAAAGCAGAGTCTTCCAGTTCCTAAGCAATCTCTTTAGCCCGAGGCTCCTCTTAATTTGTAGTAAATAGAGAGCTATTTAGCTGGGCTATTAGGCCTTTGAGCAAGGAGAGCTCACCCTAAACACATCTATTCCTGAGACCTGCTTGATCTAAAATGCACATCAATGATAGCTCAAGGTGCCAGCATGCAATGTGTTCATTCAGCTGGTGTTTATAGAGATCCTACCATGTGCTCCAGGGATACAGAAATGAACAAGGCATAGCCCCTGCCCCGAAGGTTCCCTCGCGCACAGTTTTGTGCAGATAAATGGTTCTGTAATCAAATAACGACATGACCCTGAGAGCATTGCTATAATATTAGAAGATCTACAGCACCTGCTCCACAGGCAGGGGTGAAATCAGGAAACACTTCACAGAGGAGGAGCCTTGCGTGAGGAGTAGCCAGGGCCTGAGCATGAGGTCTAGACACACCGCTCTACAGCTCCCCCAAAGTGCCAGCCTTTCTCCTGTCCAGGAGCAGGGGCGGGACCTGACTCCATGTGTTTTAGGGAACTTCTGTCTGGTGGCAGAATGGAGAAGGGCCTGGATATGGGAGGACTGGAGCTCAGTGAAGAACCCACTGCAGGGCCGAAGTGAGAGGTGGTGGCAGTTGTCCTGGTGGAGATTGGCAGTGCCCAAATCCAGATCACCATGGGAAGCCCCAGGGGCACATTTAACCCCCCAGCCTCCCACCCATAGAGACACCCTGGGTCTGGGTGAAATCTGGGGACCGTTACAAAGCGACCTGGATGTCAACCAGGCTTGGAAACTGCTGGTCCAGGTGCCCTCCAGCTCAGAGATTCTAGGAGACAACAAGTTAATATATGGGCTTTGTAAGCTGTGAAATGCTATGCAAATATGAGTGATGTGTTTTTCAGGATTTTCTCTATAAAGGTAATTTTGTCAACCACCACCTAATCACTTCTCACAATGTGTAATCAGTGGCAGGTTTGACTTCAGTTTCCTTCTGCATCTATTTCCCTGCTCCTCTAGTCTCCAGTCAAGCCAAGAGAATTCTTCTCCAGCCAAGGGAAATCATTCTGAAACTGAATAATCCTCTCTCTTTCCCACCACCCACTCACCTGTTCATAGCTTTGGTAAATCCGAACGATATTTCTCTTGTTTGAAATAAAACTGTTACTCCCAGACTGCATTTGTTAACCATCTGGAGCCCATTTACTTCCTCCTAGGGAAGATTCCTCACCCTGAAGCTCACAGGGAAAGCCTGCTCTGAACAGGACCTGCTCTTCCACTGGCCCTGCTGCTTTCTTTTACATGACAAAGCCTGTGAGAACCGGTATAGATCACTAATGGGCTGAGTCCAGATAAACTCAATGTGAAGTGGAGCTTTCGGGTTTGCGGATCCTAGCCCTGCCTCTTACCAGTGGCATGGGTTTGGACAGTAATTTAAATTTCTGAGCCTCAGTTTTACTGTCTCCAAAGCGGGGAAAATAATATCTATATCCCAGGGATCTTGCAACATTGAATGATGTGATGCATGTTATATATCTGGTATGGCATTATGCAGGAATATAGAAATGCAGGGTTGCAGCTTTGCGGAGGAAAGAGGTCACAAAAAGGGGGCTCAAGAAGTCTGCAAACAAGGCACCCTGGCTGTGACTACCTTCCAGTGCAAGGTCCAACCCTCCAGCCTGCCTCACTCACCAGGTGGGGTGTTTACCTGGCGCAGAGAATTGCCGCCGTCTATGTGCACTGTGGTGCTGTGCCCAGGGCTGAGCCCTTGCTTGCCCACCAGTGTTCCCTTAAACAGTCTCTTCATTTAGTACATGTCAGCCTCCACTCTCCAGCCCATGCTGACATGGAGCAGGCCTCCCAGTGGGCATGTCTGCCACCAGACTCTCTTCTATGAGCCCAAAGATCACTCTGGTCAGCCATTAAAAACACAACTTGAAATAAGTAAAATTTGTGGTTATTTAATCTCAAAATCTTCAGTGCATTCCCAGGGGAGCAGAGAGGAGACTAGATTTTTTTTTCTTTTTTGAGATGGGGTCTCACTCCGTCACCCATGCTGGAGTGCAGTGGTGCTATCTCAGCTCACTGCAACCTCCACCTCCCAGGTTCAAATGATTCTCCTGCCTCAGCCTCCCAAGTATCTGGGATTACAGGCACCTGCCACCACACCCAGCTAATTTTTGCATTTTTAGTAGAGATGGGGTTTCACCTTGTTGGCCAGGTTGGTCTTGAACTCCTGACCTCAGGTGATCTGCCCACCTTGGCCTCCCAAAGTGCCGGGATTACAGGCGTGAGCCACCGCCCCCGGCAGGGATCAGATTCTTATTTTTCCTCCTCTTCTACCACTCTTCCTTCCCCTTCTTTTCCTTATTTTAGAACATCATTGAATCTTGGATCCTATCATCCAACCAGGAGGATGTAGACCTTGAGGTATCTCTTAAAAGAGAAGGGTGGAGAATGTCCTGGGCATGAGCTGCAGTGGTGAAAGACTTAACATTGGTAGGGTGCTATCACATGGAAACTGGTCTGGGAGGAAGGCAAAGTCATTAACTAATCGAGTAATATTACCCAGGATGAGAACACAGGCACTCAAAGGCAATTAAAGCCTTGTCCAGGGTTACACAACTAAAAAAAATGGTACAAACTGAATTTGGAACCCAAGATATTTACCAAAATCCACAAATAAAGCAACCATATTTTGGGTTGTGGGAAATCATGGCAGAAGAGTAGGACTAGGGCTACATTTAGGAGGGCTGAACAGGTGAGGCTGTGTTTTATGTAGTGGGCAATAGCAACCCCCAGAATGTTTTAGAAGAGGGAAAGGACATGACCAAAGAATGGTTTAGGAAAGTGAATACAGCAACATACAGAAAAGATGGAAAGGAGAAGAGATTGGTAGGAAAGGGACTGTTTGAAGTATGACCCTCAACCCAGATGGTAGCAGTAGGTACAGAAAGCAGTGTCAAAGATAATGCCATGGCTCCAAGCCTAGAGACTGGAGGGATACTATTAACAGGAGTGGGAAGTATTAATAACAGCTGACTTCCTTTTTTTTTTTTTTTTTTTTTTTTTGAGCTGCTGTTATGGGCTTGCCACTGCAAAACTAAGAGGTTTTTTGTCAACTTTCTCATTAAGTCTCCTAATGGCCCTAGAATGTATTTACTAGTCTCCCCATATTACAGATTTTGGAGATGGGAAACTGAGGCCCAAAGTGATGAGGTGATTTGCCCAGTTTACACAGCTTATAAGGAGGGGAGCCAGTATTTCAACCCAGGTCTGGCTGACAGTCTCTAGAATTCACACTTTTAACCCAGCACTGAGCAGCCCCTCCAACCCACCTGCAGATACAGGCTGGATAAACGACGAGTTGGTTCGGCAAGTGAGGCAGACCTGGCCTCTATAGCTTTGTCTCCCCTAAGAGATCAAACTCACCCTTCCACTGATCTGGATGGATGGCAGTCAGCACTCACTGAGATTAGGATTTTAGGATTAGGTCAGATCACTCCTGACCTCAGGTGATCTGCCTGTCAACTTTGAAGACACAGTTGAAGATACTCACTCCACAAAAGGTCCACTGTCAAGGTGGGAGAAGGCAGCTCCAGCTCAGACTGGACAGACCTGGGAATATAGTGGCCTTTAGAACATTAGAGAATGAGGACACAGAAGAGACTAAGTAGAAGAAAGTTGTGGGATAAAAGAGGGAAATTCCTCCAAAACCCGGAATATTCTTAAGTAAGGGATGATGGATAGGCAGCCAACCAGGGAGAAAAGAACAGAACACGAAAGGAAACAAACTAGAGCTCCCATCAGTTATTTGGCCTGCATTTCTCCAGCAATAGTCCCTTTTAGGCCCACTGTACCCAAAGTCTAACAGTCCAGCAAAGCTCCCCTGAAGCCCAGCTCAATCATCCAGCCTAGGTGTCTTTGTCCCAGACAGAGGCTGTTAGTCTTAATCTCAGATAATATATTATCTCAAGATAATATAAACGTCCAAGAGAAAGGAAAGGCCCAAGGAACCTAACGTTATGAGACTTCAGTGTCGGCAGTAACACTGCCGACTGGGTCTAAGGACCCAGGCACGAGAGGCCCCTATGCTGGCCCTCCTCAGGCCGTACCACATCCTCCATGGAGAGCAAGCCTGTGCCCTCCCTTCTAGACCATATCCTTGCGCTGTCCAAACAACCCAAAGCTGCTTCCCGGGCCCATGCAGGCCTCTTCCCCCTGCTCTCTCCTTCCAAGGGTATGCATACCCTGTGCCTGCAGCATGGCCAGGAGGCAGTTCTTTGGGGACAGGGGATGGAACCTGTACAATTAGAGCTGGGGTGTTCACACTGCATGTACATGAGGCTCCTAAGGGGTACAGTCTAGGGTGGAAAAAGAAGGGGAATAGGCTGCAGGCTGGCAACTAAGCCAGCTCTTCCCATGCCGCCACATTTCAGCATGGAGCTGATCTTCCAGGTGTTCGAGGATGGAACGCGTTTTCATTTAACAGTTGCTAACTGGATTTTTAACTTTTAAATATTTAGACATATCATCTGTGGCCTCCATTTATATTTTTGCCCTCACCCCTACAAATGTTAGGATAGCAAGATCTTGAGTTGAAGGAACCGTAAAAGTCATTCATTCCAACCACCTAGCCAAGCTTGCCGTCCCACCAAAAGCTTAATCACTTCCAATTATGATTGGATGCTGGTCGAACTGCCTCCTGAAGTACTAGCTCATTCGTCTCTGCAGTTTTCTCACTGCTAGCAGCGGTCCTTTATTCCGATGTCTTCCTGTTCCAGAAACAGCATTTAGTAGTATTAAGTTGAAGGCTCACTCTGCCAGGCAATGGAGTATAGAGATGAATGAACTTTGACTCATGGAGACCAGGCTCCAAATCCTGACTGCCACTTACTAGATGTGTGACCTTGAGCAAGTTTCTCAATCTCTCTGATCTTCAGTTTCTTCATCTGTAAAATGGAAATAATAATTCCCCAGCTCTGTTGCCTCAGCTAGAGTGCAGTGGCAAGATCATGGATCACTGCAGCCTCAGACTTCTGGGCTCAAGCAATCCTCCTGCCTCAGCCTCCTGAGTAGCTGGGACTACAGACACATGCCACCATATCTGATTGTGTGTGTGTGTGTGTGTGTGTGTGTGTGTGTGTGTGTGTGTGGAGATTGGGTCTCTTTATGTTGACCAGGCTGATCTCAAACTCCTGTGCTCAACAAATCCACCCCCGCTTAGCCTCCCAAAGTGGTGGGATTATAGGCATGAACCACTGCTCCTGGACTTTGGTCTCCATATCTTAAACAGAAGGCCCAGTCTCAGTGACGAGGGATGTAATTAGTGCCAATAAATAGTGACTTGATTATTAATGTTACCTGTTTACGTTCACACTTGTTCTCATGGCAGAAAGGCTGGAGTTTTACATAGGAAGACCTGAGAACTAGTGTCTGCGCCTCCACTTACTAGTTGTGTTACCTTAGACAAATCACCTCTTCTCTGTGTGCCTCCATTAGTTACCTATCAATAAAATGGAGCTGATGATCTCCATCACCTCACAGAGCTCATACTAAAACACCCCTACCAAAAAGTCATTTCTTCATTCATTCATTCTGTAAACATGCACGAAAGGGCTACTTTGTATTTGGTGCTGAGATAGAAAAGTGTGCCCAGCTCCTGCACTCAAGGGACCCATACTCTAGTGGATGAGACAGATAATAAAATATATATATATATATAATAAAATACAGTGTGACAGGAGCTGGCATCCTGAAAGAGGGGACAGCTGGTTTTGCCCCAGAAAGGGTGCATAAAGAAAGTAGCATCTGAGAGGGATTAGTGGGGAAGAGAATATCATGAAAAAAAAAAGGCATGGAATCATGTAGTTTTGTGGAACAGAGATACAAAATAAAATGAATCTTTCCTTCAAGTGACAGGTCTTTAGATATCTGACAAAGATATCATAGCCTATCCCCCATCCTTTCTCTGACAACTTCTCTTAGGCAGGCTCAACATCCCCAGTTTCTTCAACCATTGCTCACCTGCATGGCTGTGAGTGTTCCCACGCCCTCTCTGGATACGGTCCCTTCTCTGTGTGTCCCAGTGGCAGGCCATACTCATATGTCTACATGTCACATATGTCACCACAACCAGTTCTTTAGCCAGAGCATAATTAAAACCTTATTTGAAAGCAGGTTATACTTTCCAAAATTCTAAGAGTCTATGAGTTTTACTGCAAATCAGAAGGCTCATCATCTATCTACCTAGTGACATATGGGCTTGTCTCATGGGAAAAGTATGTGCGTGGTGAAAGCATGAAGCACAGAAATGAGAAAAGCGTACGTGCTCATGCAGGGATTCCATGGACCGCTGGTTTAGTGCTATTAGGGGGCAGTGAAACCCCAGCTCTAGAGGGTGTCTTATTAAAGCTCAAGGGATCCTGGTGAGATAGGTCTGGAACTCATATTTCAGGTGTAATGTCATAGCTCCCTTTGGTTCAAAAGTCTTAGAATTGGCTTTGATAGAACTGGGTGCTTTTCCATGATTGTGAATTAAAAGAAAAAGCAAAATGAACAGAAGACAAGTTCTCTTGAAAGAAAGCAACAGCCCTGCCACAGGATCTGGAGGCCCCGTTGCTGTCCTCAGTGATGCAGTGGGCATTTGGCCAGGTTGCAGAGTGCCACCACATGCTGGGTGGCTGTTGCCGGCCCAGGGCTCTCTGACTTACAGGTATTCTCCCTCACTGTTGAGTATGGGACATTATTTGTGTTATTGCTGTCCCCTTAAAGTCTCATCTGTGAGTGAAGAGGGCCTGGTCCTTGAAAGACAGCTGGAGAAGACATCAGCACCAGTCCCTTACAGCTTCATTCACAGTGGCCACAGCCAGCATCTTCCAAGGTAGCAGGAGGACACTCCAGGCCAGGACTTGCACAGGGCAGCGGCTGCCCTTACTCTCACACTCTTGGCCACCTTGTGCCTCTGCTCAGCCTAATGGCAGCACCATAGCTGCCTCCCTAGCCCATCAATTCAGGGGCCTGTCTTTGCTGCACAGTTTAAGGAGTTAAAGGGGAGAAGACAACTGGTTCTTACCACCAAAAAATTAGAGCATTGGGCAGCAGTTCTCACACTTCAGTGTCCAAAGAAATACTTGAAATGAGTGTGACTGTCCTGGTTTATGCCAGTTGTCCCAGCATAACTATTAATAGTACCCCCATTCACTCAAGTGTCCCAGTTAGGCAATAAATTGAATAATCACCCTACTTAAAATGCACATTACCAGGATGCACCCACAGGTGTCTTGGGATTCCCTGGAATCTGGATTTTAAACTAGCATCCTGGCATCTCTGTGGCATGCGGTGGATAGACACACTTTGAGAAATTCTGACAATAACATGAAACTAGGCAAACCAAAAATCATTATAACAACACTAATTTTAAAAAGACAGTAATCCTCTGCTTTTGTGAGGGCTTATGTGGTGCTTTTTAATGTCTGGCTTTGATTTAACAAATGTGAGTATGCACTATGTTTGGAGTCCTTTGCTAGGTGCTCTGGGAGATACAGAGATAAAGAAGCTGGGTCCCTGCATCAGAGGAGTTTACATCTGGCAAGGCGCTCAGACAGATATTACATGGGAGTGAACCCTGGGTCATGAGGAAATGCTGAAGGGGAGGCATTTATGCAATCGTGTAACAGTGCAAGGGAGGAAGGGCATGAAGATAAGGAAATGGGAATTCAAAGAGGCTGAGTGACTTATCCAAAGTCCCACTGAGCCATGAATCTAATCTCGGCCTCCCAACTCCAAGGCCTGGGCTCCTTCCCACATACTCACCACAGAACTCTAACCACCACCACCTGCCAGCAGCAACCCCAGAGAGAAATATGCACACGACAAACTCTTGGCAAGGTGGTAAGAAGGGGGATGGGAGAGGGCTATCAGAGTGACTAGAATTACTGAAAAGCAAGGATTAATCTAAAGAGGATTCCTAAAGAGGATAAAAAGCAATTTATGACACATCATTATAAAACAGCCGGGCATGATGGCTCATGCCTATAACCCCAGCTATTCAGGAGGCTGAGGCAAAGTGGAGGTATCTTTCTGATTCTGGTACATACTATCAAATCGCCCTCAAATCACCTCTGCCAGTTTACACTCATCTGTGGCTTGAATGTGTCCCCCAAAAGTTCATGTGCTGGAAATTTAATTGCCGTTGTAACGGTTTTAAGAGGTAGGGTCTTTAAGAGGCCTTTAGGCCATGAGGGCTGTGCCTTTGTAAAGGGATTCATATTGTTATTGTGGGAATGGGCTCCTGATAAAAGGATAAATTGGCCTGCATTTTCACTTGCTCTCCCACACTCCCTTGCTCACTCACCTTCTGCCATCGGATGACCCCCACCAGATGCTGGTGCCATGCTCTTGGACTCCCCCGTCTTCAGAACCATGAGCGAAATAAGCTTCTGTTCTACATAAATGACGTAGTCTCTTATATGCTGTTATAACAGCAGAAAATAGGCTAAGACACAGTCCCAGCAACAGTGCTAGTGCTATGGCCTTGACCACAGGCTGAATCGGGCTCAATAGCAGCTGGTTCCAGAGAGGCCACCAAATAGAAACATTCTGAAGAGTGTTTATCATTCGTGTTTCCCACCAAATCACTATCTCCTTTTGTCTTTTTCTAACCCCTCTCCCCAAGTTTGGCTTGGTTTTATGGAAATGAGTTCCTGCGTTGGCCATTCATAACTGATTTACATTTTATTATTCTTCCTTTCTCTGCCTATAGATCCTATGACAGGAGTCTTTCTCTATTATTATTATTATTATTATTTTACAACTGTGTCTCCTTAGCCATTCCCTTCCTCTGTTACTTCCTTTCTATTCATCATCTTATTCTGTTGCCCTTGACTTTTCTGCAGTCACAGAACTCCCTGATATCTGACGAAAGCTATGTACCCCTTCTCCAGAGAAACATTCAATAATACACACACACACACACACACACACACACACAAACTTAAGGTTTGGGATGTACATCAATGCTAATCTATCTATTTCTTCTCAACTTTACCTAAATTGGCGTATTTCTATCTCTGAGAGTTACTGATACTTCCAACTGAATTCCTACTTTCTTTGGACAAGTCATTCTCATTTATAATTACAACTCACAAAAGAAAAAAAAAGTTACCCTGTGGGCTCCATCTCTTCAAGGTGTCACATTTAAAGAGACTCAAATCTGATGTCACATATTTTGAAAGCGATTAAAATGTTTATTGAAGATTTGGGGAAAATTCCAAATGGAGGAATTTCATTCATAACATATTGTTAAAACTTTAAAAAATCTTTTTCCCCATCTCCACCTCTCCCTCTATCTTGCACAGATGGCAGCTGCCCCCAAAGTCTCCTCCTCCTGCAGGTTCTCCAGGATGCTTCTCACACGCCTGTCATGCTGGCTCTTTGATATCTCCCCCTCTTCTCTCATTGTCTAAGTACATCCAGGTTGGCTACTCTGACCTTTCTAACATATAAACCCAAACAGCATGGTACCTCCCAACTTACCTTTTACCCCAAGTCTGCACAGCCCACAAGATGAGCTGGTGGACACCGTTTAGCAGAAAGCAGAAGAAGGGAAAGGCTGTAGACACTGTATCTTAACCTACTGTGTTTTTCTGTTACATAGAAGACTTGAGAAGTTGCCCTCTTGCTAACATTCCTAAACTGTTCTCTAGGACAGCAGGCTTACCTGGATCATCCATTCTGGAGTCTTCCCCCATGGGTTAGCCACCACATGCAGTTCTCACCCCTTTAGCTCACAGGCCTGTGTATGACACGGGGGCTCCTGCCCACTTTCACCTCCACTTCTGGGGAAGAGTGAGAAGCTGCAGTTTAGAATCAGCACATCCTGCCTCACCCCAGCTACAGGGTGCAAAGTGATAATGATTCAGCTCTCAGAGCCGTCGCAGGACTGCCCCCTGCAGAGAAGTCAGAGTGTGTTTCTCAGATAGAAATAAGATTTGCCAGGTGCGACGGCTCACACCTGTGGTCCCAGCACTGTGGGAGGCCGAGGCGGGCAGCTCACTTGAAGTCAGGAGTTCGAGACCAGCCTGGCCAACATGGTGAAACCTCGTCTCTACTAAAAATACAAAAAATTAGCTGAGCATGGTGGCACATGCTTGTAATCCCAGCTACTTGGGAGGCTGAGGCAGGAGAATCGCTTGAACCTGGGAGGCAGAGGTTGCAGTGAGCCAAGATCACGCCACTGCACTCACGCCAGCCCAGGCAACAAGAGAAAAACTCTGTCTCAAAAAAAAGGGAAATAAGACTTGTCAAGACAGGCGGCATAAGTTCAAGACCTCTATTGTGCAGGCTGGGGACTACAGTTCCCAGCAATATATTATATACTTGAAAATTGCCAAGAGAGTACATTTTAAGTGTTCTTACCTTAAAAAACAAAGTATGTGAGGTCATGCATATAACTAGCTTGATTTAGCCATTCTACAATGTGTACCTATATTAAAATGTCATGTTTTACATCATCTTTATCTATATATATATAATTTTTATCTGTGAATTAAAAAAATCTAAGCAGAGGTTGCTGTTTCCTTAGTTTTGCTCTCTCAGAATACTGATTCTAATAGTCAACAAGGCCAACTTCTAGAAGGTTTACTTGGACCTTCACAAAGACACCCAAAGAATGAGTTGAGAATTACTAAACCCCTATGTGGAATAGGAACCATATGTGTTGATGTGCGGTTGACTTGAGCATGTGTGTGTATAACTATTAAGAATATAAGGCATGGCCGGGCGCAGTGGCTCACACCTGTAATCTCAGCACTTTGGGAGACCGAGGCAGGTAGATTGTCTGAGCTCAGGAGTTTGAAACCAGCCTGGCTAACATGGCGAAACTCCGTCTCTACTAAAAATACAAAAACTAGCCAGGCATGGTGGCAGGTACCTGTAATCCCAGCTACTCGGGTGGCTGATACACAAGAAACGCTTGAGCCTGGGAAGTGGAGGTTGCAGTGAGCTGAGATCACGCCACTGTACTCCAGCCTGGGCCAGACTCCATCTCAAAAAAAAAAGAATATAAGGCATGTGTTTAGATGTGAATGTTCCATTCCAGCTCTCTAAGTGAGGGTGGAAGTTCCCATCCGTGTGGCTGAGGGCATTGTTTTATTCTGATCCAGTGGGATCCTTCCTTTGCAGGCTCCACTGTGTCTCACACGGGGCTTGCCCCGTGGGGTTCCCCTGGTGTCTCCTCTTGTTTCAGGAGCTGCCTCTGGATGGCCCCTCCAGTGGCTTCAGTGCAGCCCTGCCACCACGCGCATACTCAGCAGGCCTACTGCCGCTTTCACCTTATCACCTGCCCCTGGGCTTTTCACAGTCCTCCTCGGGGCACTTTTGCCCATCTTAGAATATTTGTCTGATGTGATTGAGGATTCTGGATTTACCCTGACATGCTTTTTAAGGTCTCCTACCCCAGAAGCTGCCTTGTCCCACTCTAGACAAGCCTTAGTCTGGCCCAGTCAGATCCGACTGGCGGGATAAATAGGCCAGGCCCTCTGGGATGGAGGAAAGGAGAGGAGAGCAGCTCAAAAATGTTCCCCAAGCCTCCCTGCACGATGTGGGTGGACACAGCTTCCAAATCTCCCTGTTGCACTTGTGTATATCCTTCTGTGAGATTCATCTTGGACCTGGTCTAAAGTTTCTTTGGTATAATTTAATCAACCTAGTTCAATCCTGCCCCTCTTGGAAACCCCTTTGCAAGCCTCCCGCTTCCTGCCACCCTGAGTGTGAGGACTCTGGGCTCCATGGCCAGTCTTTACAGCTAGCTCCCTCTGGCCCTCTTGTCAGCCTAATGCAATGACCCTCCTTATCTCCATCTGCCTCAGAAATCAAGCTCTCTGTCCCTTCAGTGGCCTGTGTTCTTACTGGATTTCTTCCAGTCTGCTGGAAGAAAGTGAAACAAGTGAAACAAGTGTTTCACTGCTGAAAGAAGTGAAACAAGCCCTATAGATGCTTCTGCCTTTCCTAGCAAGTCTGTTTAGCAGGCACTGAGCTGCAGGCCTGCTGCATAGGGAATCTCAGAACACCCTCTAAACAATCAAGGACAGATAGGGAGAAATCCAAGCCATAAAGTGCAACACAACAGACTTGTGAAATGTGAAGCCCTATCCCATGACACTGGGCTATGCCATGGTGTCCTCATGCCTCCTGTGAATGGCCAACAATTCAGGCTGCTTTGGTAGGCCAGGAAAGAGCACTGACTCTGGGGTTAGAAGAGCCAGGGTGGCATGGAGATGGGCCGCTCGGCACGTTCCGTGCATAGCAAGAACGACTCTGGTCATGGAAGAAGAGTGGCAGCAGGCTGTCCCGGAAATAGTCATGTGACTGTGGCCAAATCACTTGGCCTTCCTAAACTTAATATTTTCTGTAAAGTAAGAGAAATCAAAATCTGCCATGCCTAGGAGACAAACAAGATGAAGCATAGGAAAACTCTCTAAACTGTTAATGAACATTGTTAGGAAAGGCAGAAACAAACAAAACCAAGTCCAATGTGAACCAAACCCTTAACAGGTTTACTGGCCTCAGCACTGGCCTCTCTGAAGCAGAGCAGACAGACCTGTGATCAGAACTTCAGGAGCTCCAGAGACTAGCATTGTCTGTATAAAATTGCCCACACTCGTGTAAAATGACACATAACTAAGTCCCAATTGTGTCATATGGACTATAGGCAAAACTGAGGTTCTCAGGAAGAGAGGCCTGGAAGGATCAGAAAAGTCTGGGAGCTGGGGCAGGTGGAGCTTGAGGTGCTGTGTGACACTCTGCAGCAGAGACATGTGGACAGTGTGGGGGATGGTGGCAAGGAAGACTTCCAATAAACATGGCATGCTCTATACACTAGTTCCTGCATTCGACAGGTATGTATTGAGCATCTACTATGTTCTAGGGCTAAAGATTCACTGGTGAGTAAGGCAGACATGAAACAGTGTGCTGTGGGGCTTTAGACCAAAGTCACAGCCCCTCCCCAGCCCAAGGGGCCCACAGCCAGGTTCTCAGGCTCTGCCAGTGCAGGGGTTCCGACACACCTGTGCTTACTCTTCTTCCATTATCAGCACAGTTTTTGCTGAAAAAAACATGCAGAGCAGCCTGTTTTGTGTCACCCGAATCAGGGAAGGGGTACGCTCAGCCTTGCCCTTGACAGGCATCCAGGATGTAGGCAGCACCTCTGAGACAGCCCTTGGCTGGGAGGAGCAGAGCACCTCTGTTTATCTGCAGCAAATATTTATTTGTAACCCCAAGCACTGAACAAGCCTGATGGATATGCCTACTCTGGGGTGTCTGTGCACTCCAAGCCATGTTAGACCATGGTGGTCTGACAGAGACTGCAGAGTCACCCCCAGGCCTTCCACAGGTGGACTGGACACTGGGGGTCCTGAAACCAGAGGACAGGCCATGTTTTCTCTCCGCGTCCCCTCCTGTGAGCTCCTTGAGGGGACTCTGCCTCTCATCTTGTGTCCCTGGTGCTGGGCTCCATGCCAGGCATTTTCCTTAGCGCTCAGTAAGTAGTAGATGAAGGATAAATGAGGGGAATAACAGAGTTTCCACAAGGATGCTGAGACACAAAGGCCCAGCCAGACAAGGTCCAGTCAAGGTCATGATCAGGAGCCTGAGGTTCATGTTCTGTTCTGAGCAGCCCATCAAGGATGGAACGGAAGAGAAGAGGAATAACAAACTCATTTTCACATGCATTAGCTCAGGCATAACTCAAATATGAGCTGGGGTCACACGTTCTGCAGGATCTACATAGGACTTGCTCAAGCCCCCATTATAGGGCTCAGCGGAAACCCAAACTCTGTTCTGAGGACTGCTGTTCTCATGGTCACCCCTGGCTCCAAACTCCTCCCTCCACTGAATTCTTCTTGCTGTGAGTGTCTTCTGTATACTATGGATATGCACCCAGATAGGCACATCTGGATGTATATTGGATTGCCACAGAGAAGAAAAATATCACTCACATTGAGGAGACACCAACACAAACACTTGGAATTAAATAAGACACCTCCCAATTCCTGGAAGCCTTGTGCAGTGCCTGACTGCTGGGATTTTTAACTGGCAGGGAGACCCAGTGGAACCCCTGAGCCTCAGCTGGTTTTCAGGGCTCATCTCTCTTCCTCACCCCATCGTCCCTGATCTGACCACCACCCCATACCCACACAGCTCTCCAAGCCCCACTCCCAAACCTCAGCACAGCCAGACTCACCCAGGGATGAGTGAGCATGGAGACGTCTCTCCTGTGAGCAGCTCAGAGGGCTAACTGCAGGGACCCTGAGGCTCTTGGAACAACATCAGCCCTCTTTAGAAGGCAGTGTGATTTTAAAGATCACCCTCCCCCCATTTTCCCAGGTAATCCTCACCCTGTAGAGAAAGGTGTATTATTTATCTCCGTTTTGCAGATGAGCCTCAAGGAGATCATTAATTGTCCAAAGTCACCTAGGTAATAAGTGCAGAAAATAGGGTTTAAACTCAAGTCTTGGAACTCCTGGCCTAGTGCTTTTTCCACTGTGCACAACAGAGCACAGCAGGATGGAAGGCTCTGTGTGGGGACAGCACTCTGTGCAAAGCAACTTCCCCCTTAGACCTGGTCATTCCAGCATCCAGAATGTGCAGATACCAGGCAGGCGGCCGGAGTGGAGCTTAACAAAGACGCGTGATTCCAAGTCTGTGCCCCCAAATGGTCTAAACTGTAAAGGAGAAAGCAAAATATACCCACAGGATACCTGTGTATCAATAAATGCCAATACCAGAGGACAAATAGGCCTTAGGAAGGCCAAACAAAAATGTGCAGCATTTAGTCAATCCTGGAAGGCTCCCTGGGGGAAGTGAAAGCCTCCTTTCTTTTCTCTTTTTGTTTGACTTGGACTTCAGATGCAGAAGACTAAGTTAACTATATTCTTCAGATCATAGCACAGTATCATGATCATTGGTCTGTGCAAGATCTGTCACATCTTATTGATGTTTATTCTCACTCTCACTTTCATTTACCTTCTTCCATAGGCAGCCATAATGTGTATTCATTTTTTGGTATGTGTTCTTGAACATGTGGATTGTGGATCTGTGTGCTTGTAGTTTAAATGCATGTGAGCAGAATTCTTATGCCTCTCATGCTTGGTTGTTTTGTTTTGTTTCGCTGTTTCTCTTAGCACTGTGCTAAGCTTTCTCCTTGTTGCTGTGTGTTGCAGTGCCACATCTGGTCCTCTGCTTTCAGCAGGTGCATATCCTCCGTGATAGCATCTACCTGAGTTTACGGGTCCACTCCTCAGTGATGATCACTGAGGTTGCCTCCAAGTCCCCGCCATCATAAACAGCCCAGCAACGGTAACAAACATCTTCACATGTGACACCTTATGGCTGTGTTAAGAAATTTCAGGGACATCAAACCAGGAGCAGAATTGCTGTTTCATGGGCCATGTGTGTACTTGCTATGACTAAGTGGTACCAGGTCACTCCCTCAGTGGCTGCCCCAGCTACACCCACCACCAGTGCTCCTGTATACCCACATCTGCACCAATGCTTGGCATTATCCTGCTCCTGACTTTTGCCAATCCAAAGGTAAAAAGTGATAGCTCATTGTGGCTTCAGCTTGTATTTCTTGAATTAATAATGAGTTGGTGCATCTCTTTTTTGTGAGCCTTTAGGGTAAACCACCTGCCATTGCCTACTGTTATATTGGGGTTCTTGGGGGTCTTTTCTTGATGATTTGCAAGAGTCTTGTATCTCCTAGAGAGACCCCTTCTCAAACAGTGCACATCTCTTTGCTGCTGTAGTTACCCATCTAGGGTAAGAGAACCCATGTAGTCACCAGTTCTTCAAATCCTCATCCTGGGGGTCAGGACTTTGTAATGGGCATATATACAATCAAAGTAAAGGGAACCCCTTCCCCATTTCCTTCTTCCAGCCTTGCCTGAGGATTGCCGTCCAGGAAGACAGGTAACAGGGAAAAAAACTTCTTCTCTGGGACTGCTAACCTGCTGTGTCAATTTCATAAGTTAATAAATGATTAGAGAAGGCTTAATTGCATCAGAGAAATTGAGATCAGCTGGTGCTTAGGCCCCACTCAATTAACTTGTGCTCCTAAGGGGGCTGAGCAAGGAGCAGGGGGCAGTCGATGGTTAATTACATGTGCTGGTGCCAGCCGCAGCTGGCGTTTCCTGCCAGCATTCATCCAGGCAGTGAGGCGAGGTGACCCTGTTTCAGTGAGGCTGAAGTCACTGAGAACAGGGAACCTTCAGATACAGCAGAGACCCCTGGTATCGTGGGGAGTGAGAGACCCATTTCCCAGCACATTCTATCAGGGTGGCTTTTAGTGCCCAACTCCAGCCTCTACTAGACAAATGGCCTTTAAGGCCCCCATTTTTTTTTTATTTTTTATTTTAAGACAGAGTTTTGCTCTTGTTGCCCAGGCTGGAGTGCAATGGCGCCATCTCAGCTCACTGCAACCTCCACCTCCCGGGTTCAAGCAATTCTCCTGCCTCAGCCTCCTGAGTAGCTGGGATTACAGGCACGTGCTACCACGCCCGGCTAATTTTTGTGTTTTTAATAGAGACAGGATTTCACCATCTTGACCAGGCTGGTCTCAAACTCCTGACCTCATGATCCACCCGCCTCGGCCTCCCAAAGTGTTAGGATTACAGGCATGAGCCACCGCACCCAGCCAGGCCCCCCATTCTGACCACTTTATTGGCTCCATCCCCACCCAGGCTAATGCCACATGCCTTTGGTTCTTCTTAGGCTTCCCCCTCCTCCTGCCCCCTGGCCTGCTTGCCTCCAGGCCAGGCGGCAGGAGGAGGGGGAAGCCTAAGAAGAACCCAGAGCCACTCTTGTCTTGTCATGGGCACCAGATGATGCCACAGGCTCTGCAAGATCACTCCCCTCCCCTGCTGCCTCCAGATTGAAATTCTCCCAGAGAAGTTTCTTCTTGCATCATTTTCCAAAGGGCCAGATGGTAAGGCTCACATCTGCTAAGAATATAGATTCCTGGGCCCCACCCTGTAGATGCTGCTTCAGTAACTCTGGAGTCTCCATTTTTTAATACATGGCTCAGGTAATTGTTAACCTCAAGCCAGTTTGAGAAACCCTACTTCAGGGGACACCCTGGCTCCTGATGAAATAAATGCATATCTTCTGGAAGGAGAGACAATATCAAATGGAAGGGCTCTGTCCTGGGACCTCTACAATGCCATCTCTGCCTTGCTGTGTGTGTTAAACAAGTCATTTGTCCTGTTTGAACTTGGTTTCATCACCTGGAAAATGAAGATATTGTAAATCATTCTATCGTAAAGACACATGCACACATGTGCTCACTGCAGCACTGTTTACAATAGCAAAGACATGGAATCAACCTAAATGCTCATCAGTGACAGACTGGATAAAGAAAATGTGGTACATATACACCATGGAATACTATGCAGCCATAAAGAAGAACAAGATCTTGTCTTTTGCGGGAACATGGATGGAGCTGGAGGCCATTATTCTTAGCAAACTCACACAGGCACAGAAAGCCAAAGACCACATGTTCTCACATATAAGTGGGAGCTAAATGATGAGAACCCATGAACACAGAGAGGGAATAATGCATACTGGGGCCTAATTAAGGGTGGAGGGTGAGAGGAGGGAGGGGACAGAAAAAAATAACTATTGGGCACTAGGCTTAATACCTGGGTGATGAAATAATCTGCACAACAAACCCCCATGACATGAGTTGACCTGTGTGACAAACCTGCACTTGTATCCCCAAACCTAAAATAAAAGTTTTTTAAAAAGACACAGGAGTCCTTACATTTCCATGGATCATTTTTCTGTAAGTAACAAGCACTTTGTGTGATTTATGCTCAAAAAGCAACTTTAATTTTTTTTCTTCAAATGTCCCTTTACTTTAAAATGTATTCAGTGGGAGAAATCTTCCCCTGCCCCTAGAAAAAAAACTTGGCCCAATCCCATTGCTTTTTCATCCAGTCTTCGGTGATAGCCTTATAGTTACTGTAAGTTATAGATACAGTCCACTCAGACATTAGAATGCATCATAGGCCGGGCATGCTGGCTCACGCCTGTAATCCTAGTACTTTGGGAGGCTGAGGCAGGTGGGTCACCTGAGGTCAGGAGTTTGAGACCAGCCTGGACAACATGGTGAAACCCCATTTCTACTAAAAATACAAAAATTAGCCGGGGGTGGTGGCGGGCGCCTATAATCTGAGCTACTTGAGAGGCTGAGGCATCCTGCCTTAAAGCCAGCATTAATCGCTTTAACCTGGTGGGGCGGAGGTTGCAGTGAGCCGAGATTGTGCCACTTCACTCCAGCCTGCGCAACAGAGCAAAACTCCCAAAACTCCGTCTCAAAAAAAAAAAAAGGAATGCATAATAATCATGAGTAATGAAACGCTCTTACTCTGACCGCATTGTTTTTCTCCTTTCTTCCAGTTTCTCTCTGCTCAAGCTGGAAGCACCTGAGGTGGGCCCCCACACGTCCCTCTGCTGTCTACACCGCCCTGTTCTCTCTTCCCTACCACCCGCCCAGGAGCTGCTGTTTTACCACTGGCCGGGATCGAAATTCGGGGTTCTTACTGGTTAGAGAGCTTAGAGAAACTTAAAACTGGCTCCTGCTTTTGGAAATGTTTTTGTGGGCTCTCCTGGGGTTCCCTGCTGGGCTGGACCCCTCTCTTCCGAAGTTCCCTTCACCCACTCAAGCACTGCATCTCTCTTCCAGGAGTCTTTTGCAACCCCTTGCTCAGCCTCTGGGCATCTGGAGGCCGCCTGCAGCCTCTTCAGTTCAGGTCTTCTCCCTGTTGACACTTACACAATATTGACTCAAGACAGCCAGCCCCAGAGCTCTCCTCCCTTGGGATACATAGCTCAGCAACACCTCTCACCATGGAAATCTCCTCAGCAAACCTTCACCAAGTTATGGTCCTATATGTATTTTATAAAGTGGGTGAAAGCATCCACGGATCCTGAGACAGATGCTTTTACATTCCCATTGTACAGTCTGTGCACAGCCAGGGGCAGAGGGCCCTGCCCCAGGCTCACTTTCACCTTCTGATTTCTATCCTTTGCCCTGTCAGAACTCGTGCAGCAAGAGCCCCACTGTGATACCCAGTCGCATTAAACTCTACATCACAGGTTAATGTGAATGAGAACATCTTGGAGAAAAGAAAGCCTAAGTGCCCAGAATGTCCAAGGCAGGAGCTGGGAGAGTGTAGGAAGGCCTAGATCTAGGAGAGAGGTGATACGGGGACAGGGCTGTTCTGTCACGCAGTCACTCTGCCTCCTTCTCAGCTTTCCCCAGGGCTCTGCCCCTGAGAGCTGCTGGGCTCAGACAGCCCCAGTCCGTGAGGCATCATGCTAATGTCTGTCCTTTGACCTCCAGTTTCTGGCCGAGGGTGAGAACCTGGAGGTGGTTAGCCCTGTCCCCTTGGGAAGGTGGCTCTGTGGATGTGGTTAATGGCTGGGTTTCCTCCCCAATACAAACATCCCCCACCCAGGGGGGGCCTTTCCTCTGAGCCAGGGCTGAGCATCACCCCTACAGGGCATCCCTCCTCTCCCTCCTTCTCTCAGTGTAGGGTCCAGACTCTTCCGAATAATGTTGAGTGGTTATTTAAAGATCAACACTGTCCTGGCCGGGCATAGTGGTTCAAGCCTGTAATCCCAGCACTTTGGGAGGCCAAGGCAGGAGGGTCACTTAGGGTCAAGAGTTTGAGACCAGCCTGGCCAATGTGGTGAAACTCTATCTCTACTAAAAACACAAAATAGCTGGGCACGGTGGCATGTGCCTGTAGTACCAGCTACTTGGGAGGCTGAGGCGGGAGAATAGCTTGAACCCGGGAGGCCGAGGTTGCAGTGGCACTCCACCCTGAGTGACAGAGCAAGACTGTGTCTCAGAAAAAAAAAAAAAGAAAGGTCAACACTGTCCTGGGTTAGACTGATTGGTTAAATGAATAAACAAATGAAACAATGTAAAGAGACCCCCAAAAATTAGCCTACCCTGGATTCCTGGATGTCTCGGGAGGGCCCTGCCTCCCCCTCCACCATCAGCGCAGCAGCCTGAACTTGCTCATCTGGCTGTCCAGTCACCATCTTTGGCCTGATAGAAGTCAGGATATTGGAGTAGGGGAAGGAAGTGTGCAGCCCGGGCACTGGGAAAAATAGGCCCGGGAAACCGTGGGAAAGGGGCTGGGAAAGAGGTATGTTAAGAGCAGGGTCAGTCATGCAGGCAACAAGGACACATCCACTGAGCACAGATCCAGATCCTCCAGTGGAGCAGGAGAAAGCCAGCCGAGCGCCCTGCCCCACTCGCCGTCACCTCCCAGACATGTGCCCAGCATCCTGCCGCTGCCCTGGGCACAGGCTTCCAGCAGCAGCACAGAGGGAAGGAGACAAAGCTGGGATAGGTGTAACCTTACAGGTCTGTCCTCAGGTTCTTAGGCTGGGGCCTCGGAAACCAAGGCAGCTGTGGAGGTTTACCTCAAGAAGCAAACCCCTGGAGAGACTTCCACTCTAGAAGCTGGGGTCACAACTGGGGGCCAGCAGGAGCCTGTCTGTCCTCAGCCTCCCTGTCCAGCTCTCATGAGCCTTTCCTTCTCTTCTCTGGCAGGGACTGATGCCCTTGGCCAGACGCACCCCCAACTGCTGTCTGCTCAGGTGTAGCCCGCGTGACTGAGTCACCGCTGCTCCAGCTGTTTCACGTAAGTGTAAGGCACGGGCCACTCCCTTTTCCTCTGGGAGAGGGTGTCTGGGCCACCAGTGGGGAAGGAGCTTCAGCAAGTCCTGGTCACAGAGGGAAGGCCCTTAGGATTCTTTAGTGGACAGCAGGTTTGTCCTCTTTGGCTACCCCCATTCCCTGACTTGGCCACCACTGAGTCATTCTGCCCTAGACCTGCTGAGACCTGGGTGGGAACATAGGGACCTCTTTCTCCTGTCCTCAGGACACCTCAGGAGGCAGCTGGTGTGTTAGAAACTCCACAGCACTGGCCCGTGGGCCCTGACTCAGGCACTTGTTATCCTATGACTTTAGGCAAATGACTTAATGGTCTCGCTTCTCCTCCAGCATTGCTGGGGCTTTTGTAAGATTCAAGAATGTATTCGTTATCTTTTGCTGCGTCACAAACTACCACAAACTCAGCAGCTTAAAACAACACACAGTGATTATCAGTTTCTGTGGGTCAGGAGTCCAGACATGGCTGGTTGACCCGCTGCCTCAAGGTCTCAGCTGGGGTTGTCAATTCATCCCAAAGGTCAACTGGAGAAGGATCCACTTCATCTCTCATGTATGTGGCTGTTCAGTTCCTTTTGGGAGGCTGGATTGAGGGCCTCAGTCCCCAGCCAGGAATTGGCCAGAGGCCACCCTAGGTTTCTTCCCCAACATGGCAACTTTCAGTATCAAAACTATCAGAGAGAATGGCTAGCAAGAGAATAGTCTGAATCTTATATAATCTATTCACAGAAGTGACATCCCATTACCCATGCTGTTTTCGATTGGTTAAAGCAAGTTACAGGCCACACCCATACTCAGGGGAGGGGAGTACACAAGGGCATGACTGCCAGGAGGCAGTGACCACTTGGGCCATCTCAGAGCCTGCCTGCCATAAGAGAGCATAAATGGAGCACTTTGTAAACTGTAGGCTGCTGTTTGGGTGTAAGGAGATATTGCCAGCATTTGCATCTAGTTGCAAAGAGACAATGAGCCCTCCTGAAATCATAGAGAGCCACTGAATGTGGGAATTTAAATGCTAAACTGTACCATTAGTACAGAAATTAGCCAGCCGTGGTAGCACATGCCTTTGGTCCCAGCTACTTGGGAGGCTGAGGTGGGAGGATCGCTTGGGCCCTGGAAGTTGAGGCTGCAGTGAGCCGAGATTGCAGCACTACACTCCATCCTGGGTGACAGAGCAAGACCCTGTCTCAAAAAAAAATTTTTTTTTTCCATTAGTACTGGGGCTTCAGGGAAACTGGTTGAGAGCTGATTAGTTCATCTCATACCCTGTACATGTCCCTTCCTGGCTTATGATTTTAAGGCCAGACCTAAACAGCCACAACATGTCGAGGCCCCCCAAAACCATGTTTGTGGGGTCTTTTCTAGTTCACAAAGAGCTCTCACACCCATCCCCCTCTTTCCTCACAGTCACACTTGAGAATTCAGAGGAAGAGAGGCAAGCCTTGGTTACGATTCCTCGCAATCCTACTGGCAAGGGAGACGTGAGAGGAATGTGAGAGCTGAGCGTTTTGTTCATCTTTGCTTTACAAGTGAGAAAGAAGGTCATTTTCCAATATGGGGTAGCTGCTCAGTGGCACAGGTGATCCTCGAACCTGGGCCTTGAGAACCCCAGCTCTGCCCACACTGCCATGCCCCCGATGTCCAGGCCATTGCCGTGCACAGCCTGCGTGGTCCTGAAAGAGGGGTGGTCCAGCACAGGGGCAGGGAGGAGGGAGGGCACTGTTCTTATACAGCTTCTCCATAATTCCCTGTCTCCTAAAATAGGCTTGGCACATCCTGGAACACTAGTCCAAGCCTGTCTGTGGGGTGGATCACTGCTGCCTCCCCAGCTTCAGGTCACTCCTAGACCTCTCTGTCCATAAGCAGCCCTCAGCGACGAATATGCAGGGAAGTGGTGAGGGGATGAAGTGGTGCTGTAGTGAAAGTGCCTAAGCCTTCCCCACGCTGAGATTCATCTGACCCCGCCTCCAGATGCCCCAAGAAACCCCTGAAGCATGGCCCGCCATGCACCTGGGCAAAATCAAAGTGGTCTCGAACAGTGACGCTCAAGTCTGCAGATGGGATTGAGCTGAGAGGTACAGCTTGCTGCCCCCTGGTGGTCTGTCAGAGTCATAACTGCCAGGGCTGTGACAAGCTAAACAGTGAGCTTTTATTAAGTACCCGGTATGTGTCAGGCATGGTGTATAAGGCTGCAGGGGATAGGAGACCGTGTAAGACACAACCCTTGATCCCAGAGGACTTATAATATAGTGGAGGAGTCAAGATGTTCCCACATGAAAAGTTGACTCTCATCCCACCAAGCGGGATTTGAAGAGCAAACCATGAAGGGCATTGCAATAGGAGCCCAGAAGTGAGAGAGCTTCAGGGCTGGGGCAGTCAGGGGAGGCTTCTCAGAACCTTGAAGGATGGGCAGGATTTAAACAGATGGAAAAAGAAAGGCCACACGCTCCCCTGTCAAAAGCCCCGTCAGGAAACCCCCAGGGTCTCCAAGAGAGTTCATCTGGATTCCTTGACCGGGTTGCAGCCTCTGCAGCTGCATGCCTGCCCTGGCCTGTCCCAGCCTCGCCAGATCCCTCGCAGTTCCTGGAACTGTTTTCTCACACCCCTGGACTGTTCATTCTGCCCTCCCCACCTTGTCTACTGGATAAGCTTTCACTCAGCTTTTAGGATTCAGCTCAATACAACACCTGCAGTGGAGCATCTCCCCTCAGTCAGTAGCTGCCCCACTCTAGGTTCCGCAACTCTAGTCTGCAATTCTGTGGCTGCGAGTCTCACACTGTATCCTAAGGTTTGCCCCGTATCTTTTCATCACTAGGCAATAAGCTGCTTAAGAACTGTAGGACTATGGCTCACACTTGTAATCCCAGCACTTTGGGAGGCCAAGGCGGGTGGATCACCCACCTTGGTGGGTGGTCAGGAGTTTGAGACCAGCCTGGCCAACATGGTGAAGCCCCGTTTCTACTGAAAATACAAAAATTAGCCCGGTGTGGGGTTGCACGTCTATAATCCCAGCTACTCGGGAGGCTGAGGCACGAGAATCACTGGAACCCAGCAGGCAGAGGTTGCAGTGAGCCAAGATTGTGCCACTGCACTCCAGACTGAGGGACAGAGTGAGACTCTGTCTCCAAAAAAAAGAACAGTGGGACTGCATGATGGGGCAGTGGATCACGTAAGCGGAAGAAAGGGAGGTGAGGAGGGAAAGATAAATAGGGTAAGTGTGCAGGAACGTGGGGGATGGCAATGTCTTTGAAGCTGTCTCTAAAAGTTTATGGGCAGATAAATGTATCCTGCAGGCAATGTGGTGCATGAGAGTCACAGAAAGGCCCAGGGGTATGAAGGAAGGCTTAACAGCTGGTGGCAGGAAGGGTACTCAGAGACAAAACTGGGAAGGTTTGTTAGGAAACCATTGTGCCAGTGCAGCTTGAGAGGTGATGAGTCTTCACTGGTGTGGGGGACAGAAGACTGGGGTAGCCAAAGAAGAATTTGAGGAGTTTAAATTCTGGGCAGCTAGGGGAACGTCCCATGGGCTTGTCAAACTCTAATGTGCAACCTACTCAATTGGGACCTTGTTAAAATGCAAACTCTGACTCATTAGGCCTGTGGGGGGCCTGAGATGCTATCTTTCTAATGGTGCTCCCAGGTGATGCCCACGCTGCTGGTCCACAGAGCGGGAGTGGATTTGGAGCCACACTGCCGGGCAGGTGCAGCCCTCTAAGAGGACAGTGGTGGACATGTGATATCTTTGGGTAAAGAGATAAAGGCACCCCCTTTTACCTGGTGAACACACCAGGGTGCATAGCTTTGTGAGCACAGTGCAGTTGGGTTCTAGCCCCCACTTGCCCTTTGAGTAATAAACAATTTGCAAAGCCCTTCGGGACAGCTCTGGTGGAGCCACCAACAGAGCCTCCAGACAGGTCGGAGGAGAGGAGTCCATTTGGAGAGCAGGGTGGTGACTTTAACCTGTCATAACTGAGTTTGAGATGACCACTGGGACATCCACTGAAATGTCTATCTACTAGCAGCTGGAGACCCAGCTGGAGACCTGGACTTGGGGTCTGTGGGCTCACTGATGATATGCCACACAGCGAAGAAAGCAAAATGAGGGTTGTCTGGGAATCATCTAACCCTTCTGGCCTTTTTCAGTGAGTAACTCTCTTCTTCCAACATCTCTGTCCTTTCTGTTGTCTTGCAGGTCGCCGTTCCCTTTACTGAATGTAAGTGATCGTAGTCATTTTTCCATCTCCAAGATGCCAACTTCCCATTCCCCACCCTCCTGCCCCTTGGTCCCAATGCACCTGGGAGGCTCAGAAATCCCCATTCACTGACCTAAAAGGAGAATCTGTCTGAAGCCATGACAGCCTCATGCCCAGAGCTTGCCTCTGTCCTGTTCATTCAGCCTCAGAAGCCAGGACCAGTCTCCCCAGCTTGGCCACAGCCTTCCAGGGCCCAGAATGCCACACACCACTCCCTCTGGGCTCGCCTTGCCTTTGTTTTCCAGGAGGGTTTGAAGGAGAAGAGAGATACCCCCAAAAGAAGTGCTGGTTTGAGCCAGAGAAGAGCCACCTGGTGTTTTCGAGATGTGGCCCTTTCCCCGCCAGCCCGGGCCAAAGGCTCAGGGACCACTGGGGTGTGTGCCAAGAGGGCGGGGATCAAGAGCACAGCCTTTGGGATGAACGGGCTGGGTGGAATCGCAGCCAAATTATTCGCAGCCCCGTTCAGCATGCGTGCGGTAGGGATAGCTAATAACTGCCCCGAAGGGTTATCGCGAGGATGTAGTAAGATGCGTGGGGGTGCTTAGCATGATGCCACACAGGGAGGAGCCCCGCAATCAGCGGCAGCTGTTCCTCTGTGTCTGCAGCCACGCAGAAGCGGGAGCTAAGAAGGGTGTGACGGGAGAGGAAAGGCGAGAAGAGCACCAAAGGGGAAAGATCGTGAGAACTTTTTGAAACTGGGTACTCAACTTCGCCCACTTAGGCTGGCCCAGTCTGGAGCCACAGTCGTCCTCAGCCTTCAGGAAACCCCTGGGGCCTGGCCCTCCCGGCACCTGCTGCTCTCAGGCCCCCTGCCCCAGCCTCGGGGCAGTTCCAGGAAGACTCCCCCCGGCCCAGCCCAGGGCTGCAGCCACAGCTGGTCCTCAGCCCTCCGCACATCTTTGCAGAGTTTGATGGGGCGCCGGGCGGATGACAGCGGGAACGGTTGTGATCACTGGCGGAATCCTAGCTACGGTGATCCTCCTCTGCATCATTGCCGTCCTGTGCTACTGCAGGCTCCAGGTCAGTCCCCGGGACCCGTAGCCAGAGGCTGCCAGGCCACCAGCAAACCTCTTTTTCATTATGGGGGCAGAAACTGGAGGCCGACTTCAGGGCCCACAGAGCCCAAAGCTATGGAATGTAGCAGGCGTAAGTCAAGGAGGATGGGAGTTGGGGCTGGTCGGAAGGGAGCTAAGTGCCCCCCAGCCTGCCCACTCAGAGCACACAGAAAGTGTGCTGGAAAGATACGGGGTCATTGGGTTGTGTCTCCTGCACCTCTGAGATTTCAGGAGCATGGGAAGAGCACCATTCTGGGGAGGCTCTGAAAGCTGCCGCCAGCAGCTCCAGCCCTGTCCTCAATATGATGTGTGTGTCCCTGCCCCGCTCAACTACAGCCTGGAGTTACTGCGAGGAGTGGTGGGAGGGGAAAAGGAAAGCAGTACTGGCCTTGCAAAGCTGGGATTAGAAACTTGTGGAGCAGGCCCCTGGGGTTCAGTGCCTGGCACTAGGTTCTCCATGGAGCAGGGGACAGGGGCACCTGTGCACGCTCAAAAATGCATGGGGCGGGGGGAGCATTCACCCTCTCAGGCATCCCTCTGCCCTTCCGCACAGTATTACTGCTGCAAGAAGAGCGGAACCGAGGTTGCAGACGAGGAGGAGGAGCGGGAGCACGACCTTCCCACGCATCCCAGAGGCCCCACCTGCAATGCCTGCAGCTCCCAAGCCCTGGACGGCAGAGGCAGCCTGGCGCCTCTCACCAGCGAGCCCTGCAGCCAGCCCTGTGGGGTGGCCGCGAGCCACTGCACTACCTGCTCCCCATACAGCTCCCCCTTTTACATACGGACGGCTGACATGGTGCCCAATGGGGGTGGAGGCGAGAGGCTCTCCTTTGCTCCCACATACTACAAAGAGGGGGGACCCCCATCCCTCAAATTGGCAGCACCCCAGAGTTACCCGGTGACCTGGCCAGGCTCTGGGCGTGAGGCCTTCACCAATCCAAGGGCTATTAGTACAGACGTGTAAATCCTTCCACCCCGACCCGCACACACACCCACACTGCTGCCCTGGCGGGGGCCATGGGGGTGATGAATGACCCTCCAACAGCCCCACATGGGTTGTTTCTGTTTCTTTGGCTTTTCTCGCTCCGCAGTGGAGGGTTTACTAGGATTTAAGCTTTTGAGTGCATTGAGAACCAAGACAGGGCCTGGCTCCAACTCTGTGGGCCAGAGGTGGGGGACTGCTAGGTCGAGTCTGCAGCTTCGCCAGTTTCTTGGTTGGGACACTCCTCTGGCAGCCCCAGCACCACCACAACCCCTTGCAGTGTGCCCCAGTCCCCTGGATTCGCTGGACTGCAAAAAGGAGCACCAGGGAAAGCTCAGCAAAGGCTCAGGAGGCCTCCCGGGTCCTCGGGAGATGAAGCATCCGTGCCTAGGAAAAGGGGACAGAGGGCAAGGAGAGAAGTGAGAGCTACAATTCCAGCATTGGAGAAGCGAGGGGCGGGGCGTCAACGGCACTGCTTCAGGACGCGCTTGCTGAAACGACTCCAACAGCTAGTTCACAGCCCAGCTTTGTACGTTGGTTACCATAGCTACTGCTGTCACTGTAGCTGCTCCCGTAGGGTCGTTGATTCCTGAACGTATCACATCTCACCTGCCCCCTTCCTCGTGGGACGTGTCAAGTTGACTTTAAAGCCTAAGGTGGCTTGTGGGGACTGCACCAGAAAGTGTCTAACCTTGTGTTCCCCGAAATCCTTTCTCTGACTTAGGAACCAGCGCCCCCTGCTGGAGAAGTTTTTTCATTTTGTTAGCCGACTTCTGGTAGCTTAGCAAAGAGACCAGCTGACTGTCTCTCGGCCCAGCCCACCACGCCGAGTAGCTTGTGTGGATGCAGTCCTGTGAGGGTGTGCATAACCGTTCCCAGGTGTACGCACGCGCGCGCGCGCGCACAGACACACACACACACACACACACACACACACACACACAGTAACCACGGGTAGGCACCAGGGGCTTTGTACATTCAGGAGCTGCAGAGAGGAAAGGTCTCCCATGTACCAGAGAAGGAAAAGTCTGATCCCGAAACAGCTTGAACGAAAGGTGGTTAACACGTGACCAATCCCCATGGCAGACAGCGGGCTGGTGAACAGGAAGAGCACAGAATCTCTGTGGGGCGATGCTGCAGCGGCTGAAACCACGTCAAGTCCCCCAGAGCCCGGCATTCTATGTAAGCATCCACCTGTGACGCCGTGGAGCAGGATCTTCATTCATCTCACCAGAGCAACAGCCCAGTCCTGAGGATGGGAGGGACGTGACTTAGCCTTGGGATTCCACGCTCGCCGCCCTCCCTTGGCCGCCCTACTCCCCAGTTTCCTGGCGATGAGCCATTTATTGTGTCTCACACCAGCCTCATTTCCAACTCCGACTTCCTACTTAGAATGTGGCAGTGGCTTTGTGAGTGAGAATCCTGATGAGTTTTCCAGTGGCCTCTGCAGAAGCTGGCCCCCTTCTAAGGGCATAGCTAACCCCCTTCCCACTCCTGAGTCACTGAATTCGAGGAGGGTGGGGCAGGGAAAGGGCTGGCCCCCCTGCTGAAATCTTGATTCTGCATTTGAGGAAGGTCAGGGTGCCGCTGGGGGAGCAGGGAGCGGGGAGGGAGGAAGAGGGGAATGCACATCTTTTGCGCCACTATTAAGGCACCTGTCACCTTACATCTCAATCTGGAATCAAAGTGCCCTGGGTTGAGAAGCAGACCTGGGCTCTGGTCACACTTTGGTCACTCATTAGCTCTAGGACCAGTCACTAATCTCTGAGACTCCATTTTCTCCAGGGAAACGAGGCTTGCCCAGATAGACTAACAACCCTTTAGTGCTCCAAGAAGTGAGAATTTCCGAAAAAGATCTGCCGGCCCAGAGCACTCCCTCTTGCCCTAATCCTGGCAGGGTCTGGATGTATTTACCCAACTCTGATCTTGCGTGCAGGGATGCTTGCTGATGGATGAAAGACCACAATAAAACAAGATTAGCAGCAAAACAATTTTAATTGTCAGTGAAAAGCAAACATGTTTGTCAGACTCTCCTGTGGAGTCATTTCAAATGGTAACTCTTCTCTTGTACCAGGAAGCAGCTGTAGGTGGGGTAATGGGATCTGTCTCCTGGTGCAGAGGGGCAGCTTATGGCGGCAGCAGCTTCAACAAGCCCGTCCCACGGCCAGCCCTAACTGGGCCAAGTGCAAGCTCCTGATGAGCTGCTGGGCCTGGCAGCGTTCCCCACTTCCTAGTGCCTTGCTCCCCTGGAATTCCACAGCCAATCAACCACAGCAGCCGTGTCCTCCTTGCCAGAAATAACATCATTCGTACGTCCTGCCTTTGTAAAAATCAAGACCCAGTTAACCATCACCCACTTCTTGCCCCTGATTGATGGGGTCCCTGAGTACAAGCGTCCTGTGCAATCCCCTCCCTCCTACCGCTTTCCTAGCTAAGCCCTGCTAGCCCCACAAATCAGAATCTGGGTTTGGGGTGCTGGAGAGATGGTGGGCCCCAGCTCTTCCCCACATAGCCCACGCTGCTCAGGGCACGGTCTCCAACCAGGCTCGAGATTGCCTGCCTGCCCGCTGCAGCCGCAGGGCCCCACCCTGTGGAAAAGGAAGCTTCCCCCACTCAACTGCACTGTCCTTTTCTGCTGTCTAGTCTGTGCTAAGGGACACTACTTGTACACTTTTCAAACGGTGCCCTAAATTGGAAGAGAAGGAGGGGCCAGGAACACAGCCCTCTCCGCCGTCTTTCTCCACCTCCACTTCACCACTCCTGCTCTAGACTTCTTGTCTTGCATCTTTGATAACTTGGAGTCATAACCGAGTGGATGTCGGAATAAATGAGAGATTTGAAGTAGAAATCCCACAGGGTCCTTCGTTCTTCACCGGGGGAAGTGAAGGGGGCTGTTGGTGTGGATTTAAGGGTGAAGCCTCCTCTTCAACACCCAGAGCGTCTGTGTTCCACGCTCTCCCTGCTCCCACGGTAGCAAACCTCCACCTTGTTGCCTGGCATGCCCCCATTGCCTCAGTCAGAGTTCAATCGGCGGAGATTTGCTGTTTGTTGGGAAAGTGGCTGAAGGGCCCTGCTGAGGATAGTGAGTTTCCCTGTGGGGCAACCCAGGCCTCGGCCCCTGCTACCTGCCCTTCCCCTCTTCCCAACCCTGCACACACACCTTCCAGGCTGGTGGTCTTCCTGCCTGTGTAGCTCAGGGTAAAATCACTTCTCTGAAGCCTGAGGAGATCATGTCACATGGCCAGCCCTTTGTTACAGGGGCAGCAAGGGAAGAGAGGGGAATTGGGACCAGATCCCCAGTGCAGCCCAGCAGAGACTACAGAAGTGGAGAGGGATGGAGGGGGACTGGAGAACTGGGAACTAGCTTTGTGTGTAGGAGGGAGAATTCGGGGATGAAGTGAGAACGTCTTTTGTGTGTGTGTGTGTGTGTGTGTGTGTGCCTGCACTTGTGCACATGGGTGTGTACGAGACAGCTGCTCTCTCTCCACCTCAGGGCCTCAGGGCGAGCCCTGACTGCAGCTTGGGGGTACAGCAGGCAGCCTGCCCCAGCAGTCCAGCACCCAGGCCTCCAGCCCTGCAGCAGCCTTCCCTAGCACCAGTGGGAGCACAGCTTCCTTCACCCTCGGCCCAGGGAGCAGTTGGCCACAGCTCTGTCACCACAGCTGTTCTATGGAATCAGAAACCAGACCCTGAGGCACACTCATCATTGCATCCATCCCAACCTCCAGCCATCTCCTTTGCCGCCGCAGGGCAGCCAGCCCGGACTCGGCCTCCAGCCTCTCACCCGGCACATCTGCTTGGCCTCATGCTTGCTGGCAAGTCACGGCCCTGACCCAGCTCTTCTCCCTGGTGGCCCTCAACTGCCTTCAGCCTCAGCTCCAGCTGGGGAGGAGGGTGGAAGAGCAGCTTGAGTCAGACTGAGGAATGCAAGAGAGGTGCTGGCCGTCCTTGTCACTGTTCTTTGGAAAATGCCTCCATCAGTGCCTGAAGTTCAAGGAGTGTGGGCTGTTTTCTTTCTGAGTTCTGAGCAAATCGAGCTGGGGGACTCCGGGGCATGCTGCGCTATCCTGGGAGTCTCGGCCTTAGGCGGTTTGGTGATCTTCCCCTGGAAATAATCAGTGGGTCCTGAGCAGCACTTGTAAACTTGAATGTAGAAAGCTGGGTGAGAAGTTTTCATCCTCCGCACTGTTCAGGCCCAAAAAAGTTGGAGGCAGAGGCTGTCGTCAAAGTGGCACATTGCCCTCATACCCGGGGGCTTTCCAACCAACAGCTCTGGCACCCCAGATTCCAGCAGCCCCATAATGGCATCATTCAGCCCACATCCCCAAAACCTGTCCATGTCACTCTGCCCCTGGGGCTTCTGCAGGGACTTCAAGGAGAAGCTTCTTTCACCATAAAAACATCTCACCCAGTTTTCTACGCTCAAATTTACAAGTGCTGTTCAGGGACTATTGATTATTTACAGGAGAAGATCGCCAAACTACCTAAGACTGAGACTCCTGGGATAGGGCAGCATACCCCGGAGTCCCCCAGCTCGATTTGCTCGGAACTCAGAAAGAAAACGGCCTACACTCCTTGAACCTCAGGCACTGACGGAGGCATTTTCTAAAGAACAGTGACAAGGACGGCCAGTACCTCCCCCGCAGTCTGACTCAAGCTACTCCTCCACCCTCCTCCCCAGCTGGCCCCTCTCTCCACCAGTTCCCCCTCCCAACGGCCATCCTTCCTTCATCGCCGGCCTGTCAGCTCGCTGGGTGGAGAACCAAGTAGTGCACAACCTCTCAGAACACACCACTTGCACCTTCACAGCGTGCCTCGGAGGGAGTGGCACATGGCTCCATCCTCCAGCCCAGCACACAGCACCCCTCATGCAGCTGGCTCATGCTGAGGATGGCAGGAGGAGGTGAAGGCGGAGCTCCCGGGTCACAAAGCCATTATCTCTTTTCTCCTGTGACCTAACACCCCAGCAGACACAGCAGTCTAGTGGCAGCGGTTAGAAGGTGGGATTTGGAAGCAGACTTCAGCTGGAATCCTGACTCTACCACTTACTGTGTGACTTTAGGCAACTTTGGGGACCTCTCTCCTTCTCAGTTTTCTCACTTGTAAAATTGGGATCATAATGCCCACTGTATTCCATGAAAATTAAGTGAGCTGACTGGGTGCGGTGGCTCACACCTGTAATCCCAGCACTTTGGGAGGCAGAGGTGGGCAGATCGCCTGAGCTCAGAAGTTCGAGACCACCCTGGGCAACATGGTGAAATCCTGTCTCTACTAAAACACAAAAAATTAGCCGGACGAGGTGACAGGCATCTGTAGTCCCAGCTACTTGGGAGGCTGAGGCACCAAGAATCACTTGAGTCCCGGAGGCGGAGGTTGCAGTGAGCCAAGACTGCACTACTGCACTCCAGCTTGGGCTACATAGTGAGACACCATCTCAAAAAAAAATTAAGTGAGCTGACACCTCACTTAATTTTAATGGATACAGTGGGCATTATGGTCCCAATGTGACACCTCACATTAATGATAATGGCACATGTGGTAGCCACTATCATTAGCAGTATAGCCAAGTCCAAACTCTACCACTCACAACATGACAGCCAATAAGTTGAGAGAAGGTGTTGGGGTAAGGAAGATGACTTTATTTCTGGGAGCTTCCAACTGAGAAGATGGAGGACCAATGTCCTAAAGAACATTTTTTTTTTTTTTTGTGAGTCGGAGTCTCACTCTGTTGTCCAGGCTGAAGTGCAATGGCACAATCTTCAGCTCACTGCAACCTCCACCTCCTGGGTTCAAGCAATTCTCCTGCCTAGGCCTCCCGAGTAGCTGGGATTACAGGTGCCCGCCACCACTCCCAGCTAATTTTTGTATTTTTAGTAGAGATGGGGTTTCACCACAGGCTGGTCTCTTGGCCAGGCTGGTCTCGAACTCCTGACCTCGTGATCCTCCTGCCTAAGCCTCCCAAAGTGATGGGATTACGGGCATGAGCCACCGTGCCCAGCCAGAACCAACTTAGATTGATAGATTTTTTTAGGCTTCTTTCATATTAGAGGAAGAGGGACCATGCAGGGGGTGAAGGTCTGGAGGTGACTGGAGGCCACAGACATCTGGCTGTCATCAGGGGTCCAAGGAGGTTGCAAAACTTCTTTGTTCATGGTCAACTGCTTGTCAGATCCACCTTGTTGCTCTAAGTCTTTCAGACAGCACTGTTACTTGAGTGCACACTTCCTCATCTCCTCAGGAGTCTGTTTCAAAAGAGAGGTGGTCATTAGTACTAGCGTTAAACTGTAATCAAAATGCTTTTCGTGGTTAGCTTGGCCTGTGTCTAGGGATGAGCAAAGGCAGTTGGCTTATGAGGTTAGAAGCAAGATGGAGTCAGCGATGTTAGATTTCTCTGGCTGTTACAGTAGGATATACAGACAGAACCGAATCTGGAGGCAGCAGGGCCCCCCACAGGGGCTACTTAGGCAACAGGAAGGAAGGTTCCCTCTGGGCTCTCCCATTCTCCCCACTGCACCAATGTCCACACCTGCACTCAGTCCCTCCTCCCTCGTACTACTTGGTTCTCCACCCAGTGAGCTGCCGGGCGATGAAGGACGGATGGCCGTTGGGAGGTGGAGAGAGGGGCCAGCTGGGGCCAGCCTGTGCCACTACTGCCAGGTCCACCTCTCTCTCTGTGTGGAACCTCCCACCTCTGCCAGTAACTCTGCCTGTGACTCACTGAGGGACCCATGCTCCCAGCAACCTATGACTGCATTTTGGCCTCATATGTGCCCCAATAAACTGAACGAATGAAGGAGAGCATTCATATTTCAACTAAGAGCACAGATCTCTGCTTGGAGACAGAGACTCACTCTGTCACCCAGGCTGGGGGTGCACTGGCGCAATCCCAGCTCACTGCAACCTCCGCCTCTGGAGTTCAAGTGATTCTCCTGCCTCAGCCTCCCGAGTAGCTCGGATTACAGGCACCTGCCACCATGCCTGGCTAATTTTTGTATTTTTAGTAGAAACAGGGTTTCACCATACTGGCCAGGCTGGTCCCAAACTCCTGACCTCAGGTGATCCACCCGCCTTGGCCTCCCAAAGTGCTGGGTTTACAGGTGTGAGCCACCACACCTGGCTGCGCTTCTTGTTTCACTAGCTTTCGAGTTCAAGTCTTGGGTTTGAAAGCTGGTTCCGAAAGGAGTCAGAAGACCCCCAGCTCTTCCTCTTGAGCCCAAATTCTTCGGCCCATCCATCCCTGGCTCCACTGGGCTTCTCCCAGAACCTGCCACACATTCTGGCTTTCCTACTACCAGAAGTGGGCAGGGACTCCAGATATCACTGAGCAGGTGAGAGGGGAAGGAAGGGCAGGAGAGAGGAAGCCCAGATGTGCAGGAGGGAGGGAAGGAAACGGGCTCAGGCAGAACACCATCTGCATCTTCACAGTTAGGAAACCAAAGGAGAACCACCTGGAGGACTGGACCTGCCACACGCCTGTCGCTCCTGCCAGTACCGGCTCTAAGGGACCTGCCTTCCTTCTGCTCTGAATCCTCCTCCCTCGTGTCCTGCCGGGCTCCACGGAGAAGCAAGAGGGACGATGGCACAGCTGCACACCCAAACCTGTGGGTCACAGGGGGCTCCATTCCCCTAACCATCAGATAGTCGCTTACATCCCATGGATATAAACTTTCAAGAAATAAAATTAAGGTTATCTTTCTCTATTCAGCTTACAAATGGTTCAGCTGACTCTGCAGCCCTGCTGCACCCCTCTTCATTTGACAGACACAGATGCTGCTTTACTTACAATGGGGCTACGTCCCAATAAGCCCATCCTAAGCTGAAAATATCATAAGTCAAAAACTGATATAGCTAACCTACCAAACATCACAGCTTAGCCTACCTTAAACATGCTTAGAACACTGACGTTAGCCTACAGTTGGGAAAATCATCTAACACAAAGCCTATTTTATGACAAACTCATGACTATCTCATGTAATTTATTGAAAACGTACTGAAAGTGAGAAACAGAATGGTTGTATGGGTGCTCCAAATGTGGTTTCTACTGAACATGTACTGTTTTTGCACCATCATAAAGTCAAAAACTTGTAAGTGAAACCATTGTAAGCTGGGAACCATCTGTGCTGGTTTTGTCACACTACTTACTGTGTGATTTAGGCAAGTCTTCTATGTAATTCTAAGTTGTTTGGGGGAATGTCATATGAACAGACTTATCTCCACTTCAACATGAGCTGAGGTAGCTTTCCTGGTTCTAGGCAACTGAAATAAGGGAAATAAAACTCTGGGGACTGAATTCTGCCAGTTCTATAAAACAGTATCAAACCTCTACTGACAGCCTTGGAGGAGGATGACCGGCAAGATTTGAACAGCCACCAAGCGCCACCAAGCTCCCCCAACCACCTGCATGCACCTGCCTTCATCTCTTCTGGGCCCTTCCATGGGTGCCAGTGGAGCAGGGCTTCTTCAAAGCAGCTCTCAGCACCTTTGCCTTTTCCCCTTGACCCTTTTCTTAGGGGGAGTGAAGCGTACTTTTTAGAAGTACTATTTCTGCTAGAAGAAATAAAAGCTGTAAGTATGCTCCTTAATACTTTAGTCATGAGAGTTTTTATTCTAGATCCAACTGAACAACTTGAGCTTGAACAGAGGCCTGACACCCTCACAAAATCTTCTGAACTCTTCCCTCAAGCACAGGGGCCCAACCAAAGGGACAGGCCTTCTCCAGGTAAGCAGCGTATGCTGTTAGCCACCAAACAGTCAGCTAAGGAGGCCATGGCTCAGACCCCAGGGAGGGGTATCTCTAACTCTTCCCAGGCAGGAATCTTTTTTTGTTGGTTATTTATTTATTTATTTATTTATTTATTTATTGAGATGGAATGTCACTCTGTCACCCAGGCTGGAGTGCAATGGCGTGATCTCGGCTCACTGCAGCCTCCGCCTCCCAGGTTAGAGCGATTCTCCTGCCTCAGCCTTCCAAGTAGCTGGGATTACAGGCACCTCCCCCACCACACCTAGCTAATTTTGTATTTTAGTAGAGTTGGAGTTTCACCATGTTGGTCAGGCTTTTTGTGATTAGCTTGGCCTGCATGTAGGGATGAGCAAAGGCAGTTGGCTTATGAGGTTAGAAGCAAGATGGAGTCAGCGATGTTAGATTTCTCTGGCTGTTACAGTAGGATGTACAGACAGAACCAAATCTGGAGGCAGCAGGGCCCCCCACAGGGGCTACTTAGGCATCAGGAAGGAAGGTTCCCTCTGGGCTCTCCCCTTCTCGCCACTGCACCGATGCCCACACCTGCACTCAGCCCCTCCCCTCAAACTCCTGACCTCAGGTGTTCCACCTGCCTTGGCCTCCCAAAGTGCTGGGATTACAGGCATGAACCACACCGTGCCTGGCCCAAAGCAGGAATTCTCAGGCAGGCAGAGCCCTGGAGAGAGGGATGGGAGGAAGATGAGAGGAAGGATGGAGGCCATCTTTTTAAAATTTATTTTTATTTATTTTATTGAGACAGGGTCTCACTCTGTCCTCCAGACTGGCGTGCAGTGGTGTGATCATAGCTCAGTGTAACCTTGAACTCCTGGACTCAAGCAATCCTCTCACCTCAGCCTCCCTAGTAGCTGGGATTACAGATGCGTGCCACCATGCTCAGCTAATTTTTTGTAGAGACATATTCTCACTATGTTGCCCAGGCTGGTCTCAAACTCCTACCCTCGAGTGATCCTCCCTCCTCGGCCTCCCAAAGCCACCATGCCCAGCCAGGAGGTCATCTTCATGTTCCTAGTCCCTGAAAGGCAAGATCTTCTAAAGCAGCTCCATTCAGGCTATAAAAAGCTCAACCTTCTCCAAATATGTGAAATTATTGTCCAACAAACATGTTCCAATACATTCAGCATAAAGACACCTGGGATTATTCATAAGGATAACATTTCTGCTTCTAAACTCATTTGTTGGGCAGCCCTGAACTCTTCCTGAAGCTTAGGAAATGGACATCCAGCCAGGGCCGTGCCCTAAGCAAGGCAGAAGCCACCCCTGCAGAAAATCCCCCTCCACAATCCCAGGTGCCTCGCTCCCAGGATATCATTTGCCAAGGGTGGCTAGTCCCTGCAGGGAGCCTCTCCTAGGCCTCCAGGGAACTGCTTGGCCTCCCACTTCCTCTCTATCCTGTCAACAACTCCCCCCTCTCCCCACACCAACAGAGGGAACCCAGCCACAGCTGATAGATGAGGCAACCCTGAACTCTCAGGGGAGAGGACAGTTCCGGTCTCCACAGGGGTGGATGGCCAGAGGCTGGGTGGCCAGATTGCACTAGGCATGTGAGGTTGCCTTCCCATCCAGGTGTAGACAGAAGACGACGTGGCTCCCCCGGCCCTGGCCACAGGCACCTGAGCGTGTCTGGGACTCAGGTGCAGGCCTTGGGTACAAGCCAGGTCTGCATCCACTCTCACCCATCCCTGCAGGGACCGCCCTCCTGGGCTTTGCCTTGACCCAGAGTTTTTCCATCCATTGGGAATTAGATCCTTATTCCTAAAACTAGCAAAGAACCACTCACTCCCCCAACAGGATGTTTGTTCTGGGTCTAATGAGACATTTTGAAATTCAAGTCCTCTGAACTCTTTCCCCAAACTAAAGGGCTCCAGAATGATTAGAAGACTCCAAACCCCAGGCCCCTGGATACTCGGGTTCCCACCAGCTCCCCCGCCCTTCTCTTAACTCTGCCTCCCTCCCACCCTGCCTGGCCCCTCATGTCCCCATCAGAGGAGGAGTCATGAGCTGGTGAGAATGAATAGGAGGAACCTAAAAGAGAAAAATTAAGAATTGAGAATTTTACAAAAGATGCAAGTTATAATATAAAATGGAAGTAAAGAAAAACTGGGAGGACACACACACAAAAACTAATAAAAATAGTTTCCTATTGGGAGGGAGCAAGGAATAGAAGACACAGAGGCAGAAATGAGGCTTTTCAATTCATGCCTCCTTGTTATTTTGGTTTTTGTCAGTCTGCATTTCAAAAAGAAATTTTTCCGAGTACAATTATACAAAACCCCACCTGAGAATTGAGTGCATTCTGCGTATTCTCCCGCAGGGGCAAGACGACGGAGGTATCTGCTGTGATCATTGAGCCCTGAAGGATGCCTTGTTAGTGGAGAGCGGCCTTCAGCACATCCTGCGTGTCTTAGGACAGGACATGCCATGCCTTCCTGCTCTGGAACAGGGACTTGGCTCCCTTTGAGCCTCTCTGGGGGCTTTCAACAGGCAAAGGGCCTGCTATGCTCCAACTGCTGAGCAATTTTCTCCCCACAAGGTCAAGGGCAGAAGGCTAGAGTGAAAAACAGTGGCAGCTGGCACAGGTTCGTTCATATTGTATGAATTTTTTTTGTTTTTGTTTTTTATTTTTTTGAGATGGAGTCTCACTCTGTCGCCCAGGCTGGAGTGCAGTAGTGTGATCTCGGCTCACTGCCTCCTAAAGTCCTGGGATTACAGGCATGAGCCACCGAGCCCGGCCTCCAAAGATTTTTCATCACTCCAAGCAGAAACTCTGGAACCATTCATGTTTGAATTATTTTTAACAGATATGTTCAATTTTTGTATGTCAGCAAGGCCTGGAAGTAGGTTCATCTTGTCGGGAGGATGGGGCTCAGTAAATCTGTAGGTAGGCAGGATGATGAGGGGTCATCCCTTCTCTTTCCCCAAGTTGAAATCTCCTAAGCAAACACTGACTTCAAGGAACTCCAAATATAAAGGGATTGGAATGCAGCTTCACAGCCTGTCCTGGGGGACACGTTGGGGCGGTTCACGCAGGCAGCAGATTTTAAGATGAAAAGAAAGGGGATCTAGACAGTGGAGAGACGTGAGCGAAGCAGGGCTAGAGGAGACCAAAGTGGAGAGAAGGCAGTGAGACACCTGGGAGGGGGAAGGCGCAGGGCAAAGGAAACAGTGGTGGGGTGGGCGGCTCAGCCTTATGCGGCCTGGCCTGGCCTCCTTCCTCCCAGGCTGTGAGCACACTGAGGTCCTGGGCTGTGCCAGCTGAGGAGATGGATGGCAGAAGCCTCGGGGCAGACCACTCACAGGTCCCCAGGCAGAAGCTGTTCACTGGGGTAGACCCCACAGCCTTCTCTCCAGGCCTTGCTGCACTGGGCCATCTCCTCGTGGTCCCAGGATGTCCCAGCAAGCGGAGCACTGACCACAGGAGTAGGGGTGAGGGAACAAACCAGGCATACACTCCTGGCATCGCCAGACCTTGGCCCTGAACCCCACCCAAACGGATCCATTTAAATGATCCTGAGGTCTAGGAACCCGCTGGGATTCGACAGAAATGTGAGCCCATCAGGTATTCAAAAAGGGTCTGTGCCAGTCCCCCAAATAGTTTAAAAACAACAACACTAGAAATTTTCTCTATCCACCTGGAATGAGTTTTCGGTTACAATTCTGACCCCATGCACCCTCCTCCACCCACCCAAATCCTACCTGTCCTTCAAACCTTGTCCAGGATTCTATGATTTATTCCCCTGAGGCCCCTGGAAGCAATCACTCCCTTTTCTGGATAAGCAAAACATCCTCTCTCCACCTCCCCGCGTGTTGCTGGATTGCTGGTATCTGGCATGCCCTATATTTTCCCTTGCGGACAGGTTGTTCCTTGAGGCTGGATTCCCCACTGCACTGGCCCCAGCACCCAACACAGGCCTTGCACACGCTTTACAGCCAGCCAAAGCCAGCTGAAGGAACCAGATGCACTCCTGTCTTTCATAGGCTGGAGGGTTTTTTTTTTTCTTTTCAATGTCTTTCACTGTGGTAAAATACACATATAAAGCTTATCACCTTCACCATTAAGTGGGCAGCAGTTCAGTGGTATCAAGCACATTCATAATGTGTGACCGTCACCACCATCCACTGCCGTGACTCTTCATCTTGCAAAACTGAAACTCTATACCCATAAAACAAAAGCTCCCCATTCCCTCAACCCCCAGCCCCAGGCAACCACCATTCTAACTTTCTGCCTTTATGATTTTGCCCACTCTAAGTGCCTCACATAAGTGGAATCATACGGTATTTGTCTTTTTGTGAATGGCTTATTTCACTCAGCATAACGTTCTCAAGGCTCATCTCATGTGGCAGGTCGGAATTTCCCTCCTTTTAAGGCTGAATAATATGTCATTGTATGTATGCTATACTTTACTTATCCATTCATCTGTGGATGGATAAATGGGTTGCCTCCACATTTTAGTTACTGTGAATAACACTGCTATGAACATGGGTGTAGAAATACATCATTGAGAGCCAGGCGCAGTGGCTCATGCCTGTAATCTCAGCACTTTGGGAGCCTGAGGTGGGCAGATCACCTGAAGTCAGGAGTTCGAGACCAGCCTGGCCAACATGGTGAAACCCAGTCTCTACCAACAATACAAAAATTAGCCGGGCGTGGTGGTGGGCACCTGTAATCCCAGCTACTTGTGAGGCTGAGGCAGGAGACTCGCTTGAACCCAGGAGGCGGAAATTGCAGTGAGAGGAGATTGCGCCATTGCACTCCAGCCGGGGAGACAAGAGGGAAATCCCATCTCAAAAAAAAAAAAAAAGAAAAGAAATACATTGTTGTTGAGACCATGCTTTCCATTCTTTTGGGAATTCTACTTCTGTCCCTAGAAGTAGAGTTGCTGGATCATGTGGTAATACTATTTGTAATTTTTTGAGGAACCACCATCCCCATCCCGTTTGCCACAGCAGCTGCAACATTTTGCGATCCCACCAACAGTGTCCCAGAGTTCAATTCCTCCACATCCTGTTAGGTTACAAGCTTTAAGAGGATTAAATACTGGGGCTTCATTTACACCCAAGCACATGATGATGGCAGAGGTTTAGTAAGATTGTAGTTTGAACTCCTGGGGAAAATGATTCCACAGTCCATTTGCAACAAACGGGGTAATTTGAGGACTTGGAGCTGGGGCGTCTGCTCGGACCTGTACCTCAGAGCACTCGGAGACCTGCCAGGGCTTTCCTCATCAGCTTCATGATCTGGAGCACGAAGTATTGAACAACCAAAGCCACACTCCTTTGGTAGCATCTGAGTTTTCAGTTTCTTTCTCCCTGCTTCTCTGAGCTTCTTCCCTTTTGGGAATTACACAGCAATCGGGACCAACCTAACAAAACTAGCTGGTCATTTATAGATTCTTCCAGACTGAAACTCCCCAAAGCCAACTTACCCAATATGGTGCCACCACCCTTCTTGCTTCCATGTCCAGCTGTGAAAGGTAGGATTCTAGAGCCACTGGCAGCAGTCTGGAGGTCAGGGCTGGGACTTTTTCAGGTGCAGGTTTTTCAGGAGCTGCTGACTGACCTGGGTATCCAGGTCCAGAGAGGTATCCACAGACACTGCTGTCTCCCAAAGGCAGTGGCATGAAACCAAGAGCACTGCAGCAACGTAAAGCACCCTGAGTGGCCAGGCAGGGCTGCAAGCACATGAGGCCATGGTTCTCTCCTGGAGTGGACACACTGAGGACAGTCAGCCTCTTGGTACATCAGTAGCAACTGTAGCTCTGCCCCTTGCGCAGGAGCATGGGGAACAAACACGCATCTGTCCAGCCTGAGACCAGTGTCTAGAACCATTCCCAGCCCAGCCAGTGGAGACTCCAGGGCCAATCCCTCTACTTCCAGCTGCACATCAGGCCCTGCTTCTGGGCTGTGCCTGCCCAGCGGCTCTGCTCACCCTGCCTCCTCTGCTACTGACTCCACAAAGCCCCTCAGGCCCAGCTGGAAACCTGGAAGTGGCATTTCCCTGCTGCTGACATATCTGATAGTACTTGGACTGGCGGGGACACGGGGTGCAGTTTGGATTCTGGGATAGAGCACAACGGACCTCTGCATCATGTGGGTGGGAGGTGCAAGGGAGCGCCAGAGTGAGGGCTTCCATCAGCCCCCGGCATGGCCCTTCCCAGGCTGCCAGTCCTGCAGTTATGGGTGCCGTAGACAATATGCACCTCCAAGCGGGGAGATGAGGTGGTGTACTCTGTAAAACAAGAATGCTGAGAAAGCCTCATATGGAGGCAAACAGCCATTTCCCACACCCCCAGATAGTTCAATGGTAGGTTCTTGTAAATACTGTACTTCCCTGGCTCACTAAGGTTTCCCCACAGTGGAAAGACCAGTGGCCTTGGGCCCAGGATCTAGGTTCTGGGCTCAGGTCTACACTGTAACCTGTGGCCTTAGGCAGTCACTTAGCCCCTTGGTTTCCCCATCTGCAAAATGACCCTTTCAGTCATTCCATGTTACTATTTCATGCCCCCTTTTGTTTCCTAGACTTTCTTGACTTACAGGCCTCTAGGCAAAGAAACTCAAAGCCAAAGTGTAAGAAACCTATTAGTGACCCAAGTCCAGTCAAATGAAGCTAGGACATTTCAATAAAGACGAAACAACTTGATTTTCAGAAATCCAACTCATCTACAACTTTCAGGAGTCTCCGTGTTGCATGAAGTTATGTAGAAAGGGGCCGGAAACGATCATTCTCTTGGTGAGCCCAGTGGTTTCCTCTACGATTGAGTCCACAACTTTGACCCCTGAGATCCGTTACTCTAATGGTGAACCGACGTGCTCCTACGCTGAAGTGTGCAGTAAGCCCAATCCGTGCCTGGATTTTGAAAAAACTGCCATTAGAGAGGAGAGTTAACAGAGAGAAAACTGTTTATTCAACTAACATTTATTGAGGACCTAAACTAGACACCAAACGTTTGTGTCAGGTGTTAGAGAAATAAAAATGAAAATGCCACCCCTGCCCTCAAGGAGCTTATTAAATTCCAGGGTGGAAAATTAACATGTATTTTCACAGGTGAGCTACTAAACCTTCCCAGGTATTTACTTGCTTGAGACTAAAATAAGCTACAGTGGAGACTGCAGGTAGAAAGTGGAGTCAGGTGTTCAAAGACTGGCCATAATCAGAGACTGGTGGGTCCATCTGCCTGCCAAATGTGGAATCATGACTTTAGGAAGCTGATGTTAGCCTCAGTGTTTCTTTCCCACCAGACTTTGTCCTCGGGAAAAGAGTGAAATTACTACGGATGGGTCTAGATCACTAGAGGAGGGGCAGGGAGCTATTGATCAAAGCATTTTTTAGACAGTGAAGACAGACTTGCTACCAAGCAATGGGCTTACTGCCCGACACACAGAGAAGCCAATACTATGGCTTTGGGCTTTGAGAAAAGAAAGGCTGGCCGGGCACGGTGGCTCATGCCTGTATTCCCAGCACTTTGGGAGGCCAAGGTGGGTGGATCACGAGGTCAGGAGTTCAAGACCAGACTGGCCAACATAGTGAAACTCCGTCTCTACTAAAAATACAAAAAATTAGCTGGGCGTGGTGGCAGGTGCCTGTAATCCCAGCTACTCAGGAGGCTAAGGCAGGAGAATCACTTGAACTCGGGAAGTGGAGGTTGCAGTGAGCCGAAAGCACACCACTGCACTACAGCGTGGGCGACAGAGTGAGACTCCATCTCAGAAAAAAAAAAGAAAAGAAAAGAAAGGCTTTGTTCTGAGGTCAACTGCTAAGGGGACAGCAGGCAAAACTCAAATCTGCCTCCCATATCTGGGTTTTGGGGCAAGTTTTATGGGTTAGGAAGGACTGGTTGGTATGTGAAAGTGCTGGCAGGGCAGGATTTGATTGGAAGGACTTCAAATGAGACGACTTTTGGTAAGGCATGGGGAGGGGTCTTATCACCAGAAATTCCTAGACAACTGACCCCCCACTTTTGAAAATGTTCCAGTGTTCAGGTTCCACATAAGTCCCAAACGTTTAGTTCCATGGTTGGGGAAAAGACTTTAGTTCCCAGTGTCATTTGAGGTCGAAGTTTTCTTTTCTGTGCATGCCCTGGCTGCGTAAGTTGCAACTTCTTAGCTCTGTGTCTGCAAAATAACTGGCCGTTCTGTTATCCACAGAGTAGGGCCAGATAAGACTGGTCTGGTGGTTACAAACTGAAATTCAACCAGAGATGGATGCAGATATACAGAGGATGTGCTAGGTGAAAGGCTACAGTCTTGAGAAGGTAGACAGAAATAATGTGGTAAATGAAAGCAATAAGAGGAGAAAGAAGACAGATGCTAAGATATGCTCCTGACCATTAGAATTACAGAGTTCTAGGGCTAGAAGGACCGTCAGAGGTCATCACATCCACCTCCACCTCAATGCATGACCACAGAAACCATCTGACAGGAAAGGGTGTGTCCAGTTTTGAAGGATAATCAAACAATCCTGGAGTGCAAGGTGTTCATTACAGAGCAAAGCCAGCCCTGGAAGAGCCTGACCCATGGGCACTCAGCAACTATTATTGAGTCAACCAGCTGCAAAGGCTCAAGGGAAGGGGTTTGCATTTGCCCTTCTCATTCCTCTCAGAAACTCAAGCACCTGCTACCTCGTTGTAAAAGGGAAGAAAAAGACTGAGCTACGCAAGATACGTAGGCAGAAGATACTTAAAAAGGGGTTATAACTCCCATGCGTTCATTTCTTAGACACTGGAACCACACAGGGACTAAAACAGGAGACCCAGGAGTGGCTACAGGATGGGAAAGAAGCAGATGGAAGATGCAGGACTTCCTACATCTTTGTGATTCTACAAGAAAGTGTGTTTACAGGAGCTGGATAAATGTAGCAGGCTTTGGCCACAGGGGCACTTGGATCTGTACCCCACATGGCTAACAGAGCCAAAGCCCTGTCACAGCACTGTCGTGGTTGCAGCCATGAGGCCAGATCACAGCCAGCCCAAGGCAGTGTTGAGGATGAGGAGAAGGTGGAATCTGGCACCCCTTGGCGGGGCAGCTGCAGGTGGCCGTCGTAGTGAATCAAACCCAGCAGGCACCACTCAACAAAACTACCTTCACCTCCCAGATAGCCACAGCTCACTGGGCCACCGTCATGCTTCAGCATCACCTCAGCAAACAAGCCAGTTCTCACTCCAGTTTTTAACATTTTAAGAATGTGAAACTAGAGCAAATTTCAAATAACAAGGCATAGTTGTGGTTTTCCTCACAGGGATGTTTCTACTCCTCCTATTGGCACCTGCTTTAAACATTAAGTGGAACATGTGATCTCAAAACCACTGAACGACTTTGATGTTCGGGATGAAAAAGAAAAGAGTGAAGATGGTAAGCAAGGGACCATTTGCTAATTTTTCCCAAATGCATCTGTGAACCCCTTCCCCCATAAAACAAATTGGTTTGCTTTTTAATATGGTGTGTTTTCTCCAGATGACTGTGAAAATTCCTGCTCATTGATGCTACCAGCTGGGACTGGTGGATGGAGAGTTAATCAAAACAACTACGTAAATCTACAGGTTCTCATCCTTCCTCTGCAAAAGGTTGTCTATGCACCAGAACAAGCCATCTCTCTAGTCTTTATTTAGTGTTTTGTGTGACAAAAACTTACATGCAATGCTGCCCACCAGGAAGTAAGGTAAGGCAAAATGATGGGGACTAAATGCTGTCTGAAAAATAGCCACTCCAGCCTGAGCAAAGTAGTGAAACCGCATCTCTACAAAAAAAAAAAAAATTTTTTTTTTTTTTTTTGGAGACAGTTTCGCTCTTGTTGCCCAGGCTGGAGTGCAATGGTGCAATCTTGGGTCACTGCAACCTCCGCCTCCTGAGTTCAAGTGATTATCCTGCTTCAGCCTCCTGAGTAGCTTGCATTACAGGCGCCCACGACCACCCCTAGCTAATTTTTTGTATTTTTAGTAAAGACGGGGTTTCAGTATGTTGGCCAGGCTGGTCTTGAACTCTTGACCTCAGGCAATCCACCTGCCTTGGCCTCCCAAAGTACTGGGATTACAGGCGTGAGCCACCACGCCAGGCCAAAAAAAATTTAAAATTAGCCAGGCACGGTGGTGCATGCCTGTGGTTCCAGCTATTCCAGAGACTGAGGGGGGAGGATTGCTTGAGCCTGGGAGGTCGAAGCTGCAGTGAACTGTGTTCGTCCCACTGCACTCCAGCCCAGGTGACGGAGCTAGACTCTGTCTAAAAAAAGAAAGAAAGAAAAAAGAAAAACCCTGCTCATGGTCTTCACCCAGTTTTTACTCCCCATCAGACTACAGCTCTTCATCTCTTCAAGACCCTTCTGCAAAACAGCTGCTGCATCCCCATTGGGCCTGAAAGGGTCACCCCCTCAGATGAGAGGCATGTTTGCATTTTCTTTCTACCTGGGTTTTGACCTGGGTTCTGTGCATGAAAATTTGTCAGGGGACAACCAGCCCAAATCACAGCTGGGAATATCATTATCTGCTGCAATGAGTAGCAGATAATGACCCATAGGGCCTAGTGGATTAATTATTTCTAATGCAGGGCTGGTTTCTCCTCCTGTATCCTCTTCGAAGCATGCTGCTACAAAGTCTCAAAATGTTGATCCACTTGGAGACTTTGAACAGCATATTGCTTATGGATACCCTATTGTCAGCAAAAAAGGACATCCTCCCAAACTATATATTCTTAGTCCTATTTCCCATAGATAAAAGAGGGAGGATCCTATTCAAAGGTTACAAACCTTGGGGTGGAAGGAAATATTCACCCAAACCATACGAGGGGCTTTTTTCTCCGTATGTCATTAGGATAGCTGATGTTCAACTCAGTTGTTGGCACATGTGGGTATTCGGTAAATATTTGCAAATTGAATGTGTAGCCTCATACCCAAGATTACAGAAAGCAAAAAAGTCGGGAGACAAAAGGATTACAGAATTAGGAATACTTGGAGAAGAACTAAGGACCACCAGTGGCTTTGGTATGAGGGTGTTTATATTCTCATTCTAGGAATAAATATTTTCACAGATCTTCTATTATTCAACATCATTTGTAAGATAATCCAGTAGAGAGGGGTTTCCTTTCACAGAAAACCATGGCAGTTAGGAAGCAACTCAGGCACTGTTTATCTCCGCGAGGGTCCTCAGTGAATTGAGTCGTTCCAAAGATGAATAAAGATTCCTTGTTTCCAGAAAATGGAAGGAAATCTCACAGTGCTGGAGGGAATAGGGGAAGCAGAGATAATCCATTCTCATCTTTCATATTTGACTATGAAAAAGAATTGGTATTTTAAACAAACTTAGAACTTCACCAGATGTGGGTTTTTAGATTTGAGACACAACACTTTCTAGCTGCTTCCAGCCATAGTAAAATCATAAAAACAAAGCTACCCAGAACAGAGTTTGCTTGCTTCTTGGATATGCAGACTTAATGTCATGAAGATGCCAATTTCCCACCAGATCACTAGAAAAATTAATGCAATCCTATGAAAAATATTTACTTTTTAGACAAGGTGATTTTAAAGTTCATTTGAAAGAATAAGTAATAATGCTAGAAAAATTCAGAAAAAAAAAATGAGCCACCACCAGATATTAAAGCCACAATAATTAAAACTGTGTGGTACTTATGCCTAATCAGCCAGGTCAATGGATCAGCATAGAACATTCAGAAAATAAGCACAAATACATATGAGAATCCAGTATGTGACAAAGTGGCATTTCAAATCAGTGAGGAAAAGATGGATTCTCAATCAACTATGTTTGAACAGTTATAGCAATTCAAATGAAGCATGTCATTGATTTGTTAAATTTGAATATTCACTTTCAAATATATAAATGCAGTCTATAATGTAACTTGAAGTGGAAATCACCTTGTGTGCATTAAAAATCTACCATTCAATTTAATAAACAGTTATTACTGCAAGAATAAAATGCTGCAATAATTTATGATCAAGAAAGTTTATGTACAAAAATTATTATGAACCTGAAAATAAGGAAATAAATTGGCAGTCATTAACATTGAGATATATTTAGAAAAATATTAGATTATTTTTCAAACAAACACCACATATTAAAATGTAAATAATACAAAGCAGACAAAAAATTAGACATAATTATCATCTTCATATGATTATTTAGGGTACTTTTAACAGAATAGTCTTTAAAAACTGTATTTAACTTTGTTTAGGCTATGAGTCTTAAAAAAAAAAAAAAAGTCCTATTAGGAATTCTTCACATTTTGTAAAGATGTATTAAAAATGTCAACTTTGTCCAGATGCAGAGCCCCAGGCCTGTAATCCCAGTACTTTGGGAGGCTGAGACGGGCAGATCACAAGGTCAGGAGATCGAGATCATCCTGGCTAACACAGTGAAACCCCGTCTCTACTAAAAATACAAAAAATTAGCCAGGCATGGTGGCATGCGTCTGTAGTCCCAGCTACTCGGGAGGCTGAGGTGGCAGAATCGCTTGAACCTGGGAGGCGGAAGTTGCAGTGAGCTGAGATGGTGCCACTGCACTCTAGTTGGGCAACAGAGCGAGACTCTGTCTCAAAAAAAAAAAAAAAAAAAAAAAAAAAAATTAGGCTCAGGGCTGTGCTCCTGTAGTTCCAGCTATTCAGGAGGCTGAGGCAGGAGGATCACTTGAGCCCACGAATTTGAGTCCAGCCTGAGCAACATAGAGCTCATCTCTAAAAAAAAAATTATGAAACTGACTTGTAGCATACTTTATATAAGACATTCAAACAAGATGTTTTTTTAAAGGCTGTGTGAAAACTAATCACTGAATATTTGCAGATAACAATACCAATATTGCAGGGCTTCTAACAAGCAATTTGTATACATAACCTGGTGAGCCTCACGTGGAGAACTCGTAGCTCCAAGCCGCCAGCAGCCTGTCTGACTTCAAATGCAGGGTCCAGTAGGCCTGCGACTTCAGCCCTGCTCACCACTTGGGAGTTTTTATTCTGTTTCTGATCCTCAAAGATGCATCTTGTTTTTGAGCCTAGCTCTGTCTTCTAAAATTTTCCTTGAAATATTTTACCTATTATTGTTATGTGTTTGGAGTTTCAGAGATGTGCCAACTCCAGGTGAAAGCTTCAAACGGCATCTCATGTAATATTGTGTCTGCAATTGGAGGGTTCTCGGTCTCACCGACTTCAAGAATGAAGACGCGGACCCTCGCGGTGAGCGTTACAGTTCTTAAAGGCAGCGCGTCCGGAGTTTGTTCCTTCTGATGTTCGCATGTGTTCGGAGTTTCTTCCTTCTGGTGGGTTCGTGGTCTCGCTGGCTTAGGAGTGAAGCTGCAGACCTTCGCAGTGAGTGTTACAGCTCTTAAGGCAGCGCGTCTGGAGTTGTTCCTTCCTCCCCGTGGGTTCATGGTCTTGCTGGCTTCAGGAGTGAAGCTGCAGACCTTTGCAGTGAGTGTTACAGCTCATAAAGGCAGTGTGGACCTAAAGAGTGAGCAGCAGCAAGATTTATTGCAAAGAGCGAAAGAACAAAGCTTCCACAGTGTGGAAGGGGACCCGAACGGGTTGCCACTGGTGGCTCGGGAAGCCTGCTTTTCTCTTATCTGGCCCCACCTACATCCTGCTGATTGGTCCATTTTACAGAGAGCCCAGCGGTCTGTTTTGACAGGGGGCTGATTGGTGCATTTACAATCCCTGAGCTAGACAAAAAGGTTCTCCACGTCCCCACTGGAGTAGCTAGATACAGAGTGTGGATTGGTGCATTCACAAACCCTGAGCTAGACACAGGGTGCCGATTGGTGTGTTTACAAACCTTGAGCTAGATACAGAGTGCTGATTGGTGTATTTACAATCCCCTAGCTTGACATAAAGGTTCTCCAAGTCCCCCACCAGAGTCAGGAGCCCAACTGGCTTCACCCAGTAGAGCCCCCACCGGGGCCGCAGGTGGAGCCGCCTGCCAGTCCCACGCCGTGCGCCCGCACTCCTCAGCCCTTGCGTGGTTGATGGGACTGGGCGCCGTGGAGCAGAGGGCAGCACTCGTTGGGGAGGCTCAGGCAGCACAGGAGCCCACGGAGTGGGGGAGGCTCAGGCAGCACAGGAGCCCACGGAGTGGGGGAGGCTCAGGCATGGCAGGCTGAAGGTCCCAAGCCCTGCCCCACGGGGAGGGAGCTAAGGCCTGGCAAGAAATCGAGTGCAGCGCCAGTGGGCCGGCACTGCTGGGGGACCCAGTACACCGTCCGCAGCCGCTGGCCCGGGTGCTAAGCCCCTCATTGCCTGGGGCCGGCAGGGCCGCCCGGCTGCTCCGAGTGCGGGGCCCGCCAAGCCCACGCCCACCCGGAACTCCAGCTGGCCAGCAACTGTCGCGCACAGCCCCAGTTCCCGCTCGCGCCTCTCCCTCCACACCTCCCTGCAAGCTGAGGGAGCCAGCTCTGGCCTCCGCCAGCCCAGAAAGGGGCTCCCACAGTGCAGTGGTGGGCTGAAGGGCTCCTCAAGTGCCACCAAAGTGGGAGCCCAGGCAGACGAGGCGCCGAGAGCGAGCGAGGGCTGCGAGGGCTGCCAGCACGCTGTCACCTCTCAGTATGATAATAAAAGATGTTACTGAATTAATGGTTTATCTTAAACATTGATTTGTATACTTAAGAATTAGTGATCCTAGAAAGTGTCAGATATAGGTCAAAAAGACAAAGTGTCTTTTTTTTTTTCCTGAGACGGAGTCTTGCTTTGTTGCCCAGGCTGGGGTTCAGTGGCGCCATCTCGGCTCACTGCAACCTCCATCTCCTGGGTTGAAGCAATTCTCCTGCCTCAGCCTCCAGAGTAGCTGGGATTACAGGCACCCACCACCACGGCTGGCTTTTTGTATTTTCAGTAGAGGCAGGGGTTTCACCATGTTGGCCAGGCTGGTCTTGAACTCCTGACCTCATGCTCAGCCCACATCAGCCTCCCAAAGTGCTGGGATTACAGGCATGAGCCACTGCGCCTGGCCTTTTTTTTAAGACAGGGTCTCACTCGGTCACCCAGGCTGGAGTGCAGTGGTGCAATCATGGCTCACTGCAGCCTCCACCTCCCCAGGGTCAGGTGATCCTCCCACCTCAGCCTTCTGAGTAGCTGGGACTTACAGGCATGTGCCACCACATTCAGCGAATTTTTGCATTTGTTTTAGAGACAGGGATTTACCATGCTGGCCAGGCTGGTGTCAAACTCCTGGGCTCAAAGGATCCACAAACCTCAGCCTCCCAAAGTGCTGGGATTACTGGCGTGAGCCACCACGCCTGGCTAGTGTCTCATTTTTAGTGTGTGTATGGGGGCCTTCTGTGAGCCCTAAAGTCATGTGGGCAGATTCCACAGTAATGAGTGCCCTAAACATATACATAATACGATCTGCCTACTCATTTCCTTTTCTTAAAGTAGATAATACCTTGGACCAATAGCTAAGATCTTTTCTGTTTAGCTTGATGGAGCTGCTTCTGCACCAAACATTCTATGACTCGAATTGCAACTTCAGACTTAAAATCATTTTTATTGTATCCTGTTTAAAATGACAATTCCTACAGCAACTAAATAATTCATAGCCACTCACTCCCTTATTAATCAGTATTGAGGCCTGTTCTAGTGTACGGTAGAACACTAGTATGTAATATCCTCTAGTGGTGAGTTTATGCATTAAGAAAATCTCGTTGCTGCTAATCTACTGTTGACGTTTGTGGAATGAGTATTAGGAAATTCTGTGTTCTTTGCCTTCAGGCTCATCTTATCGCTTGACTTTAGCTCTTTTCAGTGAAAGCTCATATGTTAAGATATGGTAACTCCCAAAGTTCCTATTTTTCTAAACTGCAAAAACAAGTCTTTCAGATTTTCAAAATTCAATTCAGATTTGTTAGAAAATGTTTCTATAAAATGTGTTAATAAGACCTTTGGTTTTAGTTGGGTATGGATGGGGGTGGGCCGAGCAGGAAGCTGGGAGAAGGTGGGTGAGGGGCTGAGATGGGTATTCAGGTGCTTCTGCTCTGTAATTCTGGTTTGGCAACATCTTAAGGCAGAAATTCTGAACACACCCCCACCTCCCCCACTCCCAACACATAAGGTAAGGGATATCCACACTTAAAAAACACATTCGGCCGGGCGCGGTGGCTCACGCCTGTAATCCCAGCACTTTGGGAGGCCGAGGTGGGTGGATCACAAGGTCAGGAAATCGAGACCATCCTGGCTAATACGGTGAAACCCCGTCTCTACTAAAAATACAAAAAAATTAGCTGGGCGTGGTGGCGGGCACCTGTAGTCCCAGCTGCTCGGGAGGCTGAGGCAGGAGAATGGCATGAACCCGGGAGGTGGAGGTTGCAGTGAGCCGAGATCGCGCCACTGCACTCCAGCCTGGGCGACAGAGCAAGACTCCGTCTCGAAAAAAAAAAAAAAAAAACCACATTCACAGGCTGGGTGTGGTGGTTCACGCCTGTAATCCCAGCACTTTGGGAGGCCGAGGCAGGCAGATCACCTGAGCTCAGGGGTTTGAGACCAGCCTGGACAACATGATGAAACCCTTTCTCTACTAAAAATAGAAAAATTTAGCCCAGCACTGTGGCCTGTGCCTATAGTCCCAGCTACTTGGGAGGCTGAGACAGGAGAATTGCTTGAGCCTGGGAGGCGGAGGTTGCAGCGAGGGGAGATTGCACCACTGCACTCCAGCCTGGGCAACAGAGCAAGACTTTGTCTCAAAACACACACACACACACTCACAACAGCACACCCTGGGATAGCAGCAATTCCCAGGGATCTACTTACAACCCCAATGTTTCTCCCATACTCAGGAAAGCTTCGTTAAGTAGGAATAGCACTCGAAGAATGCTACCCAAGAGCTGCAACAGATTCTAGGCAGGGTCTGCCCTATACCATTTCACTGATGGCCACAAAATGCCACCTGACAACCCTCACAGGATTCTCTAGCTCCTCAGCTTACTGCCATATGAGGGCAGTTTCCTTTCCCACCATTAATCACCACATGCCCATTTCTATAAACCTGCTATTTTGGGAAATTTAATCAAGAATCAGTCCGCTGAAAAAAATTCAGATTTATTCTTTATTCTGGTAATGGCCAACTAATCTGAATAAGGCACATCATCAGCATCTATAAGAAACAAATACAAAAGCAATCCCTGTTATACAGAAAGGGAGTGCAGAGAAGTGGGACGTTAGTATTGGCAAAGCACACATATTTTTTGTTAAGCACAAATAAGCAAAATGCAATTGAGTTTGAAAGTCAGTGTGCTGTTTCTTTTATGACAGGAAAGGCAAATAGATTTAAATTTCCTGTGCTCTCTGATGAACCAGGAGCAACTGCCTGGAGCTTTGTGTTGATGCGTCCTCAGGCCTAGAAGGAACACAGAGAGTAGGGCTGTGACTGCCGGGGGCTTGGCCAACTCTGCCCCATACAATGTGACTCAGCCTGTTGCTTCCCAAGTCTAAAATGTTCTTTTTGGTTCATGTAACTGCGCTTAGCCAAAGGCAAATTTAGTTTATAAGCCTCAGTGAGGAAAAGCAGGAGACCATTTGCCAAAATAAGAACCAATTTATGGGCTTTTCAAGACATCACAGCAAGCGGGCACAGATAATGCAGATAATACTGGAAGGAAAGGTACTGAAGACTAAGGTATTTACCTTTTTGCAGATTAGGGGATACTGATTATGTTCTCAGGCCATTTGGATTGGCCTATAGAGATACAGAAGTTATAGCACAGTTTACCAAACATCGCATGTTCTCACTCATAGGTGGGAATTGAACAAAGAAAACACTTGGACACAGGGCAGGGAACATCACACACTGGGGCCTGTCAGGGGGTGGGGGGCTGGGGGAGGGATAGCATTAGGAGAAATACCTAATGTAGATGACGGGTTGATGGGTGCAGCAAACCACCATGGCACGTGTATACCTATGTTAACAAACCTGCATGTTCTCCACATGTATCCCAGAACTTAAACTATAATAATAATAATAATAATAATAATAAAGAAGTTATAGCACAGTTTATTAGCTAGAAATGAATTTTAACAGCCCTGTCTCAGTCTGAATGAGGCAAATTTAGGCCCACATCATTAGGTATTTCACAACTTAACACCTAAAATTTAACATAAATTTACAAAAATAAGGCTTATTTTAAAGTCATCTGGAGAAACTGTTTTACAGGTATCTTAACTTTATTTAGCTCTCTGTAGAATTAACATCTTTGCAAATATATTATTCAACCAAGCATTTGCCATAAAGATAAGCATCAACTTTCCCATTGGACAAGTGATAGTGTTCAAGCTACTTGACTTGTGAAAAACAAAAAACCACCATGACTTCTCAACAAATACATTTTAAAATGAAATATGCTCAGGCTGATAAACAAACAAGATATTAAAATGGAGACTGACATTGAACTACATAGTCAACTTGAAAAACACAAGAAGACAATGCTCCTATAAAATGATATATTATTGGCTTTACAAAGACATACTGGTTTATGTTTACAACTATGTTTTATTTTCAAATGGTAAAGGAAAGGCTTCATGTTGCTATTTGAAAGTACTTCTCAACTAGCCGGGCATGGTGGCATAATTCCTGAAGTAGGAGGATCATCCCCTTGAGGCCAGGAGGTCCAGGCTGCAGTGAGCTGTGATTGTGCCACTGCACCATAGCTTGGGTGACAGAGTGAGACCCTGTCTTTAAAACAAAAAGAAAGTACTTCTCTGCAAGTAAATTTTATGGATATAATCTTTATTCTGATTAAATAAATGATTACCCTAATCAGCTATTATTTATTATTTTCTATTTAACATTCATTTTTGAAGTGCCAGAGACCTGCCTATGTCGCATAAAGTTTGGTCAGATATATGCAAATGCAGTGTTGGTGAAGATCATCTGAATAATGATCACTTTCACATGCCATATTAGTTATATTTTAGTATCACTGCTCATTGTGCTTCCTCTCTTTAATAAAGTATAAATCAAGCAATTAAAAGCTGTGTAGGCCAGTCGCGGTGGCTCACGCCTGTAATCCCAGCACTTTGGGAGGCCGAGGCGGGTGGATCACTTGAGGTGAGGAGTTCGAGACCAGCCTGGTCAACGTGGGGAAACCCCGTCTCTACCAAAAATACAAAAATTAGCTGGGCGTGATGGCACGTGCCTGTAATCCAGCTACTTGGCAGGCTGAGGCAGGAGAATCGCTTGAACCTGGGAGGCAGTGGTTGCAGTGAGCCGAGATATCGCACCATTGCACCCCAGCCTGGATAACAAGAGTGAAACTCTGTCTCAAAAAAAAAAAAAGGCTGTTAAAGGGTCAAAACCATCTCAGCGGCTAGCACTATTTAGTGGAGTCACTAGCTAAGAGAATGGTGGGTTACCAGCATGCTGAGCCTTATTAACCACCATACACTTGGGGGCTTCCAAATGAAATGTATTGAAATGTCTTTATTGATTGCTTTTTAAAATAGAAATATGAAACAAATTAGCATTACTATTTTAGTGATATGAACACCTTTAGTGATATGAACTTGTCCGCCAACTCCTGGAAACTAACCAGAAAACCTAAAATTTACCCTAAGGGAAGAAAAACCTCAAGTCCAAAGACAGTTTCTGATTCTACCAATTGGTTCTACAATTCTGGGATTACTCAAGAAGTAATTTATATTAATATACAGTGTAATGAAAGTTGTTCTGTAAGAGTAACTAAATGGCAACGTTTAGGTACCACATACAATATTGTATGCCCACAAATCATTTTTCTAAGTCAAATAAGCAAATTATCTTTGACAATAAAAGACGAATTACTAGACACACAAAAGAAAATCTGAAACCTTAAAAAATGTCAATAGGCCGGGTGCGGTGGCTCACGCCTGTAATCCCAGCACTTTGGGAGGCCAAAGCGGGCGGATCACGAGGTCAGGAGATCGAGACCATCCTGGCTAACACGGTGAAACCCTGTCTCTACTAAAAATATTTTTTTAAAAATTAGCCAGGTGTCGGGGCGGGCACCTGTAGTCCCAGCTACTTGGAAGGCCGAGGCAGGAGAATGGCATGAACCCAGGAGGCGGAGCTTGCAGTGAGCCAAGATTGCACCACTGCACTCCAGCCTGGGCAACAGAGCAAGACTCCATCTCAAAAAAAAAAAAAAAAAAAAAAGTATAGAACAAATAGAAATTAACCTAATACATTAGATAATAGATTTGAATTATCTGTACATTTATAAAATATGGTCTTATGTTTAAAAATAGTCATTTTAGTCATGAGAAGACCCAGAGCTAATATACTGCTTCTTTTAAAAATGATTTTTGAGGCCAGGTGCAGTGGCTCGTGCCTATAATCCTAGCACTTTGAAAGACCAAGGCAGGCGGATCAATTGAGGCCAGGAGTTCGAGACCAACCTGGACAACATAGCAAAACCTCGTCTCTATTAAAAATACAATAATTAGCTGGGCATTGTGGTGCATGCCTGTAATCCCAGCTACTTGGGAGGCTGAGGCACAAGAATCACTTGAACCCAGGAGGTGTAGGTTACAGTGAGATGAGATTGTGCCACTGCACTGCATTCCAGCCTGGGTGACAGAGCAAGACCTTCTCTCAAAAAAAAAAAAAAAAAAAAAAGAAGTTTGGTTGGGTGCATTGGGTCACATCTGTAATCCAAACACTTTGGGACGCTGAGGTGGGAGGATCACTTGAGGCCAGGAGTTCAAGACCAGCCTAGGCAACACAGTAAGACCCTGTCTCTATACAAAATAGTGTGGTAGAGTGGTGTGGTAGTCTGCACTTGTAGTCCCGGCTACTCAGGAGGCTAAGGTGGGAGGATTGCTTGAGCCCAGGAGTTTAAAGCTACAGTGAGCTATGATCAAGCCACAGCACTGCAGCCTGGGAGTCAGAGTGAGACTCCATCTCAAAAAAAAAAAAAAAAAAAAAAGACTTTTGAAATAGCAGACAGAAAACTGACAACACCCTCAATTGATTGCACTATACATGGAAGGGAAAATGTTTTTAAAAAGGCTAAATTAAAAATTATGACTTTAGAAATTTATTTTTCTAAATTATTTTGAAGAGAAATGATGAAAAACCATATTCAACTGAATGAAGAAACAAGAATATGCGACATACTGGTTCCTTGACAGATCTGAGGTAGCACAGGTCAGCAGGCCAATATAATAGTTATACAAGGCAACACTGGTTTTGTGGATGTAACGCTAGCATCTAAGATCTAAAAAGACAGAAAAAATGTGCATATGGGATACAGATTTTCCTTCAACTTCCTCTGCTTTTATACTGGATTGACAGTGATATCACATTCACCATGCTTTAACTTTTTGTTCAGGTCTCTTCCCAAATCTCTTGGAAGCTTCCTTCGAAGTCCCAAATGCAAATTCTTCCTTCAGGTATGCCCCTACACTCAATTGAGCAATTACTCAATTGTAATCTTTTTAGGTATCAGTAAAGATCCCTGTATCTTCTTAGTGTTTCCTAAAATCTTTCCATACTTTAATCAGACTTCTTAGCTATATACATATGATCTCATATAATGGAGAGGCCAAAACCCAGTTGAAATAATCCAGGATTATGGTAATAGTCTATATAATGGAACAGACCCTTTGTTAGGTCGAGATCATTTTACTAGAGTTCTGCTTTCAGAGCTCAAATGCTAATCAACTCTATCTCCATACAAACTGTTTTCAATCTTTCTTACAATCACAGAACATGGTCCGTCAGTACTGAACATCAAAACCTCTGAGAATCTACCCACCATTTCTGCTTCCTCTCACTAAGTATAACATCTCTTAGATTTCTCTAATTTTTAACCTAATGGTACTTCTATAACTAGTTGGTCAAGAAATGAGCTGCATTACATAATGTTCCATCACTGCATAGAAATAAACTGGTAAAGTTATGCCAAATGTTCATATAAAATTTACTATTAAATTGGTTATTCAAAAATAAATTTTTAAAATAAAACAAATAAATTGGTTATTAAAATCTGTTCTGCTGAAAGAGTCTACAAACTCTTACCCTAGACAAGTATAAAATTCCATGCAGAGGGGACAGAAATGACGATTAACAGAAATGAACAAAAGCATCAGAGACATGCTAGTAAATGCTAGCTTATACATTCTGCTGTTCATGTATAGATCTTTATCCTTCATAAATAATGTATCTATACAATAAACCTGTATTTCATCTTCCTACTCATAAGATTTAATACATTCATTTTTTAAACATATTTCCTATCTTCTAAGATGTTTTTTCACTTAATCAATGGTTTTCAAACTCGAATATCAGTGAAACTCTTTGTTCCAATGAAATCTCATAGAGAACCCCAACATATAAAACAGTTAAAAGCAGAACTGCTCTGATACAAAGGGGAAGGGTGCCAGTAGACACAGTTTGAAAATCAATGCTGTAAATTGTTCAAGAAAAGCTGAAGTAAAGATATAGCCAATTGGAATTTCTTCATTTCCAATGATTATAAACAATTTCCCCACTGGTTCTCATTTTTAAGAACATTTGAGTACAGCTGCTTATACCTCAGCTGAATGAAATAAAAGCACAGTGCCTTACATGTAGTATTTAGGTAGGTACTTAATGGTTTGAATTCTTATTTCTTTTATCATACTACTCAAAACTGCAAAATTAATATAAGATATAATCCCGTAACTTTAGATTATTAAAGTAAGGTTTGAAAATATTCAACATGTGATAGAAAAATTTTCTAAAGGTTATCATTGCTTCATAATTCTAATTGCTTTAGTCCAAGTCCAAACATTATCGAAAAGGTTCTTCAGAGTCTCACTCAAGAAAAAAAAAAAATCACTCTGTAGTTACTCTAAGAAGTAAGAGTATCTTCCTGTGCAATGTTGCTATATTTTAGAATTTAAAAAAAATTCTCATATATATCATCGATATTTCAAACCTGATTTGGTCCAAAGAAAAAAAGTCAGGTTAATTTTTAGCTTTGTCAAGGCTTAGATTAGAAAGATTTTACAAGGAATAAAAAATAAAAACTTGTTTCTAAAATAAGCTCATCTTTGTTTTTCAGGCTATTTCCTCAAGCTATTTTATCAACCTCCTTCCATATAAATGGAAGGTCTTTAAACAAACTTTTTCATAAACATATACCTTCTGTAACCAACTCTGTGCTTAGCTTTAGAAAAGGCACCCCTGTTCTTCTATGCTACTCACTGGCTGGACTGGCAGTACCAGGTGTGAAATTCGGCTCCACAGCCCACTCAATTTGTCTGAGTCCATGTGGTTGAAGGAGGTGGGAGTGTCAGAGTTGGTAAACTTGGCCCAGAGTAAGTCTCTCACTTTTTCTTCCGTTTCCCTTGGGCCTACACTTGCTTCTAATGTTTCCTCCTCTAGCAGAACAGTCAGGACCAGGGCCACATCTTTAAAGGCAGCATTCTCATGATCACAATACTTATAGAAGATCAAAGTGGAGCCGGCAGGGAAGGATTCGAAGTGGTGTACCACAGCAGCCTTCTGGCCATTCTCAAACCCATAGCTCAGCTCCAGGTCAACCAACAGCTTGACCGTGTCACTGTCCTGCCAGGTCCTTCCAGCCCCATCAATCTGAATGGGAGAGACTTTCTGGGAAGAGGTGTAGGCATCTGCAACATGGTGGCTCAGGCACTTCAGGGTCTCTCTTCCCTCCCGAGCTGCTGTAAATATGATGGTGGCTGGCTCAGTGGGGTTGGAAGCATTGAGGTGCTTCTGGAGAAACTTCCGTCCTCTCTGCCACAGGAAGGAACTCTGGCCTGGAAATTTATCTTCCAATTGGCTAAACTGGGCCAAAAAGGCCTCCAAAGCTGGATTTTTGGGCACTTGCTGGGCTGGAGAGGAATAGTAGCTATTCACAGAACTTGCCACAACAGCCACAACCAGGACGACAAGAATCACAGGGCCTGTCAAAAGAATGAAAAAGGAATAGAAAATTACAGAGAACACGAGCCAGAAACAAAGCCTGTGGTAAACTGAAATGAGGCAGAGATACCAGCAGGTTTTACTAGGAGCAATAAGTTTCTTTTGCATAAATTGTTTAAACTTTCAATCCACCAGAAGTACCTTTTCTCTAATCTCTTCTCAGATTTAATTATTTGAAGATATATCTGTTAAAAGATAAAAGCTACGTGGAAGAGTTAAGTACTCGGTAAAAAATTTTTAAAAATAAAAGGTAAAAGCTGAGTCTATGTATTTGTTATTATAACTAATGATGTAATTTAGACATGAGTGATCAAGATTTTTTTTCATCTTCTCAATGCACCTACTACCTATAGCCGACCATTTTTTTAGGAGTCATAACTTTAAAGTGCACTTGAAAAATTAATATTCTCTAATTAGAAAGGCAGTTTTTGTTTCTTGTTTAGGAAAAGCCTTTCCTATTGTGAGAAATTCCATTTTGTTAAGCACAGCAAAATATCAGCCAGCACCCGTAAGGGAAAAATCCCTAAAACTCTAGTGTACTATTTTACTATGTCTCACTACCAATCATTAAATAAGTATATATAAACACAATGTTAAAACTGTTTAAATCTGCTAGTTTTCTAGGCATTTTCACTGAGGATTTCTGAAAGTGAATCAACACTGCAGTAAAACCAGGTTTGTTCTCACCATAGCTCCAAAAACCCTTTTTATTAATCTGTCTCATGGTGTCCTGTGCATTCTCTTTAATTTCTTCCAATTTTTGTGTTTGTTGTGGATGACTTCCAGCCTCTGGAGAGGAAAAGAATCAATATTATTTTTAGGCAGTACACTAATGACAGTATGTATACCTTTATATCTCTCACCAAACCAAAGAATGATTTGACTAAAAGGCTTTCTATACCTTGGCCAGGTACGGTGGCTCATGCCTGTAATCCCAGCACTTTGGGAGGCTGAAACAGGTGGCTCACTTGGGGTCAGGAGTTTGAGACCAGCATGGCCAACAAGGTGAAACCCTGTCTCTACTAAAAATACAAAAATTATCGGGCATGATGGCGGGCGCCTGTAATCCCAGCTACGTGGGAGGCTGAGGCAGGAGAATCGCTTGAACCTGGGAGGTGGAGGTTGCAGTGAGCCGACATCGTGCCACTGCACTCCAGCCTGGGGGACAGAGCAAGACTCCATCTCAGAAAAAAAAAAAAAAAAAACCAAAGTTAACATTTTTCCTGTCTTTTCTTTAAGACTATTACTTTTATTCTACTTAGAAGGATAAAATGAAATACTGTGAAATTCATTCAAGGATAATGTTGCTATATTCACAATTCCTTACTGCCTCTTATATCAAAGACAAAGACATTTAAATAGTGCGGCCAAACTTACCTAAAATGTAATTCAGCAAAATGTATAAAATCAAGAAGGGATTTAAGAAATGTTGGCTGTACACAAGATTCAACTTCACAGGGTAATTGTGCTCTAATTCCAGTGTTCGAGTTTCACATGGTTCCTCAAGACCCCGAATATAAAAATAACAGAGGCACTAAGTTCTAAGATAGGAGAGATTAGTGTACAGTTGCAAAATAGCTTACAGAAGCAAATTTGAAACTCTTAGTGAAGGAGATATACAAAGCAAGGAATATAAGGTGAAGAAAATTCACGAAATATGTAAAAATCCAGATGTAGGGAGGGCATGCCAAGCTTAAAATATGTGGGTGAAAAGAAGGGCAACAATTTTTAGCACTCTAAGCTAAATCACACTAGAATCTAAATTTGTGCTTAACCCCAGCCAGGTACTTCTATTAGCATAGATGAGTAGGATCATCTTCACTTATAAAGGATTGTTCCTATCACCCCAAAGAGTAGGTTCTTAAAATATCATATCATAGAATCTAAGAACTGAAAGGATCTATAATGGACACCTACTCCGGCCCCATTACTTAACCTATCATGAAAAAAGGTCCAGGGATATTAAAGATCTTGCCCAAGGTCACATAAAGAGATGTAGCTGGCTGGGCGCAGTGGCTCACGCCTGTAATCCCAGCACTTTGGGAGGCCGAGGCGGGCGGATCACAAGGTCAGGAGATCGAGACCATCCTGGCTAATACGGTGAAATCCCGTCTCTACTAAAAATACAAAAAAAAAAAATTAGTTGGGCACGGTGGCGGGTGCCTGTAGTCCCAGCTACTCGGGAGGCTGAGGCAGGAGAATGGCGTGAATCCGGGAGGCGGAGCTTGCAGTGAGCCGAGACAGCGCCACTGCAGTCCGGCCTGGGCAAAAGAGTGAGACTCCATCTCAAAAAAACAAAAAAAAAGAGATATAGCTAAGTTGAGATGAAAACAAAGTTTCTCATCTCTTAGAGTATAGATAACCTCATTCAACTATATTAAATTGCTTTCCATACATAAACTGCATTTTTTTTTTTAAAGACAGGGTCTCACTCTGTCAACAAGGCTGGAGTGTAGTGCTGAAATTTCGGCTCACCACAGCTTCAACCTCCTGGGCTCAAGCAATCCTCCCACCTCAGCCTCCTGAGGACTATAGGTGCATGCAGCTGTTTTTGTGTTTTCTGTAGAGATGGGTTTTTGCCATGTTGCCCAGGCTGGTCTTCCTGGCCTCAAGTGATCCACCAGCCTTGGCCTCCCAAAGTGCTAGGATCACAGGAGTGAGCCACCACCCTTGGCCTAAACTAGATTTTTTTAAACAATATTTTTTCTACTCACAGTGAACCTGCCTAACAGTGAATTTTTTTTTAAGAGATGGGATCTCACTAGATTGCCCAGGCTAGCTAGAATGCAGTGGCTATTCACAGGGGTGATCATAGCACACTGCAGGCTTGAACTCCTGGGCTCAAGCAATCCTCCCAACTCAGCTTCCCAAGTAACTGGGACTAGAGGTGTAAGTAATTGCACCTAGTTTATAACAGTGAAATTCTGACGCAGGTCATGGTCCTTACAGATCACATTCATTCATTTGACAAAATTCATAAAGGTGTTTCTATGTGCCAGGTGCCAGAGATACACAATGAATGAGAGGACACAGTCCTTGCCTTCACTGAAGTTACAGATTATTCTAATGATTAATAAATAAAACATATATTTGAGATTAGTCATTGATTTGCAGTGAAACATGAATTACTAGCCCTTGCTGAAGTCCCTGATGAACAGAACATCTTATATTTTATATTCTTTTGCACTGGCAAATGGGCATTTCAGACTGAGCTCTTCAGAGTGCTTATAAAATACAAACCCACACAGACAATCACAGAAGGTGAAAGTTAGAAGAATGTTTGGATATCATCTTGTCCAACTTCTTCATTTTACAAACAGGAAATTGAAGCACCAGGAAGGGAAGATTTTCCCAAGGTCTCCCAAGTCAGCAAGTGGTAGGGCCACAACTAGAATTCACACCTCCAGTTCCAGTTAAGGATTTAGCACACTGCAACGCTTAGCTTCATAAGGGAAGACATGCTTGTTCCTCTTAACATATAGGCAGAAAAAACCACGTATAGAGAAACTAACTGTCTTACTCAAAGTCCTATAAAACTGAAACATGACTGAGTTAAGGATACTGTCCCATTAATGCTCATTTTTAAATATACCCATCTCTTGATTTATGTAACATTTAGTTTCCCAAAAAGTAAAAGATTTTAAAAATTGTAAGTCGAAATATTCTCATAAGAAATAAAAAACCAGAAGCGAATTTTTTAAAAGTCATGCCCCTTTTTGTCATATCACATTAATATAAACAGTTAATAAAAACATGCTTAGAAATGCAGTTTATGTGTAGGAAGCAACTTAATATAGTGGAATGAGCTAGCCTAGATGAGAAACCTCATTCTAAAATCAACTCAGTCATGGCTTGGTGTGAGCTTGGGCAAGGCCCAAAGGCCTTACTCCTATGAAAGATGACAAAAGTTCTCTGGAAAGAAGGCCTCTGACTTCTGCTGTGTTCTCAGTTAACAGAGCAGTACAAAACAGGAGAGTAGTTCAGGGGGTTCTCTTACCTGGGGCCAGCAGTCGCCTCCTCAGTGTATCCTCACCCTCTTGCCCTGCACTGGAATGACCAGGACTCTGGGCCTCCTGGGAGTCTGTAGTAGGTGGTTCCTGAGATGCTCCAGTTCCGTCACTCGCTTCCTTAGGGAGGGCCACAGAGCTGCTCCCTAAGTGTGCATCTGCTCTTCCTACCTTGTCACTTGGAGAATGGCTGGGATCTGGATCCAAGGGTTCTTTACCCAGATTTTCTGAAGGGAGGTGATGCCCTTTTCCGCCATCCAGAAAACTCTGCTTGTTCTCATCTTCTGTTTTATCCTTTGGATGTTTCCCCACATTTGCTTCATCTGGACTTTCTGATTTATCACCTGTATCTGCACTTTCTGGACCTTCTGTCTCTACCTCTTGGTGGTCTTTGCTAAG